>NC_000008.11:10102976-10407457 GCF_000001405.40 Homo sapiens
ATAGTTACATTCTCAAATTAGGGACTGAGCCTTCTTTAATCACTAGCTACCCAGAGATTAGTATGTGTTTACCACTAGCACATTGAATAAAAGAATATAAGAGATGACATTGTAGTTTCTACTTTATTAATTTAGAAAAATTATTTTTAAAAGGAGAGAATACGCTACCTGGGTAAGATTTCCATTTTTTTGGTTATTAACATGCGAGGTTTTATCAGACTTTTGCAACTTATTTTTAGAAGAGGTCAGTATATTAAAAATAGTCAGAAGAAACAGATTTGACTGAAGGCTTTAAAAATGTCAGTGATAAAGTATTCTGTTTCATTTGTGAATTCAAACCTGTAGCTTCAGGACAGATCTTAAAGATGATGCATGTAACTTTGGAATAATATATTGTCAGGGTTCTTACGGGTCATCTGTGCTGTAGCATTGACAGTGAGATCCCAGTTTTGCATCACTTACTAACTGGATAATCTTGGGAAAATCTCCAAAACTCTAAAGGTTGACTTTTCCTATAAGTGAAGTGGCTGTCATAATACCAATATCAAAGGGTTGTTCAGAATATTAAGTGAGATAATGTGCCTGAAAGCAATTTAGCTGATAGGTATCATAAACATGGGAGACAATTATCTAGTTAGTTTCTCCAGACACATGAGGATGATGGATAAAGATAATGTACCTAATTCTGTATGCTTTTCAGCTGTTTATTCCAATAGACTGTTTTATATATATATATATTTAAAATGCTTTAAAATTGTTTAAATATCGAAGACCTTCAAATAGATAGCAAAGTATTAAATAAAGTAGAATGAATACCCATATACCCATTATTCAGAAGTGACAAATGCCATATTTATTTTCCTCAGATGTTAAAAAAAAAAATTAAGGATATAACTAAAGCCTTACTCTCTCTCACGTCTGAAATTGGTGTAGAACACTTTCATGCACATTTTTCTGGAATTACAGCGTATACATGTAGCCATAAACAATATATTTTACATGTTTAAAAACTTTGATAAAATATTTTAAACTGTTGCTATCCTTTTGCAAATGAAATTAGATATTTCTGAGCGTTATCTCTATTGCTAATGTGGGTATGAGGCTGTAGAGTGTCTCATTTTAGCGTAGCCATTCTTCTGTGGATGGGCGTTTAGGGATCTGCTTTGTGCTACCCATGCTGTCATGACCCTCCTACACATCTGGGTGATCTCTAGAGGAGGACTTAGAAATGGAGCCCAGTTTCTGAATATTTCAGCTTTACTCAGTAATGCCACGCCATTCTCCCAAGTATTTGTAATGTGAACCCAAAAGTATCTGAGACAGGTCTCAATCAATTTAGAAAGTTTATTTTGCCAAGGTTAAGGATGCATCTGTGACACAGCCTCAGGAGGTCCTGACATGTGCCCAGGGTGATGGGGGTACAGCTTGGTTTTATACCTTTTAGGGAGACGTAAAACACATCATTCAATACCTGTAAGATGTACACTGGTTTGATCTGGAAGGGCAGGACAACTTGAATCAGGGGCTTCTAGGTCATAGGTAGATATAAAAATTTTGATTGGCGACTGGTTGAAAGAATTATCCTCAATAAGAAGGAATGGCTGGGTTATGCTAAGGGGTTGTGGAGACCAAGGTTTTATCATGCAGTTGAAGCCTCCTGGTAGCAGGTTTCAGAGAGAATAGATTGTAAATGTTTCTTATCAGACTTAAGGTCTGTGTTGATATTAATGCTGGCCTGCTTTTCCTGAATTCCAAAAGGGAGACGGATATAATGAGGCATGTCCAACCCCCCTTCACATCATAGCCTGAACTGGGTTTTCAGGTTGACTTTGGAATGCCCTTGGCCAAGAGGAGAGGTCCATTCAGATGGTTGAGAGGGGCTTAGAATTTTATTTTTGGTTTCCAGTACCCATTTATATTCCTGTGCTAGAGTATCAATGTTCTTGTCTCACTGTATCTTCACCAACAGTTGGTAGTACCAGACTTTAAAATTCTTGTCAATCTCATGGGCAAGGAATATTTTGCTGTTACGTTTATTGGTATAGCTGATTACTTAGTGAGATTGAACATCTTTTAATATTGGTAATTTAGATTTCCTTTTCTGTGCATTCTGTATTCATATGCTTTGCACAGTATTCTTTTGAGTTGTTTTATTCTTACTAATTTGTATCATATTAACTAATCCTTTGTTATGCTCATCGAAGATACCTTCTCAATCTTTTTTTTTCTCATTTTCCTTATGGCAACTTTGGAAATTAACTATGGAATATGTTTGAAAAATTGGAATGTTTTCATTTTTCATTTTCAGAAGTGATTTTAGTAATAATACATGCTTACAATCCATGCTTTCCGATGAGGCAGAGAGGGCTAATGGGACTAATTTCTTAGAATGCATCAGAATTTTATCTCCTTAATTAACATCTAGAGGAAAAAGTTTCTCATTTTCCATGTAAACTTTTGGTCAACTTGAAATGTCAGGCAGATTCTTAGTCCCCAGGCATCCATCATTGAATTAAAGAGTATTGTGGAGTTTTACTCTATTATTTGCAGGGACTGCTATAGCACACCGATAATGTAGGCACATTCCCATTGCATCTGCAATGTTACCAAATAGGAGTTCTAGGGCCCTTAGAAAGAATGTTCTGTTGATCTGATTATAGTGCTTTCTATACAGTGAATAATCTCGGTGCAATAAGCACTTTCTCCTTCCCCTAACCAGTAGTCTTGCTAACAAAATAACTTAATTGAGAAATGCACACTGTTGGGGCAAGTGGATTGAGTTGTGGCTGAGGCTCCTTGTGTATCTTTTGTTGTGCAATCAAGTAGCACTTATTCACCGACTTTGCTCATGCTGTCCCGTCTAAACAAAACCCACCTAATCTTCCAAATCACTTTGCAAAACAAAAGAACACACAGAAGATATAGAAACCAGGAGGACCAGGCGGCTGTGGAGTATTTTAGGCAGCACTCCCTCTTTCCCTGCTAGTAACCATGTATATGAAATTGCTTTAGTAATTATACATCTGTTTTAAAATTGGAATCGGAAAGGATACTCTTTCCACAATCCTATAGGAACCCTCCTTGGTTGTTCAAACATTTGGCACCACTGCGTGTCTGCTGATGGTTTGCCACAGTCATAGGTGAGGTTCTGGGCAGATACTAACAGCTGAGGGAAGAGTGGGCTTGCAAACCCAAACGTGGAAGTCAGACCTTGAGGTATGGTTCTCACAGACTTGACTTTCTTAAGGACAGTGGCCATACGCTTTGCTCAGTCAATTCCAGTTGGCCTTATTGTACTCGTTTGCCATTTACTGCAGGGAGTGAGCCTCCCTTCAGCATATAGGAACCAGTGAAATGTCCTCTCATTGGCTAGCTTTGATATTTCCTTCTTTCTCCACTTACTGAATTCTTACCTGGAATCAGCATTTGGCTCCAGTCACCGTCTCTGCACCATTCCTCTACTGTTTAAAAGTTTTAAGGAAAACTTCAATAAAGAGTATATGAAAATAATGACTGTTGTTTAATTACAAACCCTGTTTTCTCTAGGTTATCTAAGTCAGTGCAACTCTGTGAGAGAGACTGGCAGACACACACACCACACACGTTTCAGGTGAGGAAATAGAGGCCCAGAGAAGTGAAGTGCCTGGGCTTGTTAGTAGCAATGCTAGAGTTTAAATCAAGTCCTCTGCTTCCAGATTTGTTGTGCTTCTTGTGATTTCACATTTGTTCACTCTGTCATGGGACCACCAGGAGAATATAGTAAGTTGGTGCTTTTATGGTAGCCTCTCCATACACCCTTGGGAATGTGTCCTTAGGTCATTCCTTCTGTCTGCTACCCACCCACCTACCTACCCACTCACACACCCACCCACCTAACTACCCACGCACCTACCCACCTACCCCTTCCCTCCACCCGCCTACCCCTCTACCCACCTACCCATTCACCTACCCCATCTATCCACCTTCCCACCCACCTACGCAACCATCTACCCCATCCGTCCATCCATGCAGCTGTCAGCCCATTATTCATTTAGTCTCTGAGTCCCTCAGTGCTGAGTGATGAGGCCACATCATGGATAGAACACAGATAACCGCTGCCATCACCCAGCTGATGATACAGTGGTGAAGGACTACAGATCAGTAAATGTGGCCAAGCGCAGTGACTGTTAGGAGAGGAGAAAGGATCCTGCTTTTCCTCACCTTCTTGTCCCTCTGCAACTCAGAGGGAGAATCAAAATTCACATTTTTTAGAGAACATGGATCTTTCAGAATATGAGAGTTTCATGAGTGTTTTTTTTTTTAATTTAACACTTAAGTATAGCACTCTGAAAAATAAACACTCTAGAGTTTTAGTGTCTTAGAGGTCATTTAGTTTGCCTCCTTGTAACCAAACCGATGAAAATCTCCTTTTCTGACCTCCTGAGAAATAGATGCTAGAATCTCTGGGCAGCAGTCCTTGTGGTACTCGTACTCAGTGCCTAGCAAAGAGGTCCATAATGAGATATTCTGTGCGTCTCTGACTCAGAACATTCCTGTTTCATCTTCCACCTGGATTCCTTCTAATGCTTTTCAATAACAGATCAGTGTAGTTGAGTTTTGTTTAGCTATTTCTGTATGTAAGCATTTTTAAAAAAGGAAAAAGAAGCAAAAGAAAACCACAAAAACCCAACATGCTGTTTAAATAAAGAAAAATGAGTTTTACTTCCAAGAGAGCTTTCGTCATTTTCTTAATGCTTATTCTCCTTCTGAGAGCTTGTTATGGAACAGAGTGTGACAGTAGTTTACCGTGGTGAGCCTGTCTTGTCCGGGCCAGGGGATGAATTAGAGCACTGAAAAAGGCCAGAGGAGTGGGCAGAACTGTACCTAAATTATCCCCGGATATTGCTAAGTGATTCTACTTTTTAAAGACCTCCAGAGAGAGCATCCCTAATCTCCTTTAGTTTGCCTTTACAGTGTTTAATGACCTTTGCTGTCAGGAAATTCTTCCTCATATTTAACCCAGCTGTCCCTTCCCACCAATCACTCCCATTTCTTTTGTTGTCCTTGGTGGTGACAGAATATAGGGGTCGTTGTCTTCTTGATAATATACTTAATGTTCCTGAAGGGTATGAGGGAGGCCTCCCTTAGCCCAGACTTCTGCAAGTGAGAGAAATATAAATTTTTTCTCCTTTACACCCCCGTTCTCAGTGGTTCTATTTGGACATATAATCTCTGACGTTTGTTCTTAAGTCTCTGTTGCAAACATTCACATCAGGCCTTCCTGGAGATACCCATTGGTTCCATTTTCACTCACAGGGCAAGATCCTTTCATGATTTCCCTGGCTGTTGATTCATTCACATTAACTCCTGTTTGTTGAGCCCTCATTAGGTGGGAGGTACCACCCTAGTGGCTGATGGGATGTGAAGAGGAGTGACTCCCACTGACTTGCACCTAGAAGGAGGAGCCTGAATGTCACCTGCCAGTTACAGTCCTTGCGATAGTCTGTGGATTAGAACTGCTGGTTCCTCTCTTCCACAAAGACTTTTTTTTCCTGATTTATATTTTGGTACATTTAGAGTTTACATTGACCCCATCCTCAGAAAGTTAAGGCACTGTCATATTATTCATGCCCTCTTCTCTTGATTCATTTTATAAACACCCCGAGGAAGTTTGCACGTAGAAACTTTGGCCTGTGAGCAATTGGCGAGGCTGTTTCCCATTAGATTCTGTGCAGTCCTCACGAGGGGGTGTGATGGATCTTTGCAGGTCTCTAGCACTTATCAGAAATGCCTGGCACGTTTTAAACAAACTAATGACTGGTGGTTGGTTGTCAAATGAGTTGTTGGGAAATTTTTTTTTTTTAGTTCTCTGTCTCTCCACTCCTTTTACCTCAACATAAAAGCAGCCCAGAGCTTCTGCCTGGCTGCCAATGTAGGCAGCCCTCCCACCTCAGCTGCCAAGCTCTTAGCAGATGAAATAAAAGTCTATTTATAACTGGCCTCTGATGGATTTCCTCCCTACCTGGGCTAGTGCTCCATCAGCAGGTGTACTGAACAGATGGAGAAGGGTTTTAAGTTTTTCAGTTCAATTAGATCAACTCTCTAGGTTCTGGCCAGCGCATTCCCTTTCTCACTTAGTTTCTTCCTCTTGGCATTAAAATTGTTGAGCATAGCAAAACACAAATTAAGTCCAGGAGATAAAATGCATATAGTGCCTGCCTTTAAAAAAAGCACTTTGGCTCAGGAACCATATTTGACATCATATGCTAAATCTGTTTTAACCCTTTTTTACCTAGTGCTTAATTTTAATGTGTTTTAAATCAATATTAGAGTACTAAGATGCTAAAGAGCACAAATGCTTTCTTTTTTTACTTTTCTTTTCTTTTCTTTTTTTTTTTTATTTGGAGATGGGGTCTTACTCTGTCACCCAGGCTGGAGTGCAGAGATGCAGTCTTGGCTCACTGCAACCTCCATCTCCCGGGCTCAAACGATCCTTCCACCTCAGCCTCCCAATTAGCTGGGGCAACAGGCACGCACCTACCACACTCAGCTAATTATTTGTATTTTTGGTAGAGACGGTTTTACCATGTTGCCCAGGCTGGTCTCGAATTCCTGAACTCAAGTGATCTACCCATCTTGGCCTCCCAAAGTGCTGGAATTATAGGTGTACGCCACTGTGCCCAGTCTTTTTTCTTATGATGTATTTTTAGCATTGGAATTTAAGTGTTTTGAAACTATATCACACTGTTTTTGAAGAAACTTTATTTCTGATAGTAGTTTAGTTTATATGATGAAGCATTTTAATGAGGAGATGAAGTCATTCATTTCATGATGGTTGTTTGATGTCTTTTTTTCACAGTTTGTTGAACTGTTCAGGACAGTGATCAAGTGATACCACGCAGTGGTCCAAAACCAGTCTGAATATGGCCTTAGGCTCTGGGTTTTAACACCGCTAGTCTGTGAAAGATCAGTTGCCACAGTTTTTGGTTTCCACATATGTAAAGATTCGTCATAATTAGCAAGTTCACCCTTAGTAGGCTGTATCACCTCTTGTTCCCCACATCCCAGATTTCAGTCCGTCCTTGGCTCTCGGATGGGAGGCCACTCTGATTGCAGCCACAGTTCATGCCCCACACAGACATTCACTGAGCCTCTGCCCAGCGTTCTGACACAGACTTCCACAAGGCCCACATCTGGATTCTTTGTCCACGCTAACACCATCACATTTAATTAATTAATATCTTTGTGAAGCTGGGTTTGAAACAAGAAAGGTTTGGACTGTTTCAGTGGATGTTTTGTTCATATAACTGGAGCAGGTTTTCTTTGGTGGTTTTATTTTGCCCCATTCTTTATTATTTCTGGATATTTTCAAGAGTGTGGATTATCCAGATTTGTGGCTTGTTCTCCAGCCTCCCTCCCATTTTGTTACCCACTAAGATGCATATCATGGTTGTCAGGGGCCAAAGGAGACTCCACTGAGTCAGCCTCACTGCTGGCTGGAAGTGGGGTGCATGATTTAAGTTAGGAGAAACAGTGCAAACAAGACCACCGCTTCCTATTTGTGTCATTGTCTGGCAAGTGCCTTTGAAGATTTTCTTTCATTGTTTTCTGTACTTTTTCACAGACTCTCATATTTGGAGGATGAGTTAAATATTACCTAGAAAATCACTTCTCTGATCCTTCATCTCCTTGGCAGGATCTGTGTCAAATGTCTTGATTTTCACAGTAGTGATCGCGCTTTCTCCCAGGCTGGCTGACCTGTGCTGTCTTTGGTAAGTTATTCTGTTGAGTTGTGGTGCTGCGATCTTTCTATCCATTACTTTCATCTGTGGCTTCTCCTTTAACCTTTTGGGGTCATACAGCACAAAATCTAATTTCGACACGTGGCAGCCTTTCACATATTTCAAAAATGACCCTTCTGTATTCCACCAATCAGACAGGACATGGTTCAGTTACATGGTTTTTCTCCTAACCATCTCCAGTCTAGCAATTTCTTTATTGTGGAGTGGGATGCAAAAAGGAAAGTCACATTTTTATGTAGGTTCTGTCTGACAAGTGTGGAACCATTACTGACCTAGTTGGAGGTCAAGGAAGTGTCAGAACTTCCTGTGTGCTTGATTTGACCAAGTGTAGCATCTTAGTCTCCCAGTAGGACAAAAGGGTTTCCGTGTTATCCAGGGACGGGGTGGATCAACTTTGATCATTTGGACCTGGCTTTGGTCATTTCTTGGTACCCATTACATGGCTGGGTGATGGCAGTACATGAATGTATGGAGAATGATGTCAAACAGGGTGCTGGATGACAAGTTCGGGTCTCCAGAGCACTTATGTGGTCTGTGAACATAAATCATTCCATTCAGTCAAACCTCCACCCTTGCCCCCTCCCTCATTGAGATGCTACACCACTGCGTCTTCTCTCTCTTGGGGCCACTTATTCTTGTCTTGTTTGTGAAAGCCAAAACAATAGGATGCTAGGTTCTTGAGGCAGATAAAATAGATTCCCAGGTTAACTCCATTTATGATTTGTCGATCTTTTCCCTTCTTCACTCCTGCAGTAAGGGAATTATCATAGGGAGGGACCATCAGACAGGCCTTTTTGGGGACTTTTTCTTATATAGCGTTAACACATTTATTTCCAAGTGGTTTAAAGGCAAAATATATGAATGCCTAGGTATTTTGAGATCTTTCAGAAAATAGAAGGAATGGGAATGTTCTTGTTCATGTTATTGGGCTAGTATTGCATGAGAAGAGCAGTCAAAAGCCTAAAGGAAATATTAGCAGATTGAATATCAGTTTTTAGAGAGAACTTCTTTTGGTTCACCTGGGTAGCTGGTAGCATGCTATGTGCTGTGAGATGGTCACACACGCTGTCTCATGTAGGTCTCACACAACTGCCCTGTGAGGCTTACATTCTGTCATTAACGGAGGAGGATGGTGACACTCAAGTGGGGACCAGCTGGTCCTTGCAGCAGCTGAGGTCATAGCCGCTTCTTCCTGATGTTGGGTTTTTGTGGCTGCTCTTGGTGAGATTTATTTACCAGAAGTTTGTCTTCTTTATTTTTCTTTTTAAGACTCAGTTTTTTTTTTGACTTAGTTTTAAATTCCATTTGTTAATCCTAATAGATAGTCTTTGTTCTCTAATTTTGTAGTCACCTCTGACACCCAAGTCCCAGCTTTTATCCACAGTCCTGCGCTGTCTCCTTATTTTAAAAGAGCAACTCACCACAATCACGTAGGGTTTATTCCAGAAACAAAAGAATAGTTCTTAGGAAAGCTAGTAGTGTAATACAGTCTATTAATTCATTAGAAAAGAGACTGACCATCTTGATAGATATGCAAAAGCCATTTGGTTTGATTCAACACCTACTTTTTCTTAAAAATAAAGAAATAAAAGCTGTTGGTAAATGAGATATAGAAGGCTACCTCTCTCACATAATAGAGAATTTCTAGGAAAAGCTGTTAACATTCTTACTAAAGTCACGGCCAGTTAAAAATGCCTGCCACAGTCACAGTTCTTCAACCTTGTTTTGGAAATTGTAGCTAATGCCATTAAACAATATAAAGAAATAAGAAATACAAATACTGGAAAAAGGCAAGAGTCATTATGGTCAGATGCTGTGATTACATGGAATACTCATGAAAGGATATTTCTTGAGCACCTACTATGTGCTAAGCTCCCTGTCTTGTAAAACTTATATTAGGGAAGACATTCAATTAAATATGCAACTCTAATGTAGTGATATAAATTCCACGACAGAGAAAAACACAGAGACCTATGGGAACATGATAGCCATGGCTTTCTGAGCCCTGCAGGGGTGGGGTTGGAGAAGTTTTTCTCTTTCTCAAACTTGTCAAGCTCATGGTGACCTCAAGGCCCATTGCTGCAGCCATTCCTTGTCTGAAGAGCTCTCACCCTTGAACTTTTATGGCTGCCTTCTTTGACTCAGGGGGTCTGGGCTCAGTTGTCTCCTTTTCAGGAGAGGTCATTCCTGACCACCCCGTCTAACATGGCTCCTTACCCCTGCTGGTCCATAACAGTGTCACCCCTGCAGTGACTTCTGTTGGCTCCTTGCATATTCTCTGTCTGCAGCTCCATCACCTCACAGGTATCCTCCAAGAGCGTAGGGCTTGTCAGTCTTGTTCATGGTTTTATCCTCAGGGTAGAGAACTGTGTCTTCCCCCTGTAGGTGCTCACTAAATAATTTGTTGAGTGAATGTGCTGGAAGACAGGAGGTGGAGACAGGATATGGTGCTTATAGGCTGCCCCTTCAGGAGGAAGCAGAGGGTGGAGCCCTACCTGGGCTGGGGAGGCATGGCTTTGGTGAAGACAGGTCTTCTTTTTTTTTTTTTTTTTTTTTTGGAGGTGTGTGTTTAAATGCTGAGCGAAAAGTTGATTTGGGAGATCTAAAAGAAGGGGGAAGGGAGGATCTATGGCAGACTGGGATAAAGGGCACAGGGGTTAGCCTGAAAGAGGAGGGGAAACAGCTTTTACCTGTAATGGGAGGGTAGGAGGAGGGGATTGTGCAGAACTGACGTTCATAGGTTTGGTGATGGGATGTTGGGGAAGTTTTCTTCTTTGAATGATGCTGTTGTTGACAGTGAGAAGTGGTGGGCTTGGAGATTTGAATAAAGTAGGTAATAAAATGGGTACTGGCCATTAAGAAAGAGAATGAGACAGAGCAGACTGAGAAATGTGGGAGGCTGGTTGGGTACCCAGTTAAAGGTGGAAGACTGTTAATTTATGGTGACACCAATCTGTGAGTTCAGGAGATTGTGCATTGAAGCCTTAAGCAGCCCAGGTATTTGCATTTTTTTTTTTTTTAAAAAAAAGATTATTAATTGTTTAGTGAGATCTAATTCACATACTGTAGAGTTCTCCATTTTATAATTATACAATTCAGTGGTTATTAGTATATTCACAAAATTGTGTGGCCATCACCACTGTCTAATTACAGAACATTTTTATTATCCCCAAAAGAAACTCCATACCCTTTAGCACTCACTCCTCATTCTCCTCTTCCCCCTGTCCTTGGCAATTACTAGTTCACTTTTTGTCTATGGATTTGTCTATTCTGGACCTTTCACGTCAATAGAATCATGTAATAGGTGGTGCTGGTCATTGGCATCTGGCTTCTTTTGCTTAGCATGGTGTTCATGGTTCATCTATGTTGCAGCATGTATCAGTATTCCATTCCTTTTATGGCTGAATAATAATCCATTTTATTGACATACCATATTTTGACATTTTATTTATCCATCATCAGTTGGTGGACATTTGGGTTCTTTTTACTATTGGGTTGTTTTTAGTATTTGGCTATCTCGAATAATGTTGCTGTGAACATTGGCGGACAAGTTCTTGTGTGAATATATGTTTTCAATTATCTGGGGGCCAGACGTAAGAGTGGAATTTTTGGGCCATTTGGCAACCTATGTTTAACTTTTTGAAGAATGTCCAAACTGTTTTTCACAATAGCTGCATCATTTTACTTTGCTACCAATAAAGTATGAGCATTCCAGTTTCTCTACATCCTTGCCAACACTTGTTATTATTATTATTATTTTTTAAATGACAGCCATGCTAATGGGTGTGAAGTGGTATCTCATTCCAAGTGTGTGCATATTGAAGATGCACTTAGATTGATCCACAGTTGGGATTTTGCTAGAAGGCTCTATGGAAAAAGAGAGGTCTTACGTAGCTGAGGATGGTGGCAAGTGGATAATTGAAGTGACGGGTCAGGGATTGAATTAAAGAAATTTGCAGGACCAAGGAAAGCAAACCACAAAAATTTACTAAAGGGAAGAAAGGAAGCCTTAAATTAATGAAAGACTCAATATTGTAAAGATGTCAATTCTCTTAAAATCTCATATGTAAATGTAATATAATTCTAGCAGAAATCCCAGTGAAAAATTTGTGAAGGATTTGCTAAAATGATGATTAAGTTCAACTGGAATGTTTAAATGCATGAAAACACTCAAGATATATTTGGGGGAAAAACAATAACAATGATAGGGACTTATTTACCAGATATTAAAACATACTATAAAATTAGTTATTAAACAGTGTAGTTTTAGGAATGGAATAAACCAGTGGATTGCTGGAACAAAAGAGAAGTCCCAGGTTAACATGAACATGTATTATAGAGATGACATTGCCTCGTCAGAAGTGAAAGGATAATTTCATAAATGGCTTTGGGCAACTGGCTTACTATGTCAAAAATGTAAAGTTATATCCCTGTCTCACATCAGCTGACAGCACAATAAATTTGAAGTTAAATATTTGTGAAGAAAAATATATTCATAGAACACTAGAAGAGTAACTGCGGTCATGGTGTTAGATTTTGTGGAATGGAAGAGAGACCAGCCTCACAGCGAAGAGGCCATTGAAGACTTGGACAGAGCTGGCTGTGATGCAGCCACAGCCAGGAACAGTAAGAATGGCAGGGGCCACTAGAAGCTGGAGGAGGCAAGGAAAGATCCTTTCCTAGCACCTTCAGAGGGAGCAGGGCCCCTCCAGCACCTCGATGTTTGGACTTCTGGCCTCCAGAACTACGAGAAAATCAATTTCTGTGTCTAAGACCCAGATTTGTGGTAATTTGTTGCCACACGGCCCTAGGGAACAATGCAGTGACTCTCAGACAGGATTTGATGGAGAGAGTGGTCAGAACCAGTGGCGCTTTCTAAAAGATTGATGCCATGAGCTGTGTTTGTCTAGTCTGGGCAGACAAGAGATTTCCATTCATGATTAAGGAGGGCCCACGGATCTGCGTGATGAATTTGAGGAGGATACACTGGTCCCGCAGGGCAAGGACGTCATCTTAGTCACTGCTGTATCCCCAGCATTAAGAAGAGTTAGAAGAGGACACAGTCCACACTCAATGACTGTTTAATGAATTAATTAATAAATAGAAAACACACAAAAATGTAAACACTATCCATTTTTAAAACAAGATACTAATTTTTGAATAAAACCAGGTTGTGGTGGGGACCATAGGGCCAGAATAGTTGCCGTCCCCTTCACCTCCCACTTGATTCACGCATGGTGGCTCGAGGGGACAGAGATGTGAGATCGTGGCTGGAACCACTGCTCTGAGTTGGAGCTGCTGAAATGGTAGCTTGGCGGTCTGCCCTCATGGTGCATGGCTTGAAGCTACATGTCAAAGGAAAGCACCATCCTTGCAACCAATGACACTAAAACTCAAGTTAGATTATGGCAAGCTTGTCCAACCCGTGGGCCACATGTGGCCCAGGATGCCGTTGAGTGCATCCTAACCCATATTCATAAACTTTTTTAAAACATTGATTTTTTTTAAATTTTAAGCTCATTAGCTATCGTTAGTGTATTTTATATGTGGCCCAAGGCAGTTCTTCTTCCAATATGGCGCAGAGAAGCCCAAAGATTGGACACCCCCTGGACTATAGTATTAATGCATCACATAGTTCATTCTTTTCACATAGTGAGTAAAAAGTAATTCGTTTGATAAGCAATTCTTGAGCACCTCCTGTATGCTGAACGCCATGCTACGCTCTGCGGTACAGAGAACAAAGAGGTGGTCCTTGCCCTTGAGGCTTCTACAGATTGTTGTAGGCTGGTAGCCATCTAGATAAGTAGACAAATCACTTGGATATCGTGTGATAACATACATGCCATCGATAGACACCTAGGATGCTGCAGGAGCACGGAGCAGGGTCTGCCAACACACTGGTCATTGTAGATTTTACATATGATGGAGTTTTGAGATTACAGGCTCATGCCTGTAATCTCAGCACTTTGGGAGGCTGAGGCAGGCGGATCACCTGAGGTTGGGAGTGTGAGACCAGCCTGACCAACATGAAGAAGCCCCGTCTCTACTAAAAATACAAAAGTAGTCGGGCGTGGTGGCAGATGCCTGTAATCCCAGCTACTTGGGAGGCGAGGCAGGAGAATCGCTTGAACCTGGGAAGTGGAGGTTGCGGTGAGCCAAGATTGCGCCATTGCACTCTAGCCTGGGCAACAAGAGCGAAACTCCAAGATGGAGTTTTATTTGGGCCATATTGAGGCAGAGGCTCAAATGTAGGTGAAATGGTTGGTTAACTGTATGGAATAATGTGAAGGGAGCTGAAAATCCATCTGCCCAGAGCAACTATGCAGGAGCATGCCTGAAATGGCAGCTCATATTTCTTGGCCTCATGCTTTCTAGGAGTCCTCTCCTAAAACAGAGACGCCTCTGTCAGATTCCTAGAGTTCTTCTAAGTAGGCATGCCTACTTTGTTGAGTTCCTAGGTTTGATTTTTGAGGGAAGAGAAGTCACAAAGGATGGAACATGGGATGGGGGAGGAGAGAGGTTGGAGCAGAGCACTGGGCATTTAGGGAAAAGAATCGTGAAGGGAAAATTCCTAGAAGGGGCAACAAACACAGCCTCAAAAATCCACAGCTCTTCCCTAGACTGGGTCTGCCAGGTGCCCTGATCCAGCTCTCTGGTCAGCCGCATTCTGCATAGAAAGGGGAGCAGGGCTGGTCTTGTCCCCATGGAAGTGTGAACTTGGGGCTCGTCTTTTGGGAGCAGAGAAAAATAGTTCCTTGATATACATGTAAGTTTCTATGTGGGGTATTAGAATGAATCCTAGCTGTTGGGAGCATGTCTTTTACAAATCAAATTAAGTATCTTTTATATATAGATATAGATAGTCTGTAATTTGATGGTACTGATGAGAGTGAAAACAATATGTGGACTTGCCCATTTACTGAAAGATCAAGCAAATACATTTCAGGGTCTTTTTGATAGCTGTGAGTATTACTTGCTAGTATTAAAATATTTTAATTTTCAAGAACTTGGACTCTGTTTCCTTTGATGAACCAGTTAGGAAATATTGTCAGAGAAACCCTAAATTTACTCTCATTTTCAGTCATGAATGAATCCCTGATTACTGTGATGAAGAAAAATCCTGGGTCCCAACTTCCTTGCCCAAATCAACACAAATGTAACCTTTCATCTTGATCAGGAGATGCTGAAGGTAGAACATAAACAAAAACATAAGAAACCGTTCATCACTCTGAGAGAGGTTTAATTTTCATCAGTCAGGAAAGATACAGACACCAAATCAAAGGTGTTGATAGGATTTCACTGTAAGGTTTTGGCGATTTTCTTTTCCCTGGGTGTTCATTCTCCCCTTGGGCTGATGGTGGTTGGCAGAGCTGGAGCATTCACCGTGGCTTTTCTGATTCCTCTTTCTCATGTTGGAGTAATGTTTTTAGTTCATTGCCCATATAGCCTTGGCAGCTATAATCAGTCACTGGAGTATATCCTTGATTGTAGGAGAGACTTGATAATAATGACTCTTTCATTCATTTATTCCACAAACATAGGCTGAGTGTTAGCTGCGTGCAGTGAACCATGGGAAGTGCTATGGGGAAGCACAGCTATGTAAATCATGGCTCCAACTATGTGCAAAGGCCCCATGACATAAATAAGCACAGAAGATGTGTCTGTACCTCTGTATCTGCTTTATAACCTCCCTGAGGAAATGCTACAGGCCTGATCCATCTCTCCCCTCTTTAAAGACTGTCAGGGGCTCTCTATTTCCCCCACCATAGAGTCCAAACTCGAGCCTAGTACCCAACATTCTTCAGAACCTGACCCCAAGCCATCTGGGTGTCCTCATCTCCCACCGCTCCGCCCACACCCTGGGCTCCAGCATTTGACTCTTCCCCAGTGTGCCGTGTGCTCCTTACCGCTGCCCCTGGCCTTGGCACTTTCTGTTCTCTCCTCTGAGGACGCCTGGCCTCATCTTCAACAGCTGGTGGACTTCTACACGTCCCTCAAAACCAGCTCCTCTGTTACCTCCAATGTGGCACTCTTTTCTAAGCTACCCCAATTCCCACCCAAGGCAGAATTTGTCTCTAGGCTTGTGCTAGAACATGTAGGATACAGGGGTTCTTTGGGAAGAGGACATTGGGAAGGCATATGGGAATGTGGAATATGGGAAGGCAACAATTCTTGGCTTTCCTGGTCCAGCCCGGGCTGGTCTGGTCCCCTCCAGATGATCTCAGCGTTCATGAAGGCAGGTTCTGGAGACTTAGGAGGAGGGACCCCTCCCCGCCTTCCCTGGGACGTGGAATCCCCTGTGAGCAGGATGGATCTAGGGTATGTCTTTTAGCCTTCTGTATATCTGCATAGACTTTTCTTCTGCCTTCTCATAGTTCATAGCTTGTGTCTACACAAGAACTCTCTAAACATGTGATAGCGAATTAAAGCCATTAACTCCATTATCTGGGATATTGTTTCAGGTATATTTTAATATTGCTGTATAATTTGTCCATAAAATGCTTATCTTCATAATGAAATATGAATGGGTCTTTGTCCGACAGAAGACTTTTGTTGAATAAGATGATGGCAGAACGCTGTAGGATCCTGCTATTTGAATCTTCTTGGAGTCACATTCCTTAGCATCTAGAGGAGGTAACAGAGGACATGTGGACGTGCTTTCTGCTGGCGATTAAGTCCCAGGCTTGGGAGTGGCTTGTAGCAGGCTGATGATTGAAGTCTGGAGTGATTCTAGCACAGAAAAGCAACCAGGGCGCAAGGTATTTCTGTGTGTATTTGGTTCGCTGATCAGCACTTGGGTTACCAAGATGATTAAAGCACAGCCTTGCCCTTTGGGAGAGAAAACCATTCAAAGAAATGCTGTGACAAAAGACACAAGCATTGAGTGATCAAGTACAGCATGTGCATGATTATTGGAGAGCACCAGGTTGTCAGTGAAGACAGTCGTAAGGGAGGAGAGATGAGGTGGTGGGGGAGACGTCTTATAATCGAGTAGAGTACTGAGAACAATGCTGGGGTTATCTCTCTGGTGTACAAAGGGACTACCTTGGTCAGGGTCCTGGCAGAAATGTACCTAAGAGGGATAATTGGAGAAAGCTGAAGGAAGACACTATTTACAAAGGTGTGGTCAGGATTAAGAGAAACCAACAAGAGCTGGCAGAGAGCTTTGAAGCTTTACCATGCCTAGACCCAAAAAGGGGCAAGAAGAGAGCAATGACAAGTATTGAACCGTGATATAGGAGAGGGTCGCCCTGTAGGAATTGTGCCCTTTAGTAGAGGAACTCAGCCACTGCCAAACTGTGGAAAGAGGGCTGGGGGAAGAAATACCGAGTCTCCCATCAGTGTATCCCATTGGCCAAGTCCAACAGAAACCAGAGTTCAAGGGAGCCCATTGATACAGGTCGTGCAACAGGATAGAGAGTGGTCCCAGCAGAGCACACAGAGACTGTCCTGCAGAAAGACTGATTAGGCACCGGCAAGAGTCGTACTCAGCCATGTTGAGAGCCCTGCTGAGCTTGGAAACAATCACTTTGTGATTGTACCAAATAGGAAGGATATGGGATTCTCATTGGGTGAGCAAGAGTGCTTTTTCTGTTATTTGGAAGAGGTATCACTCTAAGACCTGTAATTTGCCCATCCGTGTCTGGTTTCTGACACTGGCACCCTAGAACATGTACAAAAGGGTAGTGACACCACGATTTAAGGACCAGCTCTCTGTGTATGGCTCAGTCACTTCCAAAATACTAAGCTAAAATGTTTTGGATTCTTATGTTTTATCCAGCGTTACCTCACGTCAATTCAGTTCAGTTCAATTACATTCGGATATTTGCTGAACATCAAGAATTTCTTGGAACTATGCTGGATGTGCTCAGGATACCCAGATGAGAAGGCATGGAGTTAGAATACAGTAGGGGAGATGATCATGTAAACAAATCGTATAATTAAAGCGAAGCCTGGTGAATCTAATGGAAGCTCTTAACTGACCTGCCCTTGCAGACTCACTGTGTTAATTGGGAAGCCTTGTTCTCTCTCCAAACGCTGTGGCTGCTGGGCTGGCTAGCCTACATGGTTTCGGCTTATTTGGCTGTGTCTCTGTGCACCTGTACACGTCCATGATTTGCATGTTTACCAAGAGTCTCCTGTGTGTGTTCCCAAATCATTTTATGTCAGTTGTTAGTAATTAAATTTATACAATTTAATTACGTTTTAAGTGAACCAGTGAAATATAGATGCAAAATAAAAAGCTTTCGTTTGCGTTAAAATTAAGTCAAACATTTCAGAAAAAGTTAATAAAGGGTAGTCACTTAAAAAATGCCATTTGAAATGGGTACAGATAAGACAGCTCCTCATCCCTTAAAGCTGGCAGTAAGGATGATCTTGACAACAATAAGTTTGTCGATGGTAGGCAAAAAATTAAGACTGTACCTTGATGGTTTCTCAATTTTTCTGTGAGGGAGGAATGAGCAGTGAAATGATGGGGGTGGGAGCCTGAGGACCGTGAAGACAGCTTGAAATAGATAACTTGGCAGGGGAACGGGAGGTTGCTGGCTAGGGCCTGGAGAAGGACTTGTGGGCAGCACTGACCGTGCATCCACCTGAGGCTGGAGATTGTGATTTTTGTCATGGCCCCCACCTACCTAAACAACTGTGCGACTTTCTTTTGCAGTGCTTGGCAGGCTGACGTAGAAGTGCAAAAATAGTTGCTTAGAGCGATCCAGGATGGGGATTTTGTGGGGGCAGGTGTGGCAGGGGTTTAAGGGGAAACGAGAGTTGAGTTTGGGCAAGAATGATTTAAAAGTGACTTAAGCCTTTTGGCCAGAATTGCCATTTTTCATTAATTTGCCTATGTGATGAACATGAAGGGAAAGAAGAGAGGCACCTGCTATGTTTTCTTTCTTTCTTACTCCCTCTCCCTCTCTCTTTTTTTTTTGAGACTGGATCTTGGTCTGTTTGCCTAGGCTGGCATGCAGCGGTATGATCATAGCTTACTACGGCTTCAGACTCCTAAGCTCAAGCGATCCTCCCACCTCAGCCTCCCAAGTAGCTGGAACTACAGGTGCACACCACCATACGCAACTAATTTTTAATTTTTTTTTTTTTTTTGGTAGAAACAGGGTTTTGTTATGTTGCCCAGGCTGGTCTGAAACTCTTGGCCTCAAGTGATCCTCCTTCCTTGGGCTCCCAAAGTACTGGGGTTACAGGCATGAGCCACTGTGTAAATGTTTTGTAGGACTTTTAGAAAACATGGGGTTGTGCCTTTGGCCACACGCATGCTTGTGGATCTACAAGAACAGCGGTCCTGTAACTCTTCAGGGAAGGGGCACCACATATCTGTCCTGTCACCATGGCAAAGCTGGAAGGGTCTGCAGAGCTACCCAGCATGCTGCTGGTGTTGTTGTAACCAAGCAGAGGGCAAGATTCTCGCCATGAGAATTGATGTACATGTCTAGCATGTGAAGCATCCTAAGGGCTGAGGTGGGTTCCTGAAACCTGTGGAGGAAAATGCTCAGTGCAAGAAGCCAAAGAAAAAGGCACCAGGCTCAGCGGGAGCACCCGCCTGGAGAAGCATACTTTGTGAGGATCAGCAGAAAGGAGCTGAGTGTGGAAGCTGTCCCCAAGTCATGGCACAAAAGTATTCAAAAGAAAGGATTTCTGGATTGTTTTTTAAAAAACAAAACTGTGATGTAAATGATGAATTGTGCTCTGTGGTCTGATTAGGAATGTAAGTGGATCCAGAGTACAGTGGGGCTGAGGCAGTGGAAGTATTTTTTTGTGTTTTTTTTTTTAACTTTTAGGTCAGGGATACGTGTGCATGTTTGTTTAATGGGTAAACTTGTGTCACGGGGGTTCGTTGTACAGATTATTTTGTCACCCGGATACCAAGCCTAGCACCCCAATAGTTATTTTTTCTGCTCTTGTCCTTCCTCCTGCCCTCTACACTCAAGGAGGCCCCAGTGTCTTTTGTTCCCATCTTTGTGTCCATGTGTTCACATCATTTAGCTCCCACTTCTAAGTAAAAACATGAGGTATTTGGTTTCCTGTTCCTGTGTTAGTTTGCTAAGGATAATATCCGCCAGCTCCATCCATGTTGCTGCGAAAGACATGATGTCGTTCTTTTTTATGGTGGCATAGTACTCCATGGTGTATATGTACCACATTTTCTTTTTACATTCTGTCATTGGGCATTAGGTTGATTCTACATCTTTGCTATTGTGAATAGTGCTGCAGCGAACATATATGTGCATGTGTCTATATAGGAGAATGATTTATATTCCTTGGAGTATATACCCAATAATGGGACTGCTCTGTCAAATAGCAGTTCTGTTTTTAGCTCTTCGAGGAATTGCCACACTGCTTTCCGCAATGGTCGAACTAATTCCCACCAACAGTGTGTAAGTGTTTTCTTCTCTTCACAATCTCACCAGCATCTGTTATGTTTTGACTTTTTAGTAATAGCCATTCTGACTGGTGTGAGATGGTATCTCATTGTGGTTTTGATTTGCATTTCTCTAATGATCAGAGATGTTGAACTTCTTTTTTATATGATTGTTGGCTGCATGTATGTTGTCTATTGAAAAGTGTCTGTTCATGCCCTTTGTCCACTCTAATGGGGTTTTGTTTTTTCTTATAAATTTGTTTGAGTTTCTTATTAGATACTAGACCTTTGTCAAATGCATAGTTTGCAAAAATTTTCTCCCATTCTGTAGGTTGTCTGTTTACTCTGTTGATAGTTTCTTTTGCTGTGCAGAAGCTCTTTAGTTTAATTAGATCCCATTTGTCAATTTTTTTCTTTTGTTGCAATTGCTTTTGGCATCTTCATTATGAAATCTTTGCCCATTCCTATGTTCAGGGCAGTATAGGTTGTCTTCCAGAGTTTTTATAGTTTTGAGGTTTACTTTTGAGTTGACTTTTTCTATGTGGTGTAAGGAATCAGTCCAGTTTCAATCTTCTGCATGTGGTTAGCCAGTTATCCCGGCACCATTTATGGAATAGGGAGTCCTTTCCTCATTGCTTGTTTTTGTCAGTTTTGTTGAAGATCAGATTGTTGTAGGTGTGCAACCTTATTTCTGGGCTCTCTATTCCAATCCATTGGTCTATGCTTTTTTTTTTCTTTCTTCTTCTTTTGAGACAGGGTCTCACTCTGTCACCCAGGCTAGAGTGCAGTGGTGCAATCGCAGCTCACTGCAGCCTCAAGTGGAAGTCTCGATGAGATCAGGGAGGAGTAGGTGTGAAGACAGTAGAAGTTCTGGGAGGCTGAGGTTGGGGAATGGCCCTTTGACCTTGGGATTGCAGAGGTCGAGGGGCTTCTGGTGTGGGTGGGGCTGCAGCCTTGGGTGGTGTAAGTGAAGTGATAAAGACCACTGGATCAGAAGACATCTAGAAACATAGAGGCAAAGGGGTTTCAAGACCTTCTTTGGGGACATTGAGACCACCCCAAACTGCCAAGATTTGTGATAGATAAGTGGACAGGGAGATCATTGGCAAAGCCATTGATAAATATGGTGACAGCTCCAAGAAGATTGGCAGGCGAGAGAGAGGCTGAGGAGTGAGTGTGGTATAATGGCATGGGCCTCAAAGGGCTTTTCCCTAAGGAGAGGGGAATGGTGGTTTTCCCCTGTATGATTTCTTTGGGGCAAACCAGACCCGTTTTTCTGTAAGCACAAAATTTGTGCTTTTGATTAGCAGAATATCTGCTCCCATTTCAGGAGGCATCTGTCTGCTATCCGTGTGACTCTTATGGAAAATTCTAAAAGTGACTGGTGCCATAATTGGAGCTAGGACTCACTTCTTGCTCCTATGATTCTACTTTGATATTAAATAAGTTTCCTTTATGAGACACCAGTCAGTAAATAGAACAGGATGTATGGTTAAATAGCTAAAATTATTTTCATCATTGCAATTATAGTATGCCTTGCCATTTCAAACCAAATATCCACTTATCTTTCCTGAAATTTTGCAAGAAATCTATTATTCGAGGATGCAGAGATGATTTTTTTTTGGTTGAGTTAAACATTTTTATGGATTAGATATGAATTCAGTAAAAATAATTGAATTAAATTGGGTAATATGAATAATTCATGACATGTAATTTCACATCAGTTCTACCTTAAAAATAAAGCTATTGGTTTATGTACTGGGAAGATGTATTTTATTATTTAGAAAGGTAGAGAACATTATTTTGGAATATAACTCACTGTATGATTAACTAGATACATTAAATAGTAAGATTGAAAGAAAGTACAGAATTCAAACTAAGGTGCTTTGATGCAATTCACCTGTTCCATCTTCTTGATGAAACACTAGTTGCTCTGTGTCTGTCATTAGCGATTCCGCAAGGCATGTGGTGATAAGACTTCCAGATTTTGAGGATATGTCCAGTAATTGTGCTTGAACATTGTAATGGGTGTGACGGCTGCCAGGTGCCTCATTTGGGGAGTAGGGGACAACTTTCTGGCTAGGTCATTCTTTCCAAAGACATGTACTCTCTGCTTCCTCTGTGTGTAGCCCAGCATACTGGGACATCCATATGACTAAGGCTTGGGGAGTTTCTTGCAGAGTGGTGTGGTGGCACAGATCAAAATCTTGGTAGAAAAGTGAGCCCAGGTAGTCACAGGCTTGACCCAAGCCTGGAAGGAGGAGCAGGAGTTAGCTATGGAGAAGAAGAGGGGAGAGAAGGGGGACACTCAGGAGTGAGAATCACCTGTGCAGTGGTACCAGGGCCAGAGGGAGTCAGTTTGGACCTGCTGGCTGCAACTGGACGGAAGAAGCACATGGACTGTGGTGGGAGATGAGGCTGAGAACATTGGGGGCCAGGCTCCTGAACCGGGCTAAGGAGCTTGAACCTGATCCTGCAGGTATAGCGGGAACCACTGAGCAGCGCTGATGACAGAGATGTTCTGTGTTGGTACCACAGTCAGCCGAAAGTCTCTCGTGAAAGTTTTCCCTCTTAAATGTTTGTGGTGGTAGTTCAAAATGGAATTGGTCCACAAAGGTATTGCACAATAGAAGATGCAGTATCTTAACCATTGCTATCATTTGTTGATGACCAGAAGTTCAATCACAGAAATTGATACCAATACCTGTTATTACTCACAACAATGCGTCATCCTTTATTAGGCTCCTAGTGCCTTTTGGCCATTTTACACTAAGACAAAACCACTAACTGCTTTAAAAGGCGTTGGTCACAACTTTTATGATTTGAGATTAATCAAAGGCACCGAATGTCAGAGTCTCCTACAGAACTCAGCCAACTTTTAGGGCAAGGCTCTGTACTTCTCCATCTTTAGAAGGAAAGCAGGGAAAACCGTGGAAATCATGCTACTTTCATTCTCTTCTTGGAGGACTATCCCCTGGGTAAAAATTCAAGGTTCTTCTAATTAATACATTGTAACTAACACATTAATGAATACTGCCTGGTGAGATGAGTTGTATCTTAGGTCACAGTTGTTGAAGCCAGACAACGTGAAAGAAGATGATGGGCAAAATGGATGGTTTTAGTTACTTCTTTTTTAAATACCGTATTGTTTTTGTTAAATGATACAAGCTTTCTATGAATGAAGTAAAATAGTACCTGAAATGCAAAGGAAGTAAAAATCACTCCAAAATTTCATCCTCTAGAACAGCAGTTCCCAAGCTCTGTGGCACCAGGGACTGGTTTCATGGAAGACAGTTTTTCCACAGACTGGGGGCAGGGGCGATGGTTTCAGGATGCGGCTGTTCCACTTAACATCATCAGGCATTAGTTAGATTTTCTTTCTTTCTTTCTTTTTTCTTTTGAGATGGGGTCTTCTGTCGCCCAGGCTAGAGTGCAGTGGCATGATGTCTGCTCACCACAACCTCTGCCTCCTGGGTTCAAGCAATTCTCGTGCCTCAGCCTCACAAGTAGATGGGATTATAGGCGTCTGCCACCATGCCTGGCTAATTTTTGTATTTTTTAGTAGAGGTGGGATTTTGCCATGTTGGCCAGGCTGGTCTCAAACTCCTGAGCTCAAGTGATCCACTCGCCTTGGTCTCCCAAAGTGCTGGGATTACAGGCATGAGCCACCATGTCCAGCCTAGATTTTCATAAGGAGTGCACACGTGCTTAGATATCTTGCACATGCAGTTCACAATAGGGTTCGCACTCCTATGAGAATGCAATGCTGCTACTGCTCTGTTAGGAGGCGGAGCTCAGGCAGTAGTGCTCGCTCACCTGCCACTCACCTCCTGCTGTGCGGCCTGGTTCCCAACAGGCCACAGCCTGGTCCACTAGCTAGGGGTTGGGGACCCCTGCTCTAGAGTTAACTACAGATGACATTCTGGCGAACATACTACCAGACATTTCTCTAGAATTCATAACTTTGTATTCTTAGTCCTTCTTGCAAACTCTGGTGTGCTTGGTCCTCTCTGTAGGATATCTGTTGAGATTGCCTAGAATTTTTTTTTCTTTACTCTTCAAGTTTCTTAATTTTTGCCAAGTGTTCCATTATTGGAACGCTAAGCATGTGGGAGTTATTTGTATCCTACTCAGGGTCATCGCCAAGGTCTGTTTGCAAAAATTCAAAAAATTGCAACCTCAGGCATAAATGGGTACGGACTATGTTCAATTTTGTTTCTTCTTTTTACAGTGTGTGGCTTGTTTTGTAAACAAATGAATACATGAATTAAATCTATATGGAGTACAAAGGGATGAAGGAGAAACAGCTTCTGAGCTGTTTGTAACCATCCTTGTTTGCATAACCTACTTATTATTGAATTCAGTTCAGAGATCATGCTGGTGGTCATCTTACTGGTTAGCTTTGCCTCACTGGACTAGAGTCACTCAGATGAAATGAGTGGAGGATGATACATTAATGTTTTCCAGAGATCCTTCCTGTAGCTTACTATTTAACATCCAATCCATCAATGGATATTTGATATTGGGATTAAGGTACTAGTTATATTTATGGATAAAAGAGAATTGGGTTACCTTAGCTAACTTGATCAAAATTCAAATGGTTGTGGTTAAGTAGAAGAAATAGGTAATTTTAAAATGCCAGAGTTTGAATGAGTGCAAGTAAAGGCATGTAGATATGAAAACCTCATCCTTTTATCTTGATGGTGTTTTGAAACTTCAAGTATTTTTTTTTTCAGACCTCCAGGAAGAATGGATTTTTTATTGCCTTCACGTGGGGTGGTTTCTTTGTGTACGTGAATGTGCCACCAGGGCAGTGTTTCTCCTGGGGCAGTGTTTCACACTGGGGCAAGTTGTGGACCCACCTGTGACCGTGGTGCATTTCCAGAGAGGAGAACTGCGGATCTTGTGCATTCTCTGTGTCTCCTTCTATTTTTCAAGAGACCTTTAAAAAGTTTCTGTCTAGGCCAGGTGCGATGGCTCACACCTGTAATCCCAGCACTTTGGGAGGCCGAGGCAGGTGGATCACCCGAGATCAGGAGTTCGAGACCAGCCTGGCCAACATGATGAAACCCCATCTCTACTAAAAATTCAAAACATTAGCCAGGCGTGGTGGTGGAGGCCTGTAATCCTAGCTGCTCAGGAGGCTGAAGCAGGAGAATCACTTGAACCTGGGAGGCGGAGGTTGCCCTGAGCCGAGATTGCACCATTGCACTCCAGCCTGGGCGACAAAAGCAAAACTCTTGTCTCAAAAAAAAAAAAAATTCTGTCTAAATTCCAGTGATGATCAGATGTGAACATAAACACGTTCAGGATCATATACATTGCTGGATTTGCCATATCTGACTTTGTCTGTTTCTAGGATATTCGAAATTCTGTGACTCCTATTAATGTATCATTCTCCTGGGGCATCACAGCTGAGGCTGGTGTAGGCTCACTAGTAGCCCAGCCTGGAAAACAAGCTACTCAGCACACTCCTCTTAGCTTGGCTTTGTTGTGTGTGCACTTCATGAGGGTGATGCTGCCCATGTGATATTCCAGATGTAGGTGAGTCTCCAGAACGGACAGCAGCTACAGTAGTGTATCTTTTAGAGAGCACGGAAGAGTTGCTTAAAACTTCTTTTCTATTCAACTCTTCATCAGAGGTACTCTTCATGACCTCATCTATTCATTCATGCAACAGATATTTACTAAATGTTTACGTTGCAATGGACATAGTAGAATGAATCATCAAAAGCTTGTTATTATATATTAGGTTGATTTTTTCCAGGAGAGGAGTTTAGGAAGACATTCAGTCTCCTTGGTAAACTTGTACATGCCTTTACTGTCAGCCTTACTTAACCCTTTACGCTATATAATATGCTTTCTCTCTTAATTTTCTCACGAGTTTGCAAGCCCCTTGAGGGGTAAAGATGGTATCTCAACTCTTCGCAGTTCTATTTTATGCAAATAGAGGCAGTGGTGGCTAATTGATGATTCCATCATCCAGAATATCTTATGCCTCTAGCTTCTGAGTGACGGAGACTCTGTTTTTTAACAGATGATCTGAAATGAGTTTGCTGTAGGTTCTTTGCTGTCTTGGTCACCCCTGGACATGATTGGTATTCTGCATGACTATCATTGGTAGTGGTAGCATGGTATCGTAAAGGCAAGGATGTAAAGAGAAACAAACTCGGGCTTCAGGGTGAAAACCTTTGGCTCTCCTACTTGGAAAATGGACTTGACCTGAAAAATGAGAATTAAAGTCTACATCTTTCAGGGTTATTCAGAAAGTTAAATGAAATAAAATAAATATAAAGTGATGAGGTGAAATAATTTCTTGGAATAATGAGTTTCCTTGATTCACCCTTGAGCAGACACCTGTTCTCTTGCCCTGCAGCCTCTGATGCAGGGAAACTGAGAGCACCAAGCAGGACCTTGAGGAAGAGAAGGGGAAGACCAGCTCAGGAGGAGGCCTGATTCTCATGCAGGCTTAGAGCACAGCATGCATGGGTTGGACTGTGCAGATCAGAAGGGGTGGGAATGCTGTTCTTACAGGCTTAGGTTTTCTCTCTTTATTCCTCCATCCTTGAGCCCCTGGAGGTTCAAAAAAGCAAAGATACCAGTTATTAGGAAAAATAAAGACATTCTGTGTTTGTAAGTGGCTGAGTTGAATCTGTCCAAACCAGCTTATACTTGTGCAAACTCTGTGTCTGGCTTGCACAGGGTTGACATTCAGCAAATAGTTCCATTCCCCATATTTCTCCTCTCTCTCTCCGTAATGATAAATATGAATACATACATATCTATATATAAAACCTGTGACATAAAATATATAGAAGCAACTTGGATATTAAAGTGTGAGTTTGTATGTGCACCTATCCCCATCCATCCATATGCTAGCAGTACCTACATCCCTTGGAAGTAACTGGATAATTGGAGACATGGGTGGGATGTTGAAGGGGCATTTCTGGTCATCTTAATGACTGGGAGTGCTATTGGATGTATCAAGGACGCTAAACATTCATCAGACTGTCAGGCAGTCCCTTATCCTCACCAATAGAGAATTTTTCTGCCCCAAATGCCAGTAGTACTTCCATTGAGAAACACTGTATACTGACAGTGTGGAACATTTCTCAGCAACTTTGTGAATTAGAGACTGCTCATTATTCTATCATACAGGATAACAACTTTTCAGGGGAAGTTATCTTTAACTTCCCTGTGCCCCGACTAATGGTATTACTCGGTGAGAATGTTGACTGCATGTTGATCCCCACTGGGGGATTCTAGACATGTTAAGCTCTAACATGTATGTGAATATTATTTCAGATCTGAGGGCATTGTGATCATTGTTCTCTTTCTGTTGGTGTGGATGAAATAAGAGTTGTTGCTGCTTGGATATTTTCCCCTCCGACATTCTTTCACTGGGAAGCTATTAGACAAAAATTGTGTAGGCTTTGTGGACAAGACATTTCGACGGAAAAAATAATCTTGGCGTCACTATGCACACACACAGAGACCGCACATACAAAGCGATTTTGGAGGGCCCTTTTGAAATTACATAGGGAAACCAACAGTGCCAGTAATAGCACGGGGCTCTATTTCTCACAGTGCTTTTGAAGGCATAGAAAGCAAATGACAATTCTGGCGGTCGCTAAGATGTATTTTGCAGTGGCTGGAAAGAAACTAGCATTCTTAGAGGAGTCCAGCAAATTGTCTTTGAGCCTTTGAGGGCACACAGAAAGCTAATGACACCTCCGAGGAATAGCCTTCTCAGGTTTTAGATGCCACAGATGCTAAAGCCAGGATATAAAACCTTTCTTATAGGGCCTTTAAGAATCCTCAGTGTGCTTTTATTAGCAAGCTGAGTGTGTATATAGAGATGTTAATGGTCTGTGGAGCAAGCTCAGCTTGTTTTTGCAAACTACAGAACTATAAAAGTTATCAGAAAGGACACATTCTTGCCTATTGCTTTGTTCCTTTGTTTCTTATTTATTTCCTTCTCTGTGGAATGTTAGGGCACTGATCATGTGCTGGGTCCTGTGGATACAAAGGGGAATCCTCTGTGGATTCTTCTCTCTGGAAGCTTGCCCTCCAATGTAGGAGAAATGTACACGTTCATATCCACAGTGCAAAGTATAGAAGGCAATGACAATGCAAATAAAGCCTAAATTAAATGGAAATTTCGCCACAGAAGAAATTACTTCTAGCTGATAGGATCAAAGAAAGCTACATAGACAAAAGAGTGGAAATGGTATTTAACTATTTTCAAGGATATGTAGGATTTGGGCAGGTAGCAATTAGCTTTCAGGAAGAAAAGAAGACTTATTGTAGGGGAGGGCAGTCCATGCCGGGGAGTGGCATTCACAAAGGTTATGAGTGTGAAGTGAGAATAGCTAAGGTTAGCAGGTTCGTAGGTGTACACTCCTGACCGTTGAGAGAATGATCCTGGATTTACTGCTCGTTAATGAATGGTTAGGAATCCTAGTATTCACACATTGATGGGCTACAGAAATCCCTATGGAGCTTGTTAGAAATTTCTATCCCTGGGAAGCTCTCCATACCCTGTGGTTAGAAGATCTCAGAGATCTTGCCGTCTCTCATTCCCTATGGCCAGTGTCCACCCTGCAGCCAGCCACTGGGGACTCTGTCGCTGCCTCTTCCTGAGCTGGGAGGCGATGCTGGGATGCCAGAAACACACAGGAGGGAAATGGAGAACACTTTTCTCAGAAGTATAATCCCCAAATCTCCTCTTAAGCCATTACAATAACATCTCATATTTTATTTAATTTTCTTTTAATGGAAAAACCAGTTATACCAAATGAAAACAAATGACTGAAGAAGAACTGAATGATGTTTATAAGCCTTTTATATGATTTTTTAAATTGAGTTTTTGGTCTCCTAATTGATTAATAAAGGGAAAGACAGAGAAGACTGACATGTGTTATCTTCTGTCACAGTTCAGATAGAGTGAAATGACTCCCACCTTGCCAATACAATTCTCAAGGTTGATTGCTAATTTTAATTTATCTGAACCGTGCTTTTCAATGAGGTGATATTGGTCCTGATCGTTCTGTAAATTGGAGATTTTGCCCGAGGAAGTTAATTCTCCCCTTTCACAAAAAAAGTTTGGACTTTCAGATGACTTATTTGACATTAGCAATGTTAGATTCTTGCTCCACTGCAGCTCTGCCTGGCCACTCTCTGTTCTTTTTGTCACTGAATTCTCTGAAGCGTGTTTGACTCTGCTTAGGGGACCCCCATCACTAAGCCTGGGGTCTGGTTACCATGGATCTTAGGCAGTTTGGCTGCTATAGCAGCATACCGTAGGCTGGGTGGCTTCAACAACAAATTTATTTCCTCACAGTTCTAGAGGCTGGGGAAGTCCAAGATCAAGGCACTGGCAGACTTGGGAAGTCCAAGATCAAGGCACTGGCAGATTTGGTGTCTGATGAGGGCTCTGCTTCCTGGTTTACAGGTGGTCACCTTCTTGCTGAACAGAGAGAGAGAAAGCAGGCTGTCCTATAAGGGCACTAATCCCATTCATGATGGATCCACCTGGTATATTTAAAAGCCCAATGACAGTCCTGTGAGACATGTAATAGTAATAAGATACTAATTGCTGTTTATCAAATGAGCCTTGTGTGCCAGGGACTGTGATAGGATCAGAAAGGTTAAACAGTTTACCCGGAGTCATAAAATAGATGTTTAAAATAGTTGCAGAGTAGGTACACAAAGGTATGTCTTTTGACTTGTCTAGATGGACCCCATAATGCAGAAGAACGAGTCTTGGCCATTTGCATACTGACACTTGGGCTAGCAGGCCAGAAGGTTCTACAATAGGCCTGGCCTCAAATATATTTCACTTGTAATAAGCACCATATGGGGTCCTGCCTTGGAGCTGAGTCATACAAGAGTGCCTAGAGTGCCTTTTAAAGGCCTACAGCCATCCAACTCTTAGGGAAGGGAGTCCGCATTGGACTTGGGTGCTCTGGGAAGTGGTCTGGTTCCTGGATCAATTGTTGATGAGGTATATATTTCAATCATGTTTTCCCACGGACTGTGGGGAAGGCGGTGAGGGTGGCTGGAGACAGGGTTGGTTGGGGAGAAGGGGCTGCTGTTGGTTGAACATTAGTTACACAGAGCTGCGTGCTATAAATTCTGGCTCACTGAATCCTCACGACCACTCTGAGACTTATATTATTAATATGTATTAGAAAGAGGACAGTCCGTGGGGTGCTCTGCCTCCTGGACTCCTCCGTCAGGAAGGTTGTTGGTTCAGGGCCAGCCACTGCTTGGCTAACGCCTCAGTGCTTCAGCGACAAGGACCAGGCCGTGGGCACAAATAAGGTCTTAGGTCTCTCCTCTGTGCACATCCAGGAGAGAGATTTTAGGGATAGTTCCTACTGGCTTCATCACTCTAGGGTTTAAATCTGGGCTTTGCTGCCTACCAGCTGTGTGGCCCTTCCAGTGTGAACCTGTCCAGACCTGAGTTTTAGTATACCCACAGTGGGGAAAAAAGACCTACATCACAGGGTTATTGTTAGGCTTAAAGGACGAGACAGATGCAAAGTACTAAGCATGTGGCCTGGCACAGGGGAAGTGCTCAGGAAATGGTAGTGACTGTTAAGACTGTGATACTTGGAGGCTGAACCTTAACAGGATATTATCCTGACCTGTCAGTTTAGCTCTTTGGATCCTATGGTTTTTTTTTGTTGTTGTTCTTTTGTTTGTTTTTTGAGATGGAGTCTCGCTCTGTCGCCCAGGCTGGAGTGCAGTGTCACAATCTCGGCTCACTGTGACCTCTGTCTCCTGGGTTCAAGTGATTCTCGTTTCTCAGCCTCCTGAGTAGCTGGGATTACAGGCACCTGCCACCATGCCTGGCTAATTTTTGTATTTTTAGTAGAGAAGGGGTTTCACCACCTTGGCCAGCCTGGTCTCCCAACTCCTGACCTCAGGCGATCTGCCCACCTCAGCCTTCCAAAGTGCTGGGATTACAGGTGTGAGCCACTGTGCCCGGCCTGGATCCTATCTTAAAGGAATTTCTGTGGTGATAAATTATGAAATGCCTTTCTCGTGCCATCCGACCTCCTGTGTTCACTCTCTGCACCTTTCTATTGTTTCACTGGAAGTGTCATGATATTCCATGAGCACGTTGGTTGCTATTACCACGTAAGACAATGGGAAAAAAGAAGCCTCCAGCTTCTGGGTGTTTACCGTTTGGAAACACAGCACAACACTTGACATTCTCAGTGCTGAGCTCATGTAGAGGCAGCAGACAGACTGCAGATACGTGCCTGTCCTGCCCCATTAGCTGCTTCGCAATGGGGGTTTCAGTTTATCCCTGTGCCGGTGTTGCTCCCAAACACGGTGACCGTGGGGCACATCCATGCCTGTCTCACATACCAAGGCACTGTCAGCATGTGCTCCTGCTGCAGGACCCTTCGGCCAAGGGATTCATCCTGCGGCACAGGCTCGAGTCTAAGTTTACCCGTGACCTGTGGTCATTCTGTGGACGGCAGACCAGGCATGACTGCACGCCTCGTATCAGAACTCGGAAGCCTGGTGGTGACAGGAAACAGTCCGACTGCTTTAGAGAGGTATTAGTGAAATGTCTAGGAGGGCAGTCTTCTCCTATGGCAGAACAGAGCAACTAGACCAAACGCTTGGTTGAAGTATATCTTTAAGTCTTTGATTAAACATGCCGTTGCATTTTCTGTTTAAATGTTGTTTTACAAGCTGTGTTCTGACTGCAAGGTAGGGTTTCTAAGAAATCAGTCCCAAAGAGCTCTTGCCCCGGAGTGTTTGTTGTGTAGCCTAGGTGGGCTGTAAAAGCTAGAGCTGTTGCTAAGGGAACCAACGGAGGAATGTGAATTTGTAAATCTCTCAATCACATTAACATTTTGTGTAATATCTGACCTCAGCTTTACTTTAAGGTGAAGAGGAAGCTGGTGTAGGAATGATACTGGTCAAAGATCAATGAGAGAGGCACTGTCATTTTAGAACTTGACACTTTGTCATCAGCATTTCTATTTCACTCTTGTAATACACAATTCTTTATTTCTTTGTAAAAAGTCCTATATAAGCAATACCTGCCGTGGTTCCCCACTTTTCAGGCCATGCCCTCTGTGACATTGGGGGTTGCCTATTTTATAGAGAGGCAGAGTGGTGAGGAGAAAGTCATTCGGTGTTTTTGCCGTTGAAACCTAAATCTCTAAGGTGACAAAAGAAATCCCAGTTTACTTGGCATGAGAGAGTTTTGCCAGTTCCATTCTACCTAAAATGCTCTTTTGCTCTGTTTTATATAAGAGAGGAAGAAGTCATTTTATTGTGCTGAAAAACAGTGGAAGTAAAGTTACCAACGAGTAATATTAATGACTTCAATTCATAATATTGGGATAATGACTAATGTGCCAGGTATTATATTAGGTATTTAATATACATGATGACACTTAAATTTATACTATGGTCAGGCAAAGGTATGGTTCATGATCCCAAGCATATAACATGCACACCAGCTGAATATAAGATGAAAGCAACATTCTGTGCATTCGCGTGCCCCTATGCTAAATATACTTAGGTTGACCCATATGAAATTGCCATTTTTATGGGCAAAGAGAGCCAAATATCGGTAATTCCAAGTGGTTCAGCCCAGCACATGTTTGCATATACGCAAACTGGCAGACGCAGTTCTGGAATTTTGTTGAGACATCCCCAAAGTGTTTCACAGGCCTACAGACACGTGGGTCTTTTCACAGAGGCATAACGAACCATGCAGAAAGGTAGAATCCTCAGATGCTTTATCTAATAATCACAGAACTGAAGATCCAGAAGGATCCTTGGGGGCTGCGTGTTGCACTGTGGTTGTTTAATAGAAGTAGGCCCCATGAGGTGAGGGGACCTGCATGTCGGGTGAGTTAGGGCTGACTGTGAGGCTGGGACTTAGGCCTGTGTGGCATCTGGAACACTGTATTCTATCCATTTTAAATTTTAGGCCATGAAAGTGAGTAACACATGGGCTGTAACTTAGAAGTCAACTAAGTGATAAGGGCTTGCAGTCACGCTGGGCACAGGGACCCCGGGCAGAGAGGAGCTCTGCGGTGCAGAGAGGCACATTGGTGAAGGGAGCCAGGCATTCAGCCACATGGTAGAGGAGGGCGTCCTTATCTATCTCAACTAGCTTCTGCTATCGGACTTCTGGGGAGAAAGGGTTTGGTGTTCAAGGCCTAACATTGCCTTTCCTCTCAGAAGGTCTCGTTCATGTTACACAGCTTTGTTCACCCTGAGCCTAGCAAGCTCTGAGCTCCTTGGAGCCACCATTCCTCTCTCGTACGCAAGAAACAAGTCCCAGCTCGGGAGCCCACAAGATTAAAAAGTGCAGATAACCAGTAGCCGTATGGAATCATATGTCTTGACAGGAGCTATGGACTTGTCCTCATTTTTAAATTTATAGCACTTTGAAAAATCACAAGTGTGGGCCTGTACATTGTAGCATATCTCTTTTGACACAGTGGGAACGAGAGCCTTTACGTCAAGGGATACTGGTTAGATGCAGGCCTTCCAGAAGCTTCTGCAGTAGCATCATCACAGCTGCCCTGAGGCAAGGCAGGAGCCCACTCGGGGTCAGGGGTTCAATGTCGGGTCCCCTCCTTGCAGGACACACTTCATTGCTGTTGGGGGTTTCACCTGTGACTGTGTGTCTTGCCCTCTCCTTCCCCATTCTTGGTGTGTCTTTGTAAAATTAGAACTTGTGTCTTCTTCTCTCCACATCCCTGTACTCAGTGTCCACCCTGCTGTCTGTCCAGCATGGACGGCAAATAGTCTGTCAAACACCTCTCTAGTCATTGTCGTCATGGGCCCAAAAAGACTGTTAGCCTCTTTACCATATAGATAGATCAAATATATATTTTTGTCGAATTCTGCAGTAACCTGTGATGTGCGTTGGCCTGAGACAAAAATTCGCTTCCATCCTCAGATCCTTGTTGTGTTCTGAAGAGGGCACACATTTAACAGAACAAAGCTCGTCTGCTTTGCTGGGACGATGGGTGGCTCGCCCAGCAAATCATCATTGGAGCCTTCTTTATTTTGACGTGAGTTTTCAAAAATAGCATTTCTGCTTTTATTTCTCGACTTAAAAGCATATTTTAAAAAATTGGTTTTCTGCATTTGTGTAATCAAGTACAGGAATGGTTTTATGGTTTTGTTTGACTTAGGAACGTCTTGGTGCCTGCCATTTTTCACGGCCATCATCTGAAAGGTTCTTTCCACTTTCACAAGTTGTTAACTGCTTTCTTTGAGAGCAAGCAAAGTAGGCTGCCTCAAATATACACCTGGAATCGGTATTTATTTCCTTATTCTGTGCCCTGTTTCATTCCAAGATTGTGGTATACTGGGAAATAAGAGAATTCAATGAAAAGGGCTTCTATAACAAACGAACTAACCCATTAGAAAGAACTGACCATAAGCTTAGTAGGAATCAGTCATGTGATGTTGCAGCTAAAATAGCGAATGCTGTGGTTTTCAAACTTGTCTAAAGTGGGAGACCCCACTTCCTAACAGTGTTCTGATTTGGGACCTTGTGCACAAAGTGGGCAGTGGGAGTGGTGACTGGGGAGGTATAAGGAGCTTAGAGCCTGGATGGGTGCCTGCCCTGCCCCTTCCAGGTAACCCCCTGAAACTTGAAAACCATTATGTTAATACGTTAATTATATAGCTATAGGGATCCCTTAAGTAAATACAAAGTTTTATTACTGTAGAGGCATGTTTTTATACATTGTTTTATTTGACCCTGAAGAAGAGACCGCAAAGGCATTATCTCTAGTGTCTGTATTTTTCATAGAAGGAAACTGAAGATCAGGGAGATTAGTACCATGATCAAGAGCACACAGGTAATGCATAAGGCAGCAGGGATTGGAATGTGACTTAGTTTAGTGCTCATTTCACTGGGTCACAGGCGTATATAGATGAAATAAGAGCCTTGGCTTCTTGGAGCTGGTCAGACTCTTTCTGGATTGTTTTGTTCAGTGATGGGTGGTAAATTGGAGAATGTTGAGAGAGGCGTGACTGGGATGTATCCCTGTGCAGTACAGATAGAGGTGAAAGATTTTAAAATGGATATCTCTTTGAGAGGTAATTCATTGGTGTCAGCTGGTTTCAATAAAGGTGCTATCTAAAGAAAAAGGTGCTATCTACAGAAAAGCTTGAAGATGGGAGGGTGTGGGAGCCGCGGGACACGGTGTGGATGTCACAGTGAAGGGAGAAGGAGAAGAAAGGGAGGCCCAAGGCAGGGCAGAATCTTGCTGCAACTTCGATGTTGAGCATTCTGGCCCACGGGACACACACAGCCCACCAGTTTTCAAAATACATTCTTTGTTCCTTTGCCAGGATAAGAAATAAGACGGCTGCTTTCATGTCTCTACTTCTCAAATATGTCAGTCTTTTCAGTGACATTCTTTTATTCAATGTAGTGGGTGATCTGAATTGCAAGAATATTTCCTATTTTCCCATGGGACTAAATTAAGTTATTTGCATTTTGAATGGAATAGAAGACTCTAAACACATTTATTTTTTTCTTCCTGAATCATCCTTGGAAAAAGAGGTTGCTCGCTGTTGATTTATTTCACAATTTTATCTGGGTAAAAGCCACTTGCAAAACCACTCCCCTTATCTTAGTACAACTGTGCTAGTGCAGAACTAAGGCCAAAGGGTGGAAAATTCCGTGAGAGTGATTTGGATTCACTCTTAAAATGATAGCAGCAGCAGCAGCAGCAAGACTCACAGCAGCAGAGCTAGCTACCAGAAACAGGTGGCCCTAGAGCTCCTTGTCCCCAGAAATACACAGGTAGAGGCTGGGTGCTGTCAGTCTCAGTCCCTGAGGAGTAGACCTCTGTGTTGGGTGTTACATTAGGCCAGTCTGTTCTTTTGAGATCTAAGATTCTGTTATTTTAAAGGCTTTCATTACTATCCCATTAGAAGGATCAATTTGAATTTCTTGTATTTGAGTGGAAAATGCCGAAGAATACTGAGGTTTGAGTTTCTGATGTTTTGTGAATTTTTCACTGTTGATATTTCATCAGAAAGAATCTGAGAATGTTATGATGTAAAGTGGGCCAGATTTGCTAATCTATTTTAAGAACATGTAATCTGTGAATAATAAAAGCACTGATTTGAATATTGGAATGATAAAGCAATATTCTTAATTTTAAATGATTCTTGTTTTAAAAATAGCATGTTTTAAACCACTTCTCATGATCTTTATTTTCACTTATTTTTTATACTAAATTCGGGGGCGGGGGACAAGTGCAGTTTTGTTACATGGATCTGTTGCGTAGTGGTGAAGCCTGGGCTTTACTGTAGCCGTCACCCAAACAGTGTGCATTGTATCCATTAAGCAATTTCTCATCCCTCATCCTGCTTCCACCCTCCCAAGTCCCCGATATCTGTTTTTACACTCTCTATGTCCATGTATACACATTATTTGGCTGCCACTTACATGTGAGAACATACAGTCTTTGACTTTGTTTCTGAGTTATTTCACTTAAGATAATGGCCACCAGTTCTATTCATATTGCTTGATTTCATTCTTTTTCTTGGCTGAGTAGTAGTCCACTGTATGTATGTATATGTATATACACCACATTTTCTTTATCCAGTCATCTGGTGGTGGACATTGAGGTTATTTCTATATCCTTGCTATTGTGAATAGTGATTGGCACAGGTGTTGCTGAAAGTGTCCTGAGTGTAAGAAGTAGAGAAGGATTGTTTTCCTCAGTGTTGTGTGTAAAGTGCCCATATTTTATTTGTGTAGGGGAGAGAAGATTTCTGTTCTTACCCATCGCTGGGTTTCTGGCTGAGTCATCTATAGCAAAAGACAGATGAACAGGAAAAAAGTATACATTTATCTGATGCAAGTTTTCTGCGACACGGGAGCCTTCCGAAATGAAGAGCGAGGGAAACAGGGAAACCTGTGTATTGTATGCTTAGGTTTGATGAAGAGAGGACAGATGTGGAGGAGTGTGGTGTGATTAGACAAAGGAGGAGTGAGCTAATGGTGATAAACAGAGGGATACTCAGCAAGTCCTGTTGGTTCTGATTCTTCTCTGTGTCCCTGTGTATTCATAGATGTGGTTGTTCCTTCCTCCAGTTACAGGGAGGGCACTTCACCAATGAGAATCTTATGACCTGCCATAGGGGAGAAGGGCAGGAAAAGGGCATAGAGTAGCCTTCCTGCTTCTGCTGCTTTCTTGAATGCCACAGTGCCATATTTTCAGGTAGCATGTCCTGAACCCCATCATTTGCATAGCTTTACAAAGATTTCCTATTTTTATTTTTGATTGGTTTTCACATTTCAGGCATTTGCCATAAATGTTTAGCTTTACCTTGATCTACGAGATTTGGAATTTGATGGCCTATAATAAATTCACGTTTTAGCATACCAAGGGCCTGATATTACAAGCAAATGAACAAACATACAACCCCTACATGAACTGTTGTGTAATATGCATAATTTCTCGGTTTCTCTATTTTATAATTTGGATTTTTCTGCAGCAGGGATGGAGAGAGCACATTTTCTATCAGAAGTTACCAGTGCACAGGAAAAATGAGTCAAGATCAACTGACTAAAAAGAAGCTTAACTCCTTTAAGAGAGAAGTACGTTCTACTTTGCTTTAAAAAAATAAGAACAGGGACATAAATCTATCTAATGGCTAAAAATAGAAATGAGTGATTGAGGATGAAAAAGAGAAGGAAAGAGAAAGATCACAGACACAGACACACTCGGAGACTTCACAGTAATAAAGAAAAAAAATCAAGGACTCAGAGTGAGACACAGACAAAACGAGCCATACACCTAAAGATGAATATATGCAAGGCAGGCAAACGGAAGTCCTTTTTGGGGGCTGTGCAAATACTGGTGTAACATAAGAAAAGGTGATGGGCAGATGCAGTGAGTTGTAGAGGGCCTGTTCTGTCCAAAGGCACTCAAATCCAACAAACCCTGCGCTCACCAAAGGAAATTCATCTGTCATCCACTGGCCACCAGCGTAGACCCTGGGTTCTGAACACCCACAGAAATGGGAGTGGACGTTATACTGAGTGCTTACCCTGTGCCAGGCCTGGTTCTGTGTGCCTCGCCCCTCACGCCTTATAATCCTCACATCACCGTCGGGAGGCCTGTGCAACTGCCATTTCCCCACTTCAGAGGTGAGGAAGCAGACCTAGAAAAGTTTCCATGACTTGTGTGATAGCACACAACTGATCAAGGATGAGTTGAGGTTTGAACCCAAGAAGCCTGGCACCAGAAAGGAAAACGCACTCCAATGCACAAGACATACATTGTCACCCACACAGGCCCAGCCATCTCCCCTCCTGCTTCATCTAACCACTAGAAGTGCGGGGATAGTTATGGCAGAGACAAAGAAACCCACTCAGAGAACACACAGAAGCCTTAGAGCTAAGCATGCATGGAGTCACATCCCAGCCTTCTGGCTTCTGCTGTGCACATAATTTGTATCCTAATTTTAATGCAGTCAATGCTGTAGTAGACCTCTGAAAGATACACAGATAAATGGGACCAGAGTGAAGGAACTCACCTCTTGACAAATGCCTGCTTTTTTTTTTTTTGTTTTAATTTAGTTTGCTTTCTTCTTTTGACCTGGCATAAAATGCCAATAAGAATTTGCTAGAGACAAAACTTGGCAGCAGGTTTTTTGCCAGGTGAAAATGGGGTTCTAGGATTACCGTGGTTGCACTGTGCCTAGCTGGTAGTAGGCACTCAGTCAATGTTGATGACTGGATCACGAGATTTAGCAGTTGTTTAACCATCAGTACTCTCCCAATTTTCAGGATTTTTTTGTTTGTTTGTTTGGAGATGGAGTTTCGCACTTGTTTCCCAGTCTGGAGTGCAATGGCGCGATCTTGGCTCACCGCAACCTCTGCCTCCTGGGTTCAAGCGATTCTCCTGTCTCAGACTGCCGAGTAGCTGGGATTACAGGCCTTTGCCACCACGGCCAGCTAATTTTGTGTTTTTAGTAGAGACGGGGTTTCTCCATGTTGGTCAGGCTGGTCTGCAACTCCCGACCTCAGGTGATCCACCCACCTTGACCTCCCAAACTCCTGGGATTACAGGCATGAGCCACCGTGCCTGGCCCTTATGTACAGTGTTTCCCTAGTTATCTCAGAAACTTCTCTAGGCCAACGAGGTAGGTAATAGGATTCCCATTTTCCAGGAGAGGAAACCAAGACCCAGAGGACTGTCTGGACTGCGGTCTTAGAGCTGGCAAGTGATGGAGATGGCACCTGAGGGCTTCTGCTTCTAAATCCGTGTTCTGTCCTCTAGGCTGCACTGCCCTTCAGTGGTTTAAGTGGAAAGCCATGGATCAATCTCTAGGGAAATGTGGTTTTCAGAGCAGTAGCATTTCTGACAAAGGTGAAGCTCTGATTTTTCCCCTCTCCTGGAAGGAGGAATATTAAATATCTGCAGTGTCTGAATTTCTTTAACCTTCCCTCCAATCTTTAGTCTCTTTAGGAGGTTATTTACAACTCTGACTTCTGTTTGTTTTTAATGTCCTCTGCAATTGAAAGAAGACAGTGAGTGTGATGCTTAAATGTAGTAGATTTTTCCCGGACTATTTGATAAGATCTATTTTGTAAAGGAACTGCCAAAGTCAGTTGCGATAATAGCCATAATAGTTTTAAAGTGATGTTTTCCAATGCAGATTCACTTATTGCCTGGTTTTTGAAATTATTTTGAGTAACTATTAGAAAATAATACTTTAAACCATGTTTTTATTTCCAAAAACTCTAATTGAAAATTAAACATTCTTCAGAACAAAGAAAGCACCTTCCTTTTCCCAGTTCCCACCCTGATCCTTTATTTTGCTCCATTTCCCCATAAATCCAGATAACTTTGTTATGTGGAGTAAGAAGTAGAAGATTTCACTGGGGCATGCTTTGACTTCCCCAGTTCCCTCCATCAAAGAATTAAGCGTAATTTTTATCCAAAGAATGGGATGAAAGGAGGATTCCCTGCACCGTCGTTTTGGTTTGTCCTCTTCTTTCACGGGGAAAGAGGAGCTGAAATGTGCTTAATTGTTTGCTGCATTTCCTGTGCACATGTACTTATCCCTCACATCACCCGAGACCAAGTGAAGAGGGAGTGTTTAGAAAAAAGAGAGGGAGGCTGATACCCGTTGAAAGTAAAATGCTGGCATCTTAATTTTAAGAGAACACAGAAAGCCAAATGCTTTCAGAAAAGGGTCCCTTCACGGAGTAATTTGCCTGGTATGGCATCCCAGTTTGTTGTATAATTTCAGCCCCGTTACTATGGTAACCTGCTTTAGTGTCGCAGCGATTGTTAATCAGGATTTGTCGTTATTCCCCTTTCATCACGAGGCTCTATATCCTTATGGATTAAATCGCAGTTCTCATCGACAATGGCATAGATCAAACATTATTGCCAGACATAAAACCCCGGGTCGCTCCCTGTCATTTTCCCCGTTACCAGAAGCAGCAAATGCAAGCTGAAGTCTAACTTTTGCAAGGAAATCAGGGCTCCTTCTGGCTCCTCTGATATCTACCCTCATGACAGAATTCCAAGCAAGAGGGCCACTTTCGTTTCCAATCACCCTGTGCCCATGGGAAGGGCAAGCACCATTTTGCGTCACTGCAAACCTGACTCTTCAGATACATATCCAGACAAAAAGTTGTTTTAATGTGACCTCTAACTCTTCCTCAAACCTTATTCTTATTCTTGGAGCAGCCGACTTTTTCTTTCTTTCTCATCGATTTTGTAGATTCTTGTCTGCTGCTTTTCTATAGGAAGTCCGTGTCAAGAAGCAGGGGAGACCAAGACGCCACTCCTGTTGAGGATGTTCTGTGGTGAATCACAGAGCCTCGTGAGGCTCGTGGGATGGTGGCTTGCTTTTCCCATTTGTGAAGTCTGGTGGTAACAGTACCCAGACAGGGAAGTGAACAACCCTATAGTATAGTGACCGGATTTAGCAGGGCCGGATCGCCACCATCTTTAGGAAAGTCAGGTTAAAGGAACATAGGAGCGGTGAAGTCTCGTGGTGCCATGTTCTAGGTTAGGTGCATATCGCTAGTCGTAGTGTGTCTTCATATTGCAAATTGCTTTGTTTAGGAGCGAGAACTGTTAAGCCATGCTTGTTAATAGCCTCTGGAGCCAGTCTGCCTGGGTTCAGTGTTTGGCTCTGCCACCTCCTAGGTGTGTGACCTTGGCAAGTTTTTGAACCTCTCTGAGTTTCAGTACCTAAAACCAGCGTAATAGTAGTACCTACCTCAGAGTCCGTGAGGATGACGTAAGTTAATATTTGTGAAGCGCTTAGACTGGTGACTGGCACGCCATCAGTGTTGTATAGGTGTTTGTAAATAGATGAAACAGAACCAACATTGCACGTACATGTATTCAAAATATATTCAAGATCAGATTATCCAAATACCAGTAAGGTGTTGAAAACAGCGCTTCCCCCCCTCCTCCCCCTTCCCTCTCCCTGCTTTTTTTCCTTGATCTCTGCAATGTGCCCAACCCCCAAGTATAATTCTGATTGGCTAAATTAATTCTGCAGCATCCTGCTGTGAATAATTATGTTGATCCAGTGTGTATCTCATGCCTTTTTTTTTCTCTTTGCCTAAATTATAATGTGACAATTGCGGCTCACAGCTGGCTCATCAGAGGTGGGCAGTTGGGGGATTGGCACATCTGACTGTGCTTCTCTGTTAACTCTGTGCCTTGATTGCTTAAGACAAGACACATGTAAACCCCATGATTATTGCCATTTTTTTGGACTTTGCAAAGACTCTGCCTTCAAACATAAAGCTGCTGGGCTCGTTTTGGGGGAGGGGGCATGTAGGAGTCTCCTTTCCCCTCCCCCCGCCTCTCCCTGCTTTTCCTTTCAGACAATAAATAGCTGTCAGGCTTATGTCAAGGATGAAATTATAGGTGCACATGAGGCCTTGATTACATTGTTTTGGAGAGATTGCTATTAGCATACTGAAATGAAGTCTAATTTTTCACTGGCGGAGCTGAGTCAAACTCCAGGGACAGGCAGGGCCTATGCAGTGCGAGGCGAGAACCGTCCGATCGGAGCACCTGTTCTATGTGGGGATCAGCTTTTCCTTCCTTAAGACAAACAATAGGAATAAAATAATTCATACGAAGAATAGCTTTGCATTAGAAAAGAAAGGCCAACTGATAAAGGATGGAATAAGACATTTCGGTTAGATAAGGCTCTTTGTGAAATGACCGTATATGATTTTCAAGTGTGTTTAATCCATGTTAAGGCAGCATCTCGCTTGTTGATTCAGGCTGTGTTTTAGCCTGAAGAGTGTACCATCTGATTTTTTAGGTTGCTTGCCGCCTGCATAATTCATTTTCTACTGCCCGGCCCTGCAAGCAGGCATCCTCTGAAGAGGCGTGTTTGTGAGCACTCCATCCACGGGGCGGGTGGCCTTCTTGTACTTTTGATGTTTATACATTCTGATGATGTGACCCTGTGACCTGTTCACTTTCAAAATCCTTCAATATAAAAATTATTCTTGGCAAGTGGTTTCCCTGAAATGTGTAAGACATGGTGCCTCCCGAATGATGGTGGATTAATAATTATACATGGCTTATTGTATAACTGTCCTGGCTCACTGCAGTGAAAATTTAAAAATTACACACATACACACACAGATGTACATACACCCGCATCTGCACGTGTGTGTGTGTGTGTAATGATTTTGGCATTGTAACTTGAAAGCTTATTCAATATCATTGTTTCATCATTACTATTATTAAGGGAAAAAAACAAGGATTTGGTGTGGGTGGAGAGGACGGGAGCGTGTCCTCCAATTTGAAATCTGTAACAGTGGAGAAAATTTGTAAACAGACCGTATATTTATGTATTTGGAGTATATACTTTCAGTACCTACTACATGCAAACAGTGCGCTGTAGTCACTGCAGATTCAGAGCTGAGTTAGAAATGGTTCCTGCTGTCCAGGAGTGTGTGGTTTGGACCAGAACAAAACAAGCATGACCACATAACCCTAGAGCAGCAAAGAATGGTGCGATCGTAAAGGAAGAACCCATATTTGCTTTGGGTTTTTTTTCCCCTAGCTATTTGGGTGATGTTAGAGTAAACTGAGGAAGAGAAGAGAGAGTGAAGGTTTAATGGAGGAGGTTGTATTTGAAGTGTACTTTGCAGTGTGGGTAGAATTTTAAACACAGAAATAAAAGAAAGACATCCCCAGAAGGGTGAAACTGTGAGCAAAAGCAGGGTGAGGTCTCGTCTGGCCAGAGGTTCTCTCCCTGGGATGCTCTTGCATCGGTAGAGAACTGTGAGTAAAACAGCTGCTGCCTGAAATCCAGACACAGGAAGCAGGTGAGTGGCTGCTGAGGGCCGAGGGCTGGGGGTTTCGAGGAAACTAGGAGTGGCTGGATGCAGGTACCAGGGGTATTTTGGGGGTGATGACAGTGTTCTGAAATGGAATGTGGCGGCGGTTGTACAACTTTCTGAATAGACTAAAAGCCATCGGATTGTATACTTTAAATGGGTCAGTTGTATGGTATGTGAATTATATCTCAGTGAAGGTGTTATTTTAAAAAAAAATACTGCTGCATACTGATGAAATCACACTTTCTGGGCGTGGCGCTGGTCTGAGCCTCCTTAGGAGCCCTGGGCTGGAGCAGACGCTGGACATAGCGTTCAGCTGGAAGGAGAGGTGGGGCTTTATCTTAGCCTGGAAGGGCTTGCTGAAAGGTTTGCAAAACCTATTTGCAAAAGGGAGCCATTGGAAGTTTTAAAGTAGGGTCTTGGCACATTCACACTATTGTTTAAAAAGCTACTCACAGACCTGTGGTAGATGGTTTCTGGAAGCTGGGACGCCAGCTGGGGCCTTGTTGGGTTACCGGCAGAGGCGAGGTGGCCCTTCCCAGGTACAGATGAGTGCCGGTTGCAGTGAGAGTCGAAATCAGGTGACAAATGTAAGGGACACAGAGAGCAGAATGTCAGCAGGGCCCGGTGCTGTCTGGATGTGGCACGAGTGGGAGAGAGGGTCTGACGGGTCCTCAGGTTTGAGCCAGAGTAGATGAGAAGGAGCAGGCCTGGAGGATGTGACATGCTCAGTGTTGCATGTGTTGGATTCAAGGAACCGGCGATCCATCCTGGAGCAAGATGGGAATGTGGCTCTGACCCCAGCAAAGGGGCTGGCCACCGAGCCTAGGGAGTGTGGAGGGTCAGCTTCCGCAGCAGCTCAGTCATCAGCTGTTGGCAGGAGGCCTCAGACCTTCACCACGTAGGCCTCACCACCTCTGTCCCCATGTCCTCACAACGTAGTGGCTGACTTCTCCCAAGGCGTGTGGTCCAGGAATGAGTGAAAGTCACAGTGTCTTTATATAACCCTGCCTGGGAAGTGACACACTCTGTCTCCTACGGGTGACGCCAACCAACCGTGTACAGGGTAGAAGGGGTCACACAGGGCATGAGAACAGGAGGCAGGGGCCATGGGGCTGTCCTGGGGACAGTCTGCCACCTCTTGATGCCTGGCACTGCTCTTGGCATGGCCATCTGCATGGAAAGGCTGTAACGAGAAGGGTGCTCAACCACCAGCTCACAGGCAGGGAAGCCCATGCTGCCTGGAGGATTCCTGCATTCTCCTAGCATCTGTGGCACCCCCCACGTCCCAGGGGCTCGGAGACAGGTCACCGTTTCTCTGGACTGTCACTCCAGCGAGTTCACCGCCCTTCGACTCTGAGCAGTGCAGAGACCCCGGACCACAACAACCGTGTTCCTCAGACTGATGCGAAACTCCAAAGAGCGGGAAAACGACTTTAGAGGGACCGGAAAGGGGAAGCGAGTCTCCCATGGTTTGAGGTGTTGCTGCCCGTACCTGTGCACTTGGCCACAGTCCAAAGTGACTCCATTGCGGGCACAGCCGTGGGGCTGACGTGAGACCCCAGCCTGGCAAAGCGAGCACTCGGAGGCAGTGGGCAGAAAGGGCTCCTCTCGGCTCTGCAGCCGGAAAGGAGACATCTTTTTAGATAAGAGTTACAGATAATATTCTATTTCTGGAAACGCAAGGATGGGTGGGATGAACCTTCTTAACTAATGTGATCCATTCAGAAGTATGTTAAAATGTATCCCTTCATATAATGCACCCTGCTTTAATTTTTAGATCAGGGCTGAAGAGTTTTTCTTTTTTTTTTTTTTATGAGAAAGGGAAAATGTTGTTTTTAAAATTAGGAATAGGAATTTAGGCCAGGCACGGTGGCTCATGCCTGTAATCCCAGCACTTTGGAGGCTGAGGCAGGCAGATCACTTGAGGTCAAGAGTTCCAGCCCAGCCTGGCCAACATGATGAAACCCCATCTCTACTAAAAATACAAAAATTAGCCAGGCATGGTGGTGCACATCTGCAATTCCAGCCGCTTGGGAGTCTGAGGCAGGAGAATCTCTTGAACCTGGGAGGCAGAGGTTGCAGTGAACTGAGATCGCACCATTGCACTTCAGCCTGGGCAAGAGAGTGAGACTTCATCTTAAAAAAAAAAAAACGGGAATTTAGTTATATTTAACAAGTAATCATTTTGGGAGGCCGAGGCAGGAGGATTGCTTGAACCCAGGAGGTCAGGGCTGCAGTGAGCCAAGATCTCATTACTGCACTCTATCCTGGGTGAAAGAGTGAGACCCTGTCGCAAAAAAAAAAAAAAAGGAAACTCTGTCTCAAAAAAAAAAAAAATCATAACTTGTTGAGAAGTAATTAAAGACATGCAGAACTGGAGAAGGTAGGACAACTCCGATGAGTCCGAGTGAGGGGTGGAGGATCTGGCGATTGTGTGTGTCGCTGGTAAATTTTTTTTTTTTTTTTTGAGACATAGTGTCACTCTGTCGCCCAGGCTGGGTGCAATGGTTCAGTCTTGGCTCAGTGTAACCTCTGCCTCCCAGGTTCCAGTGATTGTCTTGCCTCAGCCTCCCAAGTAGGTAGGATTATAGGCACATGCCACCACACCTGGCTAACTTTTTTTTTTTTTTTTATTCGTAGTTTTGCTCTCGTCGCCTGGGCTGGAGTGCAATGGCACAGTCTCGGCTCACTGCAACTTCCGCCTCCCGGGTTCAAGCAATTCTCCTGCCTCAGCCTCCCAAGTATCTGGGATTACAGGTGCCCACCACCATGCCCAGCTAAGTTTTTGTATTTTTAGTAGAGATGGGGTTTCACTGTGTTGACCAGGCTGGTCTCAAACTCCGCGACCTCAGGTGATCCGCCCGCCTCGGCCTCCCAAAGTGCTGGGGTTACAGGCGTGAGCCACCGCGCCCGGCTGAGAAATTCTTTATGCAACTTCTGTCCTGCTGCCCTCCCTGCCCAGGCCCCTCCAGGGCCTGTGCTGATTGAAGGGAGAAGGTCGCACCTTATTACAACTTACATCGCCACCTCGTGATACTTGCCAATTTCCCCTTTTTGCAGAGAGAGAAGGGAAACATTGGGCAGGCTAACGTTTTAATAACATTGTTTGGTTTTCACTGTATTAATTGTGTGTCTACCTTCTGTCTGTGGACAGTCACAGGCTGTCCATTTGTAGTGGTGGTATGGAGTTCTCTTTAGAAAATAAATGCATGTACATATAGTGGTTTCCATGAAATACGTAAATAATAGCACAGTTGGCAGAAACCACAAAGGTGGTATGGAAATGACTAATATTTGAGAAGCACTAGTTTGTGGCACATGGGACGGTATATTTGTGCTGTAGGGCACAGCGCTCTGAGCTCCCGGAGAGCAGATTTTATAAACACTAAGGTGGTTTTTTTTTTTTTTTTTTGGCCAACTTTATCTGTCAATTTACAAATAGTTGCTGGTAAGTGCTGTTTTTTCCTCCTGAATTTAGTTAAACCACCAAGGGAGGCTTTCTTACACTGGGATTGCAGTTGCTCTGTTGGATTGGGGAAAAAGTGTCCTAATGACCCAGGAACACTTTAATAAAAAGGTTCAGTTGAAACTACAGGAATGCCGAGAGCTGACTGAAAATGCAGAGAAGTTCTAAGGGGGTAATCGGCAGTGAGGGAAAAGTACAGTGCCTCGTGGCTTCTAGGATGTCCTTTGTCCTATATTCTCGGCTCTTTTCAAATTGAAGGAAGTGGGTGAGAGAGATGCTGCTAATTACATCTATGAATAAAGTGACACAGTGCACCGGCTCTGAGCAGAGACCAACACAACTCGAGAGAGAAAATCAGTCTGTCATATTTGTACAAATATGTGCACTTCGATGATAATTACCATAGTCATTGTTTACTATTGCTGCATTATATTAATTATCTATTCAGTGATATTAAATACATAACTCTAAACATCATCCCCGAACAAATTACCTTTTATCAATTGAAACAAACCAATTAAAAATTTCAAAATGCAACCATGTAATCAACGGCTTACTACACGATAATTATGACCAAAATGCCAATTAATGTGTTAATATATGACCTCAAATCTACAGAAACAAACAACAAAAAAAAGCAGCCTCACATAGCAATTATGGCCTCGTTTGATTGACAGATATCTGTGGGTTTGTTTTTCTGTCTGACTCGGTAATTTGACTTATATGAAAACAGCCGGCCTGTTCTGTCCCGTGTTCTGAAGCCTGTTCTTTCCCGTGTGTGACAAGCGCGCAGGATTAAAAAGCACAGCCTTTTCTCTTCAGCTCCTGCATGTCCCTTCCCTGCACTGCCCAGTTGCATCCCTTTCCAGCATCGTTTCTGCTGCTCTTGAACCTGTGGAGTGGGAAGCAAGACAGGGATCTCTCATTTTATATATCAGTAAGGTGTGGCGTGGACAGACCCGTGTCGCTCCCTGGACACCACTGGTGGTATTGATTTTATGGAGCAGAGGCTGGTGCATGCATGTGTGTGTCAGGTGGGCAGTGATGGGGGGGTGGGGATGAGGCATGGTGATAATTCACAACATACCCTCTATCTAGTTGGGATCCGTAAAGGAGGAGGTTAGGGGAGGGAGGATCCATGCCTACTTGTGGAGGGTATCAAGAAGGGCTTCCTGGGGAGGTGGAGGTGAGCCGAGCTCACCAGGAGCTTCACCTTCCTGGGGAGGCGCAGTGAGCCAAGACTGCACCACTGCATTCCAGCCTGGGTGACAGAGCGAGAGTCTGTCTCAAAAAAAAAAAAAAAAAAAAAAAAAAATAAGGGCTTCCTGTAGGAAGCTTAGTCAGTGGAAAGGATTTAGAGAGGAAGGGACAGGAAATAGAGAACAGCAGGCCGGGCGTGGTGGCTCACGCCTGTCATCCCAGCATTTTGGGAGGCTGAGGTGGGCGGATCATGAGGTCAGGATATCGAGACCATCCTGGCTAACATGGTGAAACCCCGTCTCTACTAAAAATACAAAAAATAAAAAATTAGCCGGGCGTGTTGGCAGGTGCCTGTAGTCCCAGCTACTCGGGAGGCTGAGCCAGGAGAATGGTGTGAACCCGGGAGGCGGAGCTTGCAGTGAGCCCAGATCGCGCCACTGCACTCCAGCCTGGGCGACAGAGTGAGACTGTGTCTCAAAAACAAAACAAAACAAAGAGAACATTCTAGCAGGAGAAAGGGCGTTGAGTGCTTGGGTTGGGTCAAGGCACAAGTCTGGCTGAAATTTAGAATCTTTGAAGGAAAGCGATGGTGAGATTATTTAGACTGGGAAGATGAACCTGCCAATCTTATTTCTTATTCTGCGTGTGTCACTTGATGAGAAGGCCATGTCTCCACCCTTTAGTAAAGGCCAAGGTCATTTAAAAGGTTACCTGGCCTTTTTAAGTGACTTGAAATGTTTAGCACAGTTTTAGAAGGTCAGTGTCTCACCACCTGACCCTTATTTCCTTGGTTTATGATGGCCAATTTATTGCGTCTGTTTTATTCAAAAGAAAACTGAGGGTGCTTCTGAAGTAGTTTCTTATTTCAATGTGTACACACCTCCACTCTGAAACATGGCTCCCTTAACTGCACAGGCAAATTTATCACATGTAGTTGTGAACATATATTTGTGTGTGTATTGCAGTGGAAAATCCCCTTGAAAAATCAGCAAATTGGACTTCAGCTTGAAAAGTATAGACAGAGAACAAAACTGTCTGTGTGCAAATATATGTATATGTGTGTATCTAAAAACATATATAAACACATGTATACGTATGTATATATAAATAAAATTGGATTGAGTCATAAAAGTATAAATATGTCCAATGTAAAATCTACTAGAGAAGGAGTTTGTTTTTATGACTCAGAGGGAATGTGTAATAAAGAGGTATTTTTAAGACCGAGAGCCAGTGTGTGTCAGCTTCTTTTTGCCCATTGTTTGTGTCCTGGGCAGGAAGATGACTCACTAGATCTGAATCACAAGGCAATTAAGAGCCCCAGGAAAGGCTGATTTCAGGATGGATATTTAGAAGCTTCAGCTAAATCAGGTCTTGGGTATCTAGGTGGATTGGGGAATCAGTGAAACAAATATTTCTCTTCATTGTTTTAGATTCTGTGGATCTCTTGCTCAGTACAGAAGTACTTTTTTTCCCCCAAAAAATCATATGAAGAAAGAGGAAGCGCTGCCCATTCTGAAGGAGGTTGTTAAAAATGAGTAACGCACACTTCATGTTCACAGCAGCAGTATTCACAATAGCTCCACGTGCCCGTTGACAGGTGAACAGGTAGACAGAATGTGGTCTATCTGTGCAATGGAATAGTATTCAGCCTTAAAAAGGAAGGAAATTCTGTCACTTGCTACAACAGGGATGAACCTTGAGGACATGATGCTATGAGAAATCAGCCAGCCACAAACAGACACATACTATGTAATTCCACTGAGTCGAGGTTCCTAGAGTAGTGAAATTCATAGAGACAGAAGGTAGAACGGTGATTTCCAGGGGCTGAGGAGAAGAGGGGATGAAGAGCTGCTGTTTAAAGGATGCAGAGTTTCAGTTTTGCAAGGTGAAAAATTGCTGGAGATTGATCGTACATCAGTGTGAATGTACTTACCACTACTGAGCGGTACACTTAGAAATGGTTACGATGGTAAATTTAATATGAGGTGTCTTTCACCACAATTACAAAAGTGGAATGAGTGAAGCTTATTAAGGATAGACAGCAGATGGCTGAGAAGTTGGCCTGGCTGGACCGTTGTCTGGGGGGAGCATGTGGATGAGGCATGAGGTGGGGAAATAAGGAACCTGTCTTTCTTCCAGTTAATTGTTCTTTCCCCCTTGCCTTCCACCTTCCTTTCCCTCCTGATGGCTCATCCTGTCTCCCTCTCACGTGCCTGCTGTATACTTTCTTCCTTTTCCCTGCTGGTCCACCCGACCTATTTTTACTCCCTCACATTTGGTTGTCTTTATCCTCGGAGGAGAATGCTCACACCAGCGTCTTTCTTCAGGACAGCTTTCTACCTTCCTTTTTTTTTGCCATTTTAAGACCGACAGTGGCATAAGGTCACTGGGTGAGGTAGAGATACACTGATCTTTTTTTGGTGGCAGTTAGGGATATTGACATTGGTCATTTCCCAAAGCGACAGCAGTGGTAGCACAGGTGAGGGTGTCGCCCACCGTCTGAGAAACCCATGAAGTACGCTGGCTGCTCTTCCATGTTGCCCCCTTCATAACAAAGTGTTCGCTATCACGTTAAGAAATATGTTCGAGGAGGAAGCCGTGCAACAGCTTCAGAAAAAAATTCTAGAGCTAGAACATGCAGTTGGTTTTCAAATCTCATATTCTTAATTTCAATCCTTTTATTTCGGATCCAGGCTTTAGGATGCCTCTCTCTCTGATATCACTAAATAAAAATTATCCAAATGTTTAACATTATATAGAAATAAACATAATGGTGTATTTGACAAAATTTGACAATTTTCATGTGGATATTCAATGCCTTGTGGTCAAAGTTTAAATCAAAACCAATGTGGTCTTGGCTTCAGGAATCTGTACCATCATAGATAGCAGTGGAGAAGAGGAAATAATAGTCTGGTATCCTTAACCCATAATATAGATTGTATATTTGTTGAAAGTAGAATGCAAGGGTGGCAAAGGCCTGATCTTGTTGAGGGATGGGAATTTGTCAAACGCAGTCACTGAATCTGTGTGGTGGACACGCGTGCTTGAAAACCTTGCGGAAGAGTAGCCATCAAAAATACTTACAGTTCTTACCAAGGTTACGGCAGGGCAGGGGTGCTACCCAATAAGGTAGCACCCAAATCGGCTTCACTGCTTCAATACGATGGAAGGCTGAAGGACACATTTGTGGTTTTTTTTTTCTTTTCTTTCTTTCTTTTTTTTGAGACTGAGTCTTGCTCTGTCGCCCAGGCTGGAGTGCAGTGGCACAATCTCGGCTCACTGCAAGCTCTGCCTTCCAGGTTCATGCCATTCTCCTGCCTCAGCCTCCTGAGTAGCTGGTACTACAGGCACCCGCCACCACGCCCAACTAATTTTTTGTATTTTTAGTAGAGACAGGATTTCACCGTGTTAGTCAGGATGGTCTTGATCACCTGACCTCGTGATCCACCCACCTCGGCCTCCCAAAGTGCTGGGATTACAGGCATGAGCCACCGCGTCCAGCCAGGTTTGTGTTTTATAGGAAGAATAAATTTCCATTTTAAATGAAACAATTCTACTTTTTTCTTGTGAAATAATGTTGAAGTATAGATAAAATATATCAATTGTATGAAGATCATTTAAAGAAAATCACATGTATATTGAAAAAGATTTTAATTTTTTTTTCTTGGAAATAGTGATCTATTGTTTTAATGGAAAAAGGAAGTGTAGTTTTTAAATGTTCTTTAATATTGATTTACAGAAGCTTAACATTACCTTTTTAAATACCACAGGTACAGTAAAATTTAATGGGAAAGCTAATTTTTAATAGTTTGATAATGTGTATATATTTTATATATATATAGGTTTTACCTTGCATTCGCATTTTAAGAGAACAAGCTTATTTTATGATTAACAGAATCATTAAAAATTTTTTATTGTAAGCTTGCCAGAGTCCTAGATTTAAAAAGTTATACTCACACCACATATAGTCTAATGACGACAATAAGGATAAAGAAATACTGAACTTTTTTAAGTAGGCTTATGTCGGTAGGGATATTGATGACATTCTGAAACTATTTTGTGTTTATTTAGGAGAGAGTAAATGAGCAACTAAGTGAATTGATGTGTTGGACACCAACATTTTCACTGTGGAAGGAGACATAAATATGAGGAATGTGAGGTACTGGATTTGAGTTGAAAGTATCAGTATGAAGTCATGTTAAAATACACCCACGCTCTCTCTCTCACTGTTGTGGTTGTATCAACTGAAGAGCCTAGAAGCTGTGCCATCCCAATACGCACACATTCTCTCTCTCTCACTTTTCTAGTTGTATCAGCTGAAGAGCGTAGAAGCTGTGCCATCCCAGCCATTATGAGCATCTCTCATGCCCAGATCTTCGTTTCTGAATTTCTCTTTCCACTAGAAGAAACCATGAGAGAAATGGCGAGCCTGAGATCCTTTATTGCACCAAAAGCAAGGAAGTATGGAAGGAGAGCTGAGGGCTTGCCAGGACATTGGCTGACATGGTCTCTCACTGGTCAAACTTGGGATGGTTGGAACATCAATAAAGAATATTAATGATCATGGATTATAAGTACATTAAAAAAACCCATATGAGTCCACAGTGATGAGAGTTGGGCTGGAGCAGGGAGGGGAAAGCTCTGCTTTATAGGAACATGCCAGATAACAAATATAGAAGGAGTTAGAGAATTAGAAACTCCTCATGTTATAACCTTAATGTAATCAACTGATTCAGGATGGATGTGAAAACTATTGGATGAGAGGCTGTTGATGTTAGCACAGTATTCTCTGTGCTTTTGCAATGTAGAGATTGGCCGTGACCTTAATGAAGTGGTCAGGTTTGGCGTCACTAATGGTGGGAGTCCTGATGTGATGCGGTAGGAGGATACCTGAAGCCCCTGGGAAGAGTGGCTTCGATGCTGCCAAGGAGAATGTCATGAAGTACAGAGCTAAGTGCAGGAACTGTTTCAGATTAGGGAGACCAAGCAGAAATAACAGCCAATTGCAGTGAATGAAACTTGGTCGGATTCCATATCGAAACAAACAAAATGGCTATAAAGGACATTTTTGAGACAATCGGGGAAATGTGAGTGTGGACTGTATGTTGGATGATGGTATTGAATCACCCTTTCCTTTTTTAAAGGTGTGACTGGATAGGAGAAGGTGTTTATTCTTGAGAGATGCCTTTTGGATTACTTAGGGTGAAATTTCACAAGGTCTTAAGTCCAGTTTTGGATAGTTTGGTAAAAGGAAAGCATGTGTGTGTACGTGTGTGTATGAGAGAGAGGGGATTTGAGAAGATATTAATTCTTGGTGAATGTAGGTGGAGAGTTATCAGTATTCAATGCTATATCGTTTGTTTCTGTAGGTTTGATATTTTTGAAAATAAACAATAAGTAAAACTAAGTGGCATAGAAATTAATCTCTTCTTTTCATATGGACACATAGAGACATGGTGCTAGGATGGCATGTGGGAAATAGTTTCTGCAAGATGAGCATATTCTTCCTCCACTGCCCCTACCAGAGAAATGTGAATGCTGATTCACTTCTTTTGACCAGTGGTGATGGAATAGAATTTTCCAGTCATGCAGTTGTACTTATTGCCTTCTGGTTCTGTATCGATAAGCTTCATTCCTTTTTTTTTTTTTTTTTAGCTTCATTCTTTAGAAATTGGATTCTTTACTTAGTCAAGTCTATAATCAAAATAGACTTTCCATGGTAAGTAAAGTAACATGGGAGCGCATAACAATACCTGTCATTTATGAAGACCTACTGTGTGCTTGGCACTGTGCTGTGCTTTTATTTAAGTCTTCTCCATTCTTCATCATCCCCACATTACCAGGAGGAGACAGGCTCAGGATGACAAGTGGCTTTTGCAAGGCCGCGTGGTGAATACATCGTAGATTTGAAATTTAAACCCAGTTCTTTCTGACTCTAATTTACCTATATGTTCATCCTCCAGTATCATGCTACCTGTATGCCTGGAAATAAACCATTTTACATAGTTTCTAATGGGATTACATTTTTAAAGGAAATTCATGGTAGTAAAGATCTCGTTAACACTCCCTTGATGTATGGTATTTGAGTTTAAGTGTGAAAAGAAGACACTAGCAATGGACTTGTACTGAGATTCAGGAACCCTGGCTTCTGCTTCCAGTTCTCTCACTGTCTGATGGTGTGATTTGAGGGCCTTAGTCTTATCAAATATAATCATTGGTTGGTCTGGTTGATATCTCAGTTAATTTGGGAAACTAAAATAGCATGACATTTTCAAAGAATTTTTAAAAAGATTACTGTGGCAGAAGCAAGTTCTGGGGGTGGAGGTGCATGAGGAGGGCTTGGGATAGTGGGAGGTGGCTGGAGTAGGGGCTGGGTTATTAGGGGTCTGTAGGCAATGTTAGGGCTTCCAACTTTGTAAGGGGCAATGAAAGTTCTCATAGGTTTTTTACACTCTAAAATAATAATAATAATAGTTCTTTAATATCAAATATGAGAGTCAGAGTCAAATTTCCCTCATTTATACTTTGTTCAAATCAGGACCTAAAGAAGGTTCACACATTGCAATTGCTGATAGGCCTCTCTCCCCCTCTCTCTGCCCGCCCTCTTCTTCTTTCTCTCTCTCCCCATCTCCCTGTCTCTCTCTTCCCTTCCCTCTCTCCATCCCTCTATCTTTTAATAACAGCTGTATTGACATATAACTCACATACCGTACAATTCATCTATTTAATGTGTACAGTTCAATGGTGTCTTATTCCATTGGGCTACTATAACAGAATACCATATACTGGGTGGCTTATATGCAACAGAGATAAATTTCTCACAGTTCTGGAGGTGGAAAGTCCAAGATCAAGGAGCCAGCAGATTTGGTGTCTGATGAGGGCACACTTCCTGCTTCATAGATGGCACCTTCTTACGGTGTCCTCACATGCTGGAAGGGCCTCTTTTATAAGGGCACTAATCCCATCCATTAGGGCCCCATCCTCATGACTGACTAATAACCCCCAAGGCTCCACCTCCTAATACTGTCACATTGTGAGGAAAGATGTCAACATCTGGACTTCAAGAGGACGTAAACATTCAGACCGTAGCAAATGGGTATGAACTGCAGTCAGACAGTTGTGCAACCATCACCACAGTCAATTTTAAAACGTTTGCATTACCTCAAAAAGAGGCCCCATAGCTGTCAGCAGACATTCCTCACTTCTTCCCAACACTCCCCCAGCTATCGGCACAATAATCTACTTTCTGTGTCTATAGATTTGTCAATTTTGGATACTTTACATAGGTGGAATCAGATAATATGTGGCCTATTGGCTTCTTTCACTAGCATAAGTTTTCAGGATTCATCTGTGTTGTAGCATGCATCAGTGCTTCAGTCCCTTTGATTGCTGGTCATCTTCCATTGCATGGATGTATCCATAATTGTATGGAGACACCACATTTTATGTATTCATCAGTTGACAGACATTTGGGTTGTTTCTACTTTTTGTCTATTGTGAATAATGATGCTGTGAATATTTGTGTACAGTTTTTTTTGTGTAGACACGTTTTCCTTTGTCTTAGATATGTATCTAGGAATGGAATTGCTGGGTCATATGGTGACTCTGCATTTAACATTTTGAGGAACTTCCACACTGTTTTCTAAAGTAGGTGTGCTATTTTTCAGTCCCACCTGCAGAGGATTCCAGTTTATCCACATCCTCTCCAACGCTTGCTGTTGTCTGTGTTTTTGATTATAGCCACTCTACTGCGTGTGAAATGTTATCTCATTGTAATTTTGATTTGTATTTCACCAATAGCCATTGGAGGGTTTTAGGGATGAAATGGCATGATCTCATTTAGATTTTAGGAAGATCACTGTCACCGTATCAAAGAGGATGGATGAGAGAGGTGCAGGCAGATTACCAGATACCAGATGATGGATGGCAGCAGACAGGCCAAGGTAGTGGCAGTAAGAATGGTGAGAAGTGAGTGGATTACAGGGGAATCTAGAAATACTGTCCGTAAGAATTTGTGATTGGTCAGATGTGAGGATTGGGGAGCGCTGAAACTGCATTTCCTGCCTGGGCACCTGCGTGAGGCCATCCATTGACAGAGGGGACAGAGCAGGGTGGGTAGTGGAGAGTGGTGTGTGCAGATCTGGAGGGGTTGAGTTTGCATTTACTATCAAGAGAGGAGATCAGGAGTGGTCTCTGGGCTGGAGGCAGACATTTGGGAATTGTTAATATATATCAGCAGTATCTCCAGAACTGGGAATGGCTGAGGTTGGAGAGTGAGAGGAAACTAGGATATTTGAGCTTACCTCTTACTTCTGGAGCTTTGTGATGCTTTTGCCCTTTTAGAAAAATGCATGGAAGTACAGTTTTTTACTCAATATGGAATACAGTTAAAGAACAACATTTCCTTCACTTTATTGAAATTTGTTGCAGGATAACATCTCTGTCAAAGCACTTTACAAGGCTTTCTAGTAAAGTAAATTTTGTGTATTGCAGTGGGGAGAGGGGAGGGGGTTGCCTCTTGTAAGGCAGAATTTGATTGGCATTATCTCTTAAGTCTTCATTTCCAGCAACAATCTTAACATGCTGTTTAGATTTAAATGGTGGGTGGACCATATGTCATGAAGAGGTACAGTGATAGAAAACAATCTCTAAATATCTAACCCATTTAAGTGGTTCCTACAGGTTTTTATGTTTTTGAGATACATGCCTAATTTTGGATTATTAATTCTTACTGGAATTTTGTCTGTTAAGTTAGGAAGAAACGACTTATAAAGTTTCCTTTGGTTTTCCCCAGGAAGATACTTTTATAACATGAAATCTTTAAAAAACCCTTTAGAAAAGTGGTCTATATAATTCTTAGCAGGGTGTTGAGATCAAGTGCTTTTCTTCTTTTCATTTTTTACACTTTGTCAGTTGAAGATGTGCAAAGAAGTCCATTTGAAATTTCCCTCGGGCCACTTAATTCAGCTTCATTACAGTGGAAGTGGGTTAAAAATGATAATCATACAGCCCCAACAGGTGATTAGAAATATAGATAGGATGGGGCCAGGCACAGTGGCTCACACCTGCTCAGCACTTTGGGAGGCTGAGGTGGGCAGATCACGAGGTCAGGAGATCAAAGACCATCCTGGCTAACACAGTTAAACTCCGTCTCTACTAAAAACACAAAAAATTAGCCAGGCGTGGTGGTGGGCCCCTGTAGTCCCAGCTACTTGGGAGGCTAAGGCCGGAGAATCGTTTGAACCCAGGAGGCAGAGGTTGCAGTGAGCCAAGATGGTGCCACCGCACTCTAGCCTGGGCAACAGAGCGAGACTCCATCTAAAAAAAAAAAAAAATCTATATAGATCTCTATAGATAGGATGAATCCATGACACGTCCTTAAAACAGTTTTATTTTTTCCGTTTCATGAATTTAGCAGGAGGATCCTATTCTCACTGCAACCTCTGCCACCCAGGTTCAAGCAATTCTGCCTCAGCCTCCCGAGTAGCTGGGATTACAGGTGACTGCTACCACACCTGGCTAATTTTTGTATTTTTAGTAGAGACAGGATTTCACCATCTTGGCCAGGCAGATCTTGAACTCCTGACCTCGTGATCCACACCCCTTGGCCTCCCAAAGTGCTGGGATTACAGGCATGAGCCATCGTACCCGGCCGAGATTTCATTTTTAAAAAACATGAATCCAAGAAGTGACTTGAGTTCCAAATAAATAAATTTATAAATTTACTTATGTTCTAGAATAAATGCAAGTAATTATGACTGCATTAGTGCAGCATTAATTAACATTGCTAATTCTTTGTAATTATGCCAAATAATAACACTAATAAAATGTAAATATCAAATGAATAAGGCGAGAGCCTCCCCTCCTCTTTTTAAAGCCACTATATTACAGTGTCAGATTATGAACACACAATATTATCAAGCTTCCAGATATCCACTTTCTAAATACGGTCTGTGTGAATTCTAATGAAAACATCAGCTCTGTGGTATAAATCTCCTTTGCCGCCTGGTTCAATGAGGGGCTGCCCAGCAAGCCAATAATTCCATTCCTCAGAGCATTGCTGAGAATATTTATATAATTAAATATCATCTGTTTCCCCATTTAATTCCTGGTGGCTATCCCCCAACCCCCTGGCTGTTTTTGCTGTTTCCTTGGGCAGGAATGGCACAATAAAGTTGCTGCAGTGCTGATGGATTATCTTCATTAGGTACTTGGGTGATGAGTCCCCAAGCACTGCTGAATTTGATTTACCCTGTGCAAAGGCCCAACCTTCCATAGAAGCGCTAAGTAGGGCAGGTTTTATGCAGCTTGAACTGGTTGGTGTGAAGAAGAAGGAAAAAATTAAGTTGTTCTTCTAGAAAACAATTTTGGGAAATGCTTTGGTCTCTTAGGAGAGCCTCCTTTGCCTCCTTTTATACAATCTCAACAAATGGTGATACTGAAAGTCCTTTTTGGTAAGAAGAGGCGGATGAAGTGAGAACGTGGTGAGCTGGAGAGAATGCAGGAGACCCGGGTTCTGCATCTGGGGTCAGAGCTGAAGCCAGGCTGACCTTCCTTGGGTCTCGGGGTGTCTGCATCTGGGCAGCGATGGAACAGGACTGTGGCTCTCCAAGGCCACTTCAGCTTTGGAGTGGGACCTTCGTGAATCCCGCCCCGCCCCTGATAACCATGGGCCCTGGGCAAGTCACCCCATCTCTCCCCGCCTCTGACACTTTGTCTTTAAAATGGGAATACACCACTTGTTTTGCCCACTTGTTACAGGGTGGTCCGGAGGTCTGAATACAAGAGCGCACTGCATGGTCCTGTGCGGATCCCAGCTCGCAGCAGGTGCCCACAGGACGCCGCCCCTCGCTTCCCTCATGTCCTAGATTCTGTGAGACACAGCCCGTGACACTTTGAAGCAGGGCCGTAGGAATTCCGATGGGAGGTGATTAGAGAGAATAAACAAAGTGACGGAGTTGGGCCTGAGACAGGGGAGTGGTCTGCGGTGGAACAGTGCTGGAGTAACTCCTGCCACTCTGAGCCAAGGCTCTTATTTATTTTTATTTTGGACAGGGTACTTGCAGAATCAAGGCTTTGGGAGTCTGGTGAGTGGTCAGACCCTTCATGAATGGGATTGGTGGCCTTATAAAAGGGACTCCAGAGATGTCTCTTTCTCTCCTTGCACCATGGGAGGACGAAATGGGAGTCTGGCCATCTGTAGCCCAGAAAAATGTTCTCACCAGAACCTGACTGCTACCACGAAGGGTGTTTAACCTACATTGAGTGCCAACTGTGCTTCTCCTTTAATTCAAAGCCTTTGATTTCTGGGGGTGCCTGTTCTGATGGCACTGATGGGCACCCCCTGTTGAGTGGGGCAGGTGACGGGAGGAGGACTGGCGGCCGTCAGTGGGGGCTACCATGGGGGTCCAGGGGGCCTGTCAAACTGTGGCACAGGGGAAACCCGTAGCTCTGTGCCTTACTATTTTACTATACCATCTCATTTAGTGCCCACGATTTCTTAAGAGGTAGGCACTGAAGGGGAAACCTGTAGCTCTGTGCCTTACTATACCATCTCATTTAGTGCTTATGATTCCCTAAGAGGTAGGCACTGAAACCATTACCATTTGTAGATGGGGAAACCAAGGGTCACAGTGGCTTGCCCAAGGCCACACAGGTCATAGGTGGGAGAACTCATTGGAGCCCTCCCCGCCTCAGCCACGACAGTCGTGTGTAAAGGTGGGTTCACGGAATATCATGGGGCCTCCTGTGGTCTTAAAGTTTGCACCTCTCCAAATTCCTAGGTTGAAATCCTAGCCCACAAATTCGTAAGTTAGTATTTGGGGAGGGGGCTCTGGGAGGTGATTTGTTACGAGAGTGCGACCCTCATGAATGGGACCAAGAGCCTTAGTGCCTGCCTGAAAGGGACCTCTTTGCACCATGGGAGGACACAATGGGAGGTTGACCAACTGTAGTCCAGAAGCGGGCTTGTACCAGAGCCTGACCATGCTGGCACCTTGATCTTGGACTTCCAGCCTCAGAACCATGAGAAATACACTTGTGGTGTTCATAAGCCACCCAGTCTGTGGCAGTTCGTTATAGCAGCCCCCGCCGACTCAGACCACGCTGTAGGATTTGAAGCAGGTGTGCTGAGAATGTAGGGTAGACATGTCATGGTGGCCGGTCACCTTCCATTGTCTTCTCTTTCTAAACGGCACCCACCTTATGGGCTGCTATGAGAAGGAAATGAGGCCAGTGTGTGGACTGGCGCACCCACTGTTAATCAGCTGCCGCTGCTTGGCCCGTTTCATCTGCCCGGAGGCCGTTCCTCACTGACATCAGCTAGTCATTCTGCCCTTCACCTTGGGAGGGCATCACACCTTGTGCCTTCGTAGAGAAAAATTCCTGTTTCTGCCCCACGCTGGAAAGTCAGATAAAGCCAGCACATGTCTGGAAGATGCAAGATGAAATGTGAAATCAGTATGGCATTGGGTGGAAACAGAATTCTACTGCACGATAATGACAGCCGAGATCAAAGGACCGTCTATTTATCGATAAGAGTGAAGGAAGGATAACATGGCAGCCAGAGGCGTCATCAAAGGGGAGGATGGCTGGGGTAAGACCCTCCAAGGGGGCCACAGGCCCTACCCAGATGGACACCGCATGCTGGTGTGGCAGACGAGGGCACAGACCAGTGTGGCCCCTCCGCCCTTTGCCCCAGTCGGCATTGTCGGCTGTTGCTGGCCCACAGCTGAACATGCTACGTGTCATCTAGAACCAGCCTTTCTGTCTCCATATTCTGAGTCCACAAGGGACAGTAATAATGTTGGGCCCACCCCTGGAAATGTAAGAAGAAATTCTCTTAGCCTGTCTTATCTTGTACTTGATTCTTTAGGTCCTTCTCTTAAGTTTTTCTTTTCTGTTCTCCTGTTAATCTGTCTTTCTTTTTAAAACCGCATACTTACACAGCTAGCGTTTTATTGCAGAATACTACTTTTAACTGGACCTAAAGAGAAAAGTCTAAGGTGTTAGCAGGTATCATTCTCACCAGTCATGAACGATTGCCATTCACAGTTTAATGTTATCCTAGTCTTATCTGTCCTGACCTCATTTCTTGATTAAAATGTTCCTGTTAAATTTCCTGTAAATCCTTCCTAGGTGAAAAATCCCTCCGAGGGCTGCGTATCGCCTGGGGCTGTCGTGTATTTTGGCAGCAGATCCCTTCCCTTGGCTGCTGGCTGGGTTTCTCCAAGCTAATGCTGTTCGGTGCAAAGGAATGGCCCTCGTTAGCTTCCTGAGCTTTTTAGAAGTTTTAGGCTGTGCTGGTTTTGACCCCTTCCTTCCTCTCTAGGACTCCTGAATAGGCCGAAGAAAAAATTAAATATTTAATAAACAACCCAATGTCACAGAGAATGGGAAAACTCTTGGGATTACATACTTGTACCCAAATCCTAATAGACTTTTTATGCTTATTGTTAATAATATACTATATTTGAAAGCAGAGTATAATGCCTAGGACGTAGAAGGACTTTAAAAAATGTTAGTTTCCTTTCCCTGTAGAATAGTCACCCTCAACCCTGGGCTGCACTTAAAAATCACCTGAGCCAGTGGCTCAAGCCTGTAATCCCAGCACTTTGGGAGACCTAGGCGGTGGATCACAAGGTCAGGAGTTCGAGACCAGCCTGACCAACATAGTGAAACCCTGTCTCTACTAAAAATATAAAAATTAGCCTGGTGTTGTCGCAGACGCCTGTATTCCCAGCTACTCAGGAGGCTGAGGCAGGAGAATCACTTGAACCTGGGAGGTGGAGGTTGCAGTGAGCCACGATCATGCCACTGCACTCCACCCTGGGCGACAGAGTGAAAAAACAACACAAAAAACTGTATTGATGTCTGGGCTGCATCCTAGACCAATTAAATCAGACTCTTGGAGAGTGAAGTCCGGGTGTTAATATTTTAAAAAGGCTCCCCAGGTAATTCTAATGTGCGGCCTAGGTTGAGAAGATCAGCTCTTAGAAGAATACAGCTGGCCGCCTTTTTGCTTTATACGTTTTGAGCTGCTGGCTTCTAATTAGAGTTAATATCATTACAATATAATGCCTTTGTTTTACATTAAATTTAATAAGAACAACCACTCTGCTCTCCAACAATATAGCTACTTTCTCTGGCTTAAGTGCTTCTATTCTTTTTTTAAAAAACAAACAAACAAACAAACAAACAAACAAAAAACTGAGTTTCCGATTAAAAACCCAAGCTTAGGCCAGAACAGAACTTTGGAACTGCAGTCAAACAAAATTTTAGATAATTGTTTTCTAATGGCTTCCTGACAAATGGAGACTAAAGACAGGCAAGGGGGCTAAGACCAGGCTGGGTGGGGAGAGGGGACAGCAGCACGTTGGTACCTGGGTCACCTGCCAGAAAATGAGTGGCAGTCTGTGCCCAGGTGGCTTCAATTTCCTGATAAAATGAAAAAGCCATGATATCTCTGTAGACCGAGTCTACGTCCTAACCCCCAAATCAGGACACATAGTCTTGTAAGTGGGAGAGTATACACGTGGACATTGTAGCTGGAATCTGAGCCTCAGTTTCCCCATCTGCCAATTGGAGGCATTGCAGAGTCCTCCTCAGGATTGCAGCACGGGTGAAAAGCTTGCTGACAAATAAATGCTTCCTATGTGTCAAACACCATTCTCAGTTTTAAAACGTGTTAAATAACTCTGTGAGCAGTTACCTTATCACCTGTCTTATACTGAGGAGGAAATCGAGGCACAGAGAAGCCAAGCAGACTGGCCTGGTCCCTGGAATAGCTGGGATTTGAACTTGGCAGTGATTCCAGAGTCTGGGCGTAAAACATCTGTGTCCAGTGCACAAGGTACCCAAGACCGTGTGGGCACAGGATGGACCCTCAAGGCAGCGAATGAAACCCGGGGCTGGTAAGGTCAAAGGTGTGTGAGCAGCAGTGATCCCAGCTTCACTCTGGAGAGCCAGGGCAGTCTCACACTGGGTATGAGGTGGGTGGGTATGGTAGTGGTGATGGTGTTGGTGACAGGCTTCTTTAGAAGTTTTGGAGCTTTTGGTTTCTCAGGTAGCAGGGGAGAATGAACTCAGAATATTATTAATGAAATTATCTGTAAGGTTGAAATGTACAGGAGTGCATTTTGGCATAATGGTGTGTATGTGCATGTGTGTTTTTGTGTTTGCATAACTGCATGCACGTGTATGCATTTGTATGATAGTGTGTGCTCATATGTGTGTATGTGTTTGCATATGTCTGTGCGTGTGTATGCATTTGTGTGACTACATATGTTATATTTACATGACTACATATGTGTGTGCATGCATATGTGTGTATGTGCATTTGTGTGTGTGTGCATATGTGTGTGTGCATGTGCATTTGTATGGGGTTGTTTGTGTATGCATGTGTGTTTGTGTGTTGGAGAATTATATAACAAGCGACTTTGTCTCATTCTTCAGCTTTGCATTCTGTGGGCTGGGGATCTGCATTTTTCCCTCCAGCCTCTTGTATTACCCAAGCTCACTCATTCACTTGATCATACTTTTACAACTCTGTGACATTTTTACCATCTTAGCTGGGCCCTTGCTTGTTGGTGGTTTTGCCCATTTCTAGGTGTGTGGCCTCCCTGGCCCTCATCTGTCAGCAGAGCCCATGGACTTACCCCAGAATTGCAACCCTGGAAGCATCTTAGCATCATCTGGGACTGATGCCCCCATACCCCTAATTAAATCAGGCCCTCTGCTCGGGAGCCATGATGGGTCTAGTGTATTCCTAGGGTTGAGAAACAACTGGCTGTATTCACCCAACCTATGAGAAGAGGATGAGGTGACATGGAGAAGTCAGTTTACAAGAGCTGGAGCAAAGTGCAGAGCCAAATATCTTGGCGCTGGGCTAATGATGCCCTTTTCATTCTCCCCTCTTCTTCTTCCCTCCTCTCCATTCTCTTCCAACACTGCTTCCCCAGGTCCCCTCTCCCATGCCAGGAATTAAAATGTTTTGTCTGGAAACAAGTGAGCTTGACTAACGTGGCCGGGCTCCCACTGCAGCTGAGTTCTGCATGTTCTGATGTCAGTGTTGTGAGCTTTAACTGGAGATTGGTGTCCAAAGGCAGCCGATACTGCTCTGTCCATTTCTGTTGTGCTGAAAATCACATGGAAACCAATCACATAATGATCTTGGGAATGAAGTATTCAATGCACAGTGTTATTAACATGTAAAAGACTTAGGGCAAATCACTTTTAAGTATGACAAGGCTTCAGATGTGTTTGGTTTGAGTATAGGGAAAAGAGTTTGGGGGGTTGTTTATCAGCAGTGCCATGAGGGAGGCTTATTTCTTCCCTTTAAATCTGGATGAATATGCCTGTGTGCGCCGCATGATAATAACAATCACGCCAGCCAGGAGATTAGCTGAGCTTTTGCTCTAGTAATTCTAGCATGCAAATTCAAAGGACTGCAGAGGAGGCAGGGGAGGAGCGTACTTAGCATCTTTTGCTCCCCTACATCCTAACCTTTGTGCTGTGTCTTAGGTTCATCTTAGGGACGGCTGAACGTGAAACCTCCATGATGTCAAAAGCCTGGAGAGTTGGGTCCATGCATGAATGCTGATCCACTTTCTCTCATAGTGAGATGTACAAACAGAAGGGTACATAAAACTTAATAATTATAGAAACCCATGTAACTACCCCCACCCCTAAGGAAAAAAACATTGCCACTGCCCTAGAAGGCCCTATACCCTGATGTTATTTAAGAAAATGGACCGCGGAAGAGAGGCACATGGGTGGCCAGGAATGGAGAAGCTCTGTTAGGACTTGGGCATGGCACTTCTTGACTGTTTCTGATCTTTATGAGGCAGTAGGGATTCTGGAACCCAACAGTTTGGGTTGCAATCTCATCTATGTTACTTACTAGCTTTGTGTCCTTGGGCAAGTCCCTATGCTCCTTGTGCCTTAGTTTTCCTATCTGTAAAATGGAGATAATAAAAGTGTCTACCTTGTAGGATAATTGTGAGCATATCAAGTGTGTTAATACATGTAAAATCATTAATACAGCATCAGGCACATACATGTTAACTACTATTACTTTATTAATAATCTTGGTTCTAAAACCTTGTGTTGTTTTATATGTGGAATTCCCAGTCTTCTAAACAGTATCTCTCTCTATAGATGACTGTATTATCCTGGTCTTCCACGTCGCTGGTGTGCTATCATCCCTGGCCAACTCAGATGTCACTGGGCATCTCCAGCACAGCCACTGTTCTTCCTTCCACTCCATGCAGAATGTGGCAGCCTGGCACACAAATAATTTTTAATAAAATTTTAGTGTATAAATGTGGTTTTTGGAAAGTAGGGAGGAGGGAAGTAGCATTGATTTAATATTTAAACAGTACCATTTAAACCTAGTAGCAAAACCCCTATACGATAATGAGTTGTAGTCTATTTTACAGATCAAGAAAGTGAAGCTCAGAGAAGGGAAGCAACTGGCCCAATGTCACATAGCTAGTAAGTGACTCAGCTGGGATTCGACCACACTTCTGTTTTCAGAAGTGCCCATCCCTTGCGGGGATTTGAGCTCTCACAGCCCAGCCTCCCATCCTTGCAGGAATCCTTCCTTCCACACTCCCAAAAACTGACCATGTAGGCTTCACTAAAGTAAATCATAAATTTGGAAGTCTAGGACATCTTGAACATGCTAAATATGTATCAATACACCTGATATATTGTTTCCAGTCACAGATAATTCCAGTTGATTTTCAGGCATGTGTAGATACTCATGATATAAAGATTGAGTTGTTACTAATCACTATGAGGCACGGGCAGGTCTTGAGGTAGAACCTCATGAGGGGAATGTTATAAGTACTTTTGCATTCGTATGATTTTCCCCATAACCTTCTCTCATGCTGGCAGGAGATAGCTCTCTTTTCCAAATTCTCAAGTTGGCACAGTTATGAAAACCTTCTAGGACATCAGTGTGATGATGTCCAGAGACAGGGGCAGACTCCTGATCTGTGGCTGTGCTTGGTACTCCCTCACCCCTTCATTGGTCTAATGGGCCAGCTGAAGAATTTACACAATAGGAAAATTGGCCAAAGCCTTAACATTGTTACCAACCTGCATTTCTTCATGAAGAAAGCACAATACTTGCCTTAACTGAGGGAAGTTTCGCAGGAAGGGGTATTCAGCTGTGTGAGTATGTGCTCTGATTCTTGCCTGTTTCTCAGTTCCCTGTGTGTTACTGCCACTTTCATTTATTACTGTTTGCTTATTTTAGAGCTATGTACCTTGCACCCTGTATGAAATTAACTCAAAGTGGATCATAAACCTAGGTGTAAAACATAAAACCATCAAACTTCGTGAAGAAAACATTGGCAAAAATCTCTGTGACTTTGTGTTAGGCAAGTGATTCTTAGATAAGACACAAAAACCAGAAGCCATAAAAGAAAATGATAGATTGGACTTCATAAAATGAAAATGTTATTCAAAAACATTGTTCAGAAAAATGAAAAGACAAATCTTGCCCATGTTCATTCCCAAGCATTTCATTTTGTCTGATGCTATTGTAAATGATACCTTAAAAACTGAAAAATTCCTAACCATTCATCATTAGTACATAACATTTGTTTTTAATAATTTTATTTTTTAATAATTTGTTTTAATAAGTTTTGTATGTTGACCTTGTCTTCTGAGACCCATTAAGCTCACTTATTTGTTCTTGTAACTTTTTTGCCCATTCCTTGGTATTTTCTTTCTTTCTTTTTTTTTTTTTTTGAGACGGAGTTTCACTCTTGTCACCCAGGCTAGAGTACAGTGACGCAATCTTGGCTCACTGCAACTTCTACCTCCTGGGCTCAAGTGTCTACCACTACGCCTGGCTAATATTTTTTTTTTTTTTTTTTTTTTTAAGTAGAGACAGGGTTTCACCATGTTAGTCAGGTAGTCTTGAACTCCTGACCTCAGGTGATCTGCCCACTTTGGCCTCCCAAAGTGCTGGGATTACAGACGTGAGCCACTGTGCCGGGCCTTCCTTGGTATTTTCTATATGGACAATGCTTGTCTCCCTCCAAATTCATATGTAGAAACCTAATCTCCAATGTGATGATATCAGGAAGTGGGGCCTCGGGAGATGATTAAGTCATAAGGGTGGAGCCCTTAGGCATGGAGTTAGTGCTCTTATAAGAAAGGCCCCAGAGAGCTGCCTTGCGCCTTCTGTGATGTGAGAACACAGTGAGAAGATAGCCATCTATGAATTAGGAAGCAGGTCCTCAGCAGACACTGAATCTGCTGGTGCCTTGGTTTTGGACTTCCCAGCCTCCAGAATTGTGAGGAATAAATGACTCTTGGCCCTCCATGTCTGTCAGTTCTGCATCAGTGGATTCAACGAAACTTGGATCAAAAATGTTTTTAAAAAAAACACAAAAATACAGTGTATCAACCATTTGCAAAGCATTTACATTGTATTAGGTATTGTAAGTCATCTAGAGATGATTTAAAGTATATGGGAGGATGTGCATAGGTTACATGCTTATACTGTGCCATTTTATGTCAGGGACTTGGGCATCCTCAGATTTTGCTACCTATGGGGTTTTGGAACCAACCCCTTGCAGGAACTGAGGGACAACTATACTGTTGTTTATGAGCCATCCATTTTTATGGTACTCTGTCCAATCAGCCCAAGTTGGCTAAGACATAGATGATCATGTCTTCTGCGAATAATGATAGCTGATTTCTTCCTTTGCTATCTCAATGAATTTTACTTCCTTTTCTTATTGTGCTAGCTAGGCTCTCCAGCATGATGTTGCATAGGCGTGGTGAGAGTGGATATCTTCCCCTAGCTCTTGATCCGAGGGGAAAGCAGTCAGTTTTTCACCATGAAGAATGATGCCAGCTGTAGGTCTTTTGAGAGCACTGTCATTTTTACTTTTATTTTTGGCACATGGATGGGAAGGCTAAAGACTTGCAACTGACTTTCCTCCTATACCTTTAACATTTTGCTGAATGGTAGAGAAAGAGAAGCTGGGCCAGATGTAGTCTGGTTAGAATGCTGCTGGTTGGGAGTGAGTTTGAATATGTTTTAGAAATACTTTGTCTTTCTCTTCTATGTGCCATTCCTCTTAGTCTGTTCTTATTCCTGTACACTCCCTAGTCCTGAAAAAAGTAGTGACAGACCTGACATTTTAAGAGCACTATCCCAATTTAAACTGTACTTTTTTTTTTTTTTTTAACAGAGCTTTAAGGAAATGAACAGCTCTCTACATTTTCTTGTATTTGTAGCAGGAATTCTGATCAAATTTTCACCTTTTAGTTTCCGTGAGAGAAAACAAGGGCCTTACACCTTTGATGATAAGACATCAAGTAACTGTTACTACTGAGTAAAATGTAAGAAGAAATATACTTTTTAATTTGTCAGCATTGCCCTTCCCTCAGTGACCAAGTTGCTGCACATTTGATAGCACAGGCAACCACAGCAAACGACTGATACGGACTTACCCAGTTAATTACCTAAAGATTATATTACTGGAAAAAGCTAAATCATCAACTCAACCATGTGTAAACACTTTGAACATCATCTTTAAAATGTCTTTGCAGTTTGTTTAGGTGGTAGTGGAATTTGTACAAAGTATCAGTCATTGTAATAGCATTCTAATAATTCTGTTAACAACTGCTTGAAATCAGAAAGTATTATTTCTGTTGTTTAGATTTGCCCAAGCATTTCTTGTGTAATGTTATAAGCTGTTTATGTGCCTCTTAATAGATGAGAGAATGCACTATGTGAAGTCTGAAGTATCTGAAGTAGGTAATGGAACCAGAGGAACTTAGGTTATGAGATGGGGGTATATAGGTAATATCCCATATATCATAGTAATAACAAGACATAGAAACTAATATACTCACTCCCAGATTTCCATGGGGACTAGGAGGAGCCTCCATTGTAGCCGGGGTCAGGAATGGCAGGGTGGCAGAACTACAGATGCATGCTCCCTCCATGCCAATGTGTGGAAAGGGAGTGACGGACAAAGGCAGTGGGATCTGGTCACGGGAGTATGGGTTGGTGTGTGTCACCCTGCATGGGGTATGATACTGGGCTGCTACAGGAGCTCATGGATTCCAGATCAGCAAAGGAATGCCATTTAGGAGGCCTTGGGAGGTGCTGATGGGGTTGGAGGGGTGGCAAAAGCCAGAAAAGATGGGACTGGTAGGAAGGACATGGCTCCTGGGCTTCATTCTGGCGCTGTCTCTGAAGCTTGAGCGGAAGAGTCCAGCTGTGGTCAGTGGAAGTAGCAGGGCAGGGGAGGGGGAGGCAAAGGGGACGCAGGTTTCTAGCTTGGAACTCTGGCTGATGGCAGAGTATTAGCGTAGGGGCGGAGGTTAGGGAATATGCCAATTAGACCAGTAATGGAGGGAATATTTGACCTAAAAATAAAAGATAGACTTAGAACTCAGTCTTAAGGGGGCAAAAGAAATGGCTCCACTTGATATTGTAAATACCAATTGGAAGTTGGAGTGAACTTCTAAGAATCTAGGGCCCAAAGTCTCCCATGATGGGGATAGTGGACTCACCAGAGATGGGAAAGGAGGCCAGGTCACTGGGCAGCAGGGACTCAGGTTGCCTGTAGCTCACCCCTTCGCTTACTCGGATCTTGATTCATTTGTTGGGCCATGCATACCAAGAACCGATTATGTGCCACGCATAGGTGCTGTGTTACAAAGATGAAAGTGAGTCTTAAAGAGGTTATGTGTGAGAAGGGGACAGATGGGACCAGTCATTCTCAGCATAACACCGAGTGGAAATAACCATGACACAGATTGGAGCAAAGTGAGGAGGTGAAGCAGGGAGAGGATAGGGAAGAAGAATATTCTAGGTGGAGAGAAAGAGAAAGCATGTATAAAGACCATTTAAAATAGCACACTTCTGGAGGGCCACCTTTTTCTCACAGCAATCTGGGTCTTACAGCCCTTTTTCTGTTCAAAGTCTTCCTTAATACAAACTGTTTTATTTAAAATCTTAGTGCTTTTGGTTCGACTATGTGATCTTTAGCTTTACAGTGAGAAGGCGGTTAAATGCCAGGGCCCCTCTGAGCCGAAGGCTCTCCGTGTCTGCCTGCAGCCTTTGTTCTCTGCCATGTAAAAGATGAAAAATTGTGTCAGCAATATCACACCCAGTTACTGTGAAATCAAGGAATCGCTCTGGTGAAGAATCTGGGGGTGAAGACCAGACAAATCGAAACGGCTTGGCGTCATGATTTAACTTTGTCAAGCCAAAGAGAGGGCTCGTGTTTCAATAGTTAGCCTCACCTTGCATCTATACTGGGCCAAGTCTTCTTTCCGTGAATCCTGAACCCTGAAGGAATCGGCCTCCTCTGGCTGGTTTTAGGCATTGCCCATAAATCGAGGCTACAACTGTTCTCCAGGCATCTCCCTGACACCTCAAACGTATGCTCAGCACTCCTTGGGCCCCATGCCCAGGAATCTTTCCGCTTGTCTCTTTTCCGGGCTTGCAGCCAGGCTCAACTTTTCAAGATGTTGTCTTCCAAATCCTGCCTTGATTAACTCAATCTGCAGCCCCTTCTTTGTCACTGTTTTCTTGTCACTCTTTTGGTTTCTCCTGCAGTCATCTGTGTGCCTAGTCTGTCCCATCTTAGGCATTTGCAATTGCAAATGACTACATTAACATTTAATTCACACCAGGCAGCATTTGTCTGCTGCATAAAGACACACCTGGACTGCACGGAAGACTGAGGACCTGGGCTAATGGTCCCAGCGTGCTGTGGGTTTGGTTGGCTGAGGTCAGCATCCACATTGAGGTGGGTGGGCCTGGGCAGATTTCTAAGACAAGACAAGATGTGAGGACTCGTGTCTACATGGTATCTTCTAGCTTGGAACTCTGGCTGATGGCAAAGTATTAGTGGAGGGGCAGAGGTTAGGGAATGTGCCAATTAGACCAGTAATGGAGGGAAGGTTTCGGGGAAGGAGGTTAGAAGCAGCCTTAGCTGTCTGCACATTCCAAACAGGGATTTGAGTATTTGTTCCTGGATATTTTGGTGAGGGTGTGGAGAGGTAGGAGAGGGGAGCCTGCTTCCAACTTTGTAAAGAGAGAGAAGATATGAAGGACACAGATAGAGGAGCTTGCTGACAGCTAGAAAAGAGAAGGTGAGCCGAGCAGATGGCGTGCAGGTGAGCGAAGGCATGGCTAGGGGTGGACTCGGGATGGAGGAGCCCAGGAGGCTTCCCGGGAGCAAGTCTATGTGTTTGGTGTCACGCAACCATGCTTTTCCCACAACCCTTCTGTCTTGGGTCTTGTGGCACTGTCTTGGTTCTCTTGCTGCGTCCACTGGAGGCCTCTTCTCCCATGACTTCCCAGCTCACCTCCCCTCTGTGAGCTCAGGCCCCAGCCTGCAGTCCTACGTTCTTCGCACTCTCTCAGCTTCCTCCCCTGAGCTCATCCAGGCCCCCAGTCTCTGTTTTCACCCCTCTGGAGCAGACTCCCCAGCCTGTCTGCAGTCTTGTCCCCATCCGCCCTCTTGCTCCATCTTTCATTGCTGGTTAGACGTGTCTACTGCTATCTCTGTCACCTCCGGCTCAGCGTGCTGCACTCAGACATCCAACTGGAGGAGTCCATGAGCTGACCTCAGAGATGCCCTCCGACGCTGAGTTTCTTTGTCAAAAAACAAACTCTTCACTTTCATCTCTTCAAATGGCATTTTATTCTGTCCTCTGGTGTCTGTCAATAGATCTCATCTCCCCAGACAGGCTGCCTTCAGCTTCCCTTCACAGCCTTGCCGATCTTGCCCCTTTCCCTGTTAATCCACACAGCCATCACTTCTGAACTTAATTCCTATAGCCCCTGACGTTCTCTGACTCATCCGTCCCTTGTGATCTACCCGAACATGATTCACCATCCACATTTCTGGTTCTACTCTACCTGTCTAGCCCCTTTCCCACAACTTTTCTGCACTCACCCTCCTCTACTATGGCCGTCCCGGTCACTTCACCATCTTGGAGCACCTGGCACTCATGAGATGCCACGATGGTCACACTGCATCCCTTCCCTGAAACCTTCCCAGCCTGTCTCGGTCATTCCATTGTTTTATTTGACTTCCTCTAGAATCGATAATCTCTGCTACACAATTTAGCATGTAACCGTATATGCTCAGTGTTCCCTTTTTGAAGTATATTGGTCTTATCTCCGCAATTGGAACATGTTTACCCTGTTGGAACATACGCTGTTATCAAGTCACAACGATCATTATTTTTGCTTTCCCCAAAGTGTCAAGAATGTAACACAGGATCAACAAGTGTTGACTAATTGATAACCGAGATTCCAGATTAAAGACAAATTTTAGTCTGATGATCTTAAAAGTAATTATGCTGGGTGGAAAATACCCTCACTTTGGGTATGGTTAAAATGACTATCTTGAATATCTCATTAAGAGGATAATGTCTCATTGACATTTATACTGACAGCCCCTAGCATGGAGCCTTACGTACTGGCTAGTGTGTTGAATGAATACCTGACTTATTTAAGCTTTTCACTTTGAAGATGTTTGGTAGCATTTCCATCCAGTCCTTGTACATAGGTAATCATTGTCACGGAGGACCAAAGGGTCTTCAAAACCTGTGATGCCAAGGGGGCATTTTACTTTCTCCTTTTGTGTGGGTAGCCACAACTCTATTCGCCGTTTTTAATATTTACTTTTGGCTTTATCACTCCATCAAGTTGTTTATTTTTTATTCATTCCTTACAATAGATGTAGCAGAATGGGATAAGGCAGCATCATTTTCTTCCATTCCATTTTATCTTTTATCAGCATTTAGTTCTCATGTATAGCTTTTCCTGAGTCATCAGTATTGGGCTAATGGACTGGAAGGGCCCAAGTTGAATGGTAATTACTTACTCTGTTGCTGATAGCCCAGATGAGAATAGGACCTATTAGATCTGTAATAATGGAAATCTGTGTTTAATGCAGATCTTTTAAGCAGTTTGAAACGATCTCAAATTCATCTCTCTTTGCCATATGTTAAAATGTCACATTATGGTTTTAAAATTCAGGATGAGAACTGAAGTTTCAGGAGAGCCTGCCTGTGGAAAAGTCCTCAAATCTGTCCTTTTTAAAATCAGAAGCATTTGTTCATCTCAAATCAAGCCTCCTCAGAGATGCCAGCTCTGTCTGGGCAGTCCGTGCAGGCAGGGTGAGACGAAGAAGAATAGGGCTTAGTTCACAAGGATCTAGGACAGAAGGGGACTGAGGGGATGTGAGGATGGTGGACTTTGTGTGGTGCCAGGAGGCTTCCCAGAGGCTTGGGCCATGGATTCAGTGAATGCATTCAAGTCAGGAGCTCCTTTGTTTCCTTCTTCATGGTAGGGTCCAGGGCTGAATGCTCACACTTGTGTATCATTAGCTCATCTCCTGTTTCAGCAGCAGAAGACTTTAACTTTTCCCCAAATACTGCTTTCTTCTTTCCCCTTTTCGTGTGAAGAATAAAGGTACAGAAATTTGACCCAAGATACTTCTGTGCAAAGGCCATCCTCTTTAGATTCCAGACCAGACTTACGAAGTGAACTGGTTTACACAGGTCATAGGTCAATCAATGCTGGAATGGGGGCTCAGAGCAGAACCTAGTCCCCACCCAGGGCTCCTGCCATCACTCTCAGAAGTGTTACAACTGGAACTTCTGGTCATCAGGATTGTTGTGTTTTTGAGTTATTTTCAATAACCTGTATCATTCTTCTTGTCTGGGAAATGGCCCTAAATAATTTAGCTTCCTCTTAGTACAGAGTCTTGTCTGGAGACATATTGATGGGGGCTGTAACCTCACCCAGTTTCATAAATGAAGCAGGTTCATGATGGAGCTCCTGTTTCTCAATAGAGACCTTAGAATGAGAAATGGTTCTCAAGACTTGTTCAGTTTATTACGTGCTGTTTGCTGTTTGATTCAATGAGTCTCTTGTATCTTTGCAAATGGTAGATGTATTGAGTAGTACTAGTATGGTGTTGAAAAAGTTGGTACTGGTGAAATGTTCCAACCTTGAACCTCCTGTGACTTGGAAGAGTCTTCACAGAATTCAGGACAGACAGGTGGTGCTGATTCATTGGTGGGGGATTGGTTTATTTCCCATAGTTCTAAATTATGCACTTTGACAACTCAATAAACCTGATGTAACTGACAACACACTGATGGATATGGTGGAGGATAAAGAATATGATTATTTGAATCAAGATGCTTATGGTATGGCATCCTAGAGTCGATTGCTTTTTAAAAGATTCTTGAGCTTTGATAACTTTTTGTTGATACATTTTCTTTGAGTTCAGCGAGCTGGCTTCATGAGTGTGTTGTTATCCACCTCTTCTTTGGGAGGAAAGGATTGTGTTTTAGTACTTACCCTGATGGCTATAGAAGTCACTGTTTCATATGCTATATCAGAATTGACTTAAAAATTGCATGTAGGTATTTGCTACATGTTTTGGTGACATGATGTATACCATTAAGGAAATTTAAGATCTTTTTGATCACAAAGTTCTCAGCTTACATCTGGTTATTTGTTGGCGTTTTATTTATTGGCAAGCTTTTTCTAGCAGCAGGTCTATGGACAGCCCTGAAATTTCTTTAAAAACCAGTCTTGGAAAGAAGAAAAGCTGTGGATGCTTAGTTGAAAGTTCAAGTTACCTGCAAAACATTTGTTTCAATTGAATTTGTCTATCTATAGTTGATGTAGAGTGGGATTTTAGGGACCAGGGAGTGTCTCCTTGGTCCTAAGTTAAGAAAACAAAAATAAAGTGACTTCACTAGAATTACTTTGAACCAGGTCAAGAACCTGTTCATCTCACTGTGGGGTTTATATCCTCCTTACCGCTTCACCTGCCTCTTTTTTCCAGGACAAATATTTTACATCTGATCACTTCCTAATGAGTACATCTATTCCTGAGAATGGCAAACTTTGTGATTATATCAGAGCAAGAAATCTTATTTGTAAAGAGGCTGCCTAATTATCCATGACATTTAAAATGTCTGCATTGTCCTTGAGCTAAGAGTGTGAAAATCAGGAGACCCAGGGGTGTATTCACTTCCTGATAGATTTCGCTTAGTTTACCATACTCTGACAGTAAAAATCAAATGAATCTGAGCTGCTTAACATTAACATTCCAGGCCGGACACGGTGGCTCATGTGTGTAATCTCAGCACTTCGGGAGGCCTAGGAGGGGAGATCACTTGAGCCCAGGAGTTCAAGACCAGCCTGGGCAAGACAGCGAGACCCTGTCTCTACTTGAAAAAAAATTTGAAATAAAAACAAAAACACAATAACATTCCAAGCAGGAAAGTAATTGAAAAAAACTGCTATCATCCATATTGCTAATTTTATAATGCGGAAACTACCACAGAGTTATAAGTGCAGCGATGAAGATATAATAGACATATTTTTGTGTAAGAAAAATGAAAATTCACCTTAGTGACTGAAAGCATAGATTGACTTTGCATAGACATCAGTGTCAATAATGATCATTTTAGTAACTCAGGTTTTGTTTCTTCAGTTGAAATTCAAAGTAACCCAGGTTCATAAGTAGGCTGTGATGTTGAAAGATTGGAAACTCTCAATTTTGTCAAAGATTGGAACTAGGTTGAGATACTTTGGAATGTTTTACTAGATAAAGAGGCAGGGAAATAAAATAACTGTTGTTTCCTGTGATTTGAGAACTACAGGATGGCACCAGAATCTCAGACCTGCAGCCCAGTGAAGGGATTCCTTCATTAAGGCTCTTGTTCATTTCTTTCTTGGTAATTTTGTTGGTTTTCTGTTTTTACTAGAGGAATATGACTCTTAGGAATCATACCTGCATGCAAATTTCTGATGCTCTGTTGATTCGTGAGCACTAGAAAGAGTTAAAACTCCCTATTTCTCACAATCTCCCCCTTGGCAGAGTTCAGTTCACTGATGACTATGGTGAGTCAGTCAGTGCCCCATCCTGTGTCATGGCATCCCACAGGACAACATTATCTTTTAATAATTGAATTATTTTTGCCTCTATAGTAATGTGATAAGACAGAATCATCATCTATTTTTTAACATATAGCAAAATTACCCAGTTTTTTGAAGAAGCTGGAAATACTTGGATCTGCATGCTAAATAGGTACCAAGGACAGAAGGAAGACAGGGTTCATCTTCTCTTTCTAATCGTGGGACTTTGGGCTGTAAGGGTTGGTGTCTTCATCTTTCCAGTAAAGGGGTGGGACTGAGCAATCTCCATGGTTACTTTCAGCTCTGAGAGTCGATCATTTATAATTATAATGCATATTGCATCTGTGTATTTCAGTCATTCTGAACAGAAGGGTTTTTGTCTTGGCAAGGTTTTGTCTTGGAATGGTGTATATATTTTTGTGGAATGGATGCTTTCTCCCTAATGTCTGGCAAGGTCTTGTCTTGCTTTCTTCTTTGTTGACATTCCTGGTTTCTGGTCCAGCCCTGAATCGACCCAGCTGATGGGGCATATTAATTGGGAGCATGGGCTGTGGAGTTAAACAGACCTGGGTTTATGTTCCAGTTCCAAACCTCAGTTTATCTGGCTTTCTCATGTGTAAAATGGAGAGGATGCTGACTTTGTGGGTTGAGGTAAGATATTCAATGAGAGGTTGAAGGTAAAGCGCTTAGCTCAGGGCCTGATACCTTCCGATGCCTTCCTGGTTTCCTACACCTCTCCCCATGTAAAGATTTTTATTTGCAGAAATGTCAACCCCAAAGTTGTTCTAAGTGGGAAAACTGTTTCCTCTACACTCACAAAACATTTCTGACACCAACTGTATAGATTTTCCACACCAAGCCATTCTCCAGTTCTCTGCAGACACCAACTGGGTGTCTAATAATTCAATTCAATTCTGGCATTAACGACCTGGAATTAGACCCCACAGCTTAAGGGACTCAGTCCTTCAAGGCTGCCCCCAACTTCAGATGCCAATTGCAAGTCCCCAGGTTGTCACCTGCACTTCTCTCTGACTTGACTACCTGACTCAGTAGTCCACACAACCCCCTCCTTAGGTTTGATAATTTGCTGGAATGGCTCACAGATCTCAGAATAACAGTTTATTATATTTACTGGTTTATTGTAAAGGATACAACTCAGGACCAACCCAATGGAAGAGGTGCATAGGTCAGGTATGTGGAAGGGGTGCAGAGCTTCCAGGCCCTTTGGGGTGCTACCCTCCCTCACAGCACCGTGATGTGTTTACCAACCTGGAAGCTCTAGGAACCCATTGTTTAGGGTTTTTATGGAGGCTTCATTATGTAGGAGTGATTGATTAAATCACTGGCCTCTTCCCTCCTCAGAGGTTGGAGAGTGGGGCTGAAACTTCCAATCCTCTAATGACCTAGTTGGTTCCTCCGGGAGCCAGTCCCAAGCCACCTGGAGTTACCTCATTAGCATAACTCAGGTAAGGTTGAAAGGGGTTTGCTATGACTAACAAGATGCTCCCCTTACCCCCATCACTCAGAATACCAAGGGTTTTAGGAGCGCTGTACCAGGAACCAGAGGCAGAGAGCAAATACATATTCCTTTTTGTGTCATAATTGTATATATTTCGTGTATTTTTGTCTGGTATCAGACACTGTTGGAAATTGTGGTTTAGTTTACTTCAGTTGTTGCACCGAAGAAATGTACAGGAAATCAGGTGTTTTTGGAAGACACTGGATTAAGAGCTGTACTAAAATGCTCCATCTATTTCTTCACTACTTCCAAATGTTGCCACATTTTTGAAATTGGAAAATTCTGTTTTAGTTGACTTCCTGGACTTTACCTCTTGTGTATGACTTCAATCTTGATAACGTTCCATGCTAGTCTTCGTCTCTGGACTTCTCTATCAAATCCACCGTTAACCCATCAAATATTTATTGAACTCTAGGCACTATCCTAGAAACTGGAGATAGGTGAGAATGAGAAAAATTCGTCTACAGCTCCCAGTAAATACTTGTCCGCAGATGGGAGGAGGGGACAGAACATAACCTGTAAGCAGATATATTATAATTTCAGATAGTGCTACATGTTTCAAAGTAAACTTAAAGCAGAAGGCCTGGCAGGGAGCAGAAGGGGATGCTATTATCTAGAGAGCAAGGGTTTGAGTAGAAACCTGCATGAAGTCAGAAAGTGAAATATCTGCAGGAGAAATGTTCCAGGCAGTAGGCCAGCAAGTGCAAACACCCTGTGGGGGTAAGAATCTTGAGATGATCAAAAGACAGCGTGCAGTATAGCTTGTGCACACGTACCCTAAAACTTAAAGTATAATAATAATAAAATTAAAAAAAAAAAAAACAATGGGAGAGGAAATGAGGCCGAAGACCCATCAGGGATAGATTCTAGGGGCCCTGTAGGCCAAAGTGAAGACTGAAATGTATCCTAAAAGTCATGGACAACCACAGGAAACATGGAAGCTGGGGATGACATGATTGTATTTACATTTAAGGCAATTACTGAGGAGAACAGATGGGTGGAGAGGAGCCCAGAGAGAGGGCAAGAGTAGAGTCAGGAGGCAATTCACTAGCAGAGGAAATAGATGAACTTGCTGGGTCATGATGGAGGTGGTGAGAAGTGGTCGTGGTCCAGACGTATTATGAAGGTCAAGCTGGTGGGACTTCCTGGGGTCACATAGAGGTAGTCTCACCAACAGTGTTAGTGCTCTGGAGACCTCACTTCTACCCTTGGGTCATGTACCTGCATGGGAAAAGCCTTTATCCTGACCCCAAGTGCCTTGGCTCAACTTCGTGATTGGTGTGCATTTTGGGTGAGTGGGGGTGAGCAGGAGATTAAGTAAGAAATTTTTTTTTCTCTTCAAAATACAGACATATGGGTGAAATACAAGGGTGGGGCAGGGAGAGGATATAGTTCTCTTGGTACATGACCCCATCTACAGCTCCTATCTGGATCTCTTGGCTTAGCTCTGACCTCCTAACTTTTTGAGGCTGGGGACTAGACAGGGAGGTGATTGAAAGGCTTCAGGGACTTGCTTGGTTTATCCTCTAAGCTGCAGCAGCTATGTCAGGTTTCCTGATTCCTGACCCCAATTCCAGATATTCCTTTATTTGACTTACAGAATGACTAAGAATATGCAAAGTGAGAGATGAAGGTGCAGGCTGTTAAGGCCAAGAGTATAAACTAAACTGTGTGTATCAGTTACCTCTTGCTGAATGATGCATCACATAAACCTAGCACCTTAAAACAACACACATCTATTCTCTCACAATTTCTGTGGGTCAGGAATCCGGACACAGCTCAGCTGGGTCCTCTACTTCAGAGTCTCTCACAAGGCTACCCTCAAGATGTTAGATAAGGTGGAGAGCTCATCTGAAGGCTCAACTGGGGAAGGATCTGCTTCCAGGCTCACTTGTGTGGTTGTTGGCAAGATTCAGTTTATTTATTTATTTATTTATTTTTTATTTATTGTGGGCACATAGTAGGTATTTATGGGTTACATGAGATGTTATGATACAAGCATGCGGTGTGTGATCATCACATCATGGAGAATGGGGGAGATTCAGGTTTCCAAGAGCCATTGGGCTCAGGGCCTCATTTCCTTGCTGGCCATCGCCTGGAGGCCACACCCAGTTTTTTGTCACATGGGCCTTTCCAACATGGCAGCCTGCTTCATCAAAGCACCAGAGAGAGTGTCCTAGTCACAGTGCTTTGTAACTTAATCACATAAGCGGCTGTCCTCAGTGTTGCCATGTTCTATTAGTGAGAAGCAAGTTACTCAAGGAGAAGGCTCTAAGTGTATCCAGCTGAAATCCTGTATTTTCTGTTTTCCCCCTTTACATCAGCATGCCTTTGAAGCAGATAATACTGTGTAGACCAAGTCTTTAAAATAGCACATTCCATGAGCCAACCAGCCACCTCACCTGCCTATAACATTTTCCTTTATCGTCTCCACTGATGCTATAGCTGACCATGTTAGGAACCCTCATGTTATAGCTTAGTTTATCTTAAATCTTGACTTTGTGTTTGCTCTTAGCTCTTGAGGACTATTTGCCTTCCTAGACTTGGTACTCCCTTGACTCCCTCAGTCCCAGCCAGGAGAGTGTCATTTTAGGCCATTGTCACACTAGGATGTAGGAGGTGATAAAGACAGCTTAGTTAGGCTTAGGACCAAGGCTGTGTGAGAACCAACCGAAGACAGACCTGCAATGTGTCATCTGGTACTTACGGCCTCTGTTTGCCAGGGGCTAAGTGTGATAATGGGTCAGAAAGTATAAGGTTTACAAAGTAGCTGAGATGCCACCTGGGACCTACTATTAAAAGCCAGGGCAGAATCCTACAACTAGGAGGTCATAACAGTGCTTGGAAGGCCATTGAAGCTACAGTCAGGGGCAGACCAAGGGTCTGGGAGCTTGAAGAAGTGGCGGTCAAGGCAAAAATGGTTCAAAATATAGAAGTTCAGATTGTGGAGAATAGCAACATTAGTAAGCAGAGAGTAGGAGACAGGCTGATCTCTGGCTAGGTTATTTGTCCCCACACTTTCTTTTTTCAATCTTTTTTCCCACTCTACCCTGGAAGCCCAGGCCTAGATACAGAGGCATAGTGTTTTTCTCTGCGAGCTAAAGAGGACGGTGTGGCATCAGGGTGACAAGCTGAGCTGGTGGTGGTGGTGGTGGTGGTGGTGGTGGTGGTGGTGCTGCTGCTGCTGCTGCTGCTGGTGGTATTGGTAGTGATGGTGTTGACAGTAGTGTTGTTGGTTTTGTTGGTATAGGTGGTGTTGGTGGTGGTAGTGGTGGTGATGGTCTTGGTGGTCTTGGTGGTGGTGCTGCTGCTGGTGGTATTGGTAGTGATGGTGTTGACAGTAGTGTTGCTGGTTTTCTTGGCTACTAGGTGGTGGTGGTGTTGGTGGTGTTGGTCTTGGTGGTGTTCGTGATGTTGTTGGTGTTGGTAGTGGTTTTTTGTTGGTGTTATTGTGAGTGGTAGTGTTGATGGTCTTGGTGGTGGTGCTGTTAGTGTTGATAGTGATGGTGTGTTGGTAGACTTGATAGTGGTGTTATTGTTGATGGTGTTGGTGGAGGTGGTGTTGTTGCCATTGGTGGTGGTCGGGATGGAAGTGGTTGTGTTGATGATTTTGGTGTTGATGGTAGTGAGCAGTTCCCTCACTGCTCTCTTACACAGCCAGCCTCTTAAATAATCCCCACTCTTACCCTCTAAGCCCCACCTTAGACACTAATACATTCTAAACCTCTTCCAAAGAAGCAGAAAGAATCAGTTTCCTGCCTGGGAACAGTAAACCTTGATAACTACTTTCTCTCTAGATGTAAAAGGTTTGGCTGGTGTTATTCTCGGTGAAAATAGCAGAAAATCCTTCTCTTTCCAGACTGGGATTAAATGGCTTGATTTACATTGGATTCTAGGGTTATTATTATTTTTAACACTTCCCTGATCGGTTTTTTTAGAAACTAGCAAGACATTTTTAAGGATGAAGGCATATTAAAAACAACTCTAAGGATGCCTTGTCTGATGCATTCAGCTTGCCTCGTCCATCTCCCCATTTGTTTTCACTGATCTACTTAACAACTTGTGTAGACAGGTAGAGCAGGCATGACCTAAATTTGGTGGATGAAGAGATCTAGATTCAGAAAAGTTAGTTTACATGTCAAAGGACACACAGTCGTATAACTGACAACTGTATGCAACCAGGATTCCTACCTAGGTCTTCCCACTCCAAATCCAGCACTCACATTGTACTGAAAAATAGCCTGATTTTATCACTTGACCTGTGAAAGGAAAGAAATCAAGGGTGAACAAAGGGAGAGAAAGTAAATGATGTTGAATAAAACATGAGAATAAACAGTTTGCATATGTAGCCTTTTGATCTTTATTGCAGGGCTGAGACCCGGTTCTTAACTGTTCTTTCCTCATGCCTTCTGCTTTTGGTAAACATTCCCAACATTTACCATGAAATCCTCTCTCTCAAGGCTGAAGGGCTGCTGCTCCTTTTGCAGAGCCCCTGCTGATCTCTCATCTCTGGAGATGGCTGTGCCCTTAGCGAATGCGAATCCCCCTGTGGACAATTGGTGACTGAGGGACAGCTGTCTGCAAGGGGCATTTCATCAGTATGCATCACGACTGGGGCTTGGCAGTCATTAGAATTCATTATAAATTACTCTGAGTCCCAGGAATCTCATTTAGTTCTCCCTCAGCAGCTGGAAGATGCTACCAGCTGTGGATCTAGGGTTTCCCCCAAAGATTTTACCTAAGCATTGTGGGTAGGGGCAAATAGGCAAAACGATCTGATGATGAGTGGGTGGGGTAAGATGGACAACCCTGTTTCTGCCTTTCTACCTCAGAGTTAATGCCCTGAAGATGCCACTGGGGGAATCAGCTCTGGGCACAGCTTAATCCTTAGTGCTTCTGGTGGGCCGAGGAATGCTCAAGGGTGTCTTTGTGAGTCATTGCGAGAAGGTCCATGACAGAAGAGGGAAAGAACCAAAGAGAGAGCAATGGAGAAGAAAGTAGCAGATGGTTCTCTGTGATCTTCAAGAGCCAGGCCCTGGTGGTATTTTCTGTTTCAGCTACTGTGACGCTTTTTGTGGAATCCTGGATGAGGCCTGAACTGACCATTCACTCAGTCCTCTGGACCTTTGAGTCCTGTGTTCCTACGGAAACCCACTCATCTTGCAAGGCTCAACTCTAATGCCAGGACCAAGTGCTTTCGTGTGAATCACCCCTTATGATTCTCACAACAGCTCCATAAGATAGGGGTAATTTCCATTCATTTTTTTTTTCAGAGAAGGAAAGCACAACTCAGAGGGGTTATTGACCTGTGCAAAGGAGGAGTTCTGGGTTGGGGGGAGTGGAACCCATGGGAGCTGCACACTCAGTTCCTTTGTCCCCTGACCATGGCACTTTCCACACAATACTGCATACGTATCGGAACAGCGTGCCTCTTACTGATCCTTACCGTGTTGGACCAGGACACAGTGGCAAGGTGAGCCAGGTTGGCCTTCTGTGCTCCTGGCCTTTCCTCACGTGGCCCTTTTCCTATCATGTATTCACCTCTTCACTGAAAGAGGTGCTTCCTTGTAACCTCACTTTGCCATCCTCTTCTCATCCCTGTTCTAGGACAGGGGCTGGCAAACATTTTCTATAAAGGGCCAGATGGTAAATATTTTAGGCTTTGCAGGCCATACGGTTCCTGTCACGATGACTGCACTCTGCCATTGTAGAGTGAAGGCAGCCATGGACAGTATATAAATGAATGAGTGTGGCTGTGTTCCCATTAAATTTTATTTAATGACACTCAAATTTGAATCTCTTAGAATTTGCATGTGTCATGAAGTACTTCTAATGGTTGTTCAGCCATTAAAATATATGAAAACCACTCTTAGCTCATAGGCTGTACAAAAACAGGAGGCAGGCTGGATATGGGTAGCTGGCCATGGTTTTGCCAATCCCCTGTTCTATAACTAATTGAGTAGTAATCCTTTACCTTTGGGTAAAATCATCACTGTGTTAGTTCTCCTGAAAGCGCATACAATTTAAACCTTTAACTGCAGGTGAAAGGCTTTGTTGCCTCCTAAAGGGATTTGGGGTAGTAGTGGCTGTGATGGGTGGGGCGGGGAGAGGTCACACCAAGCAGATAGCTGCCTCTGCCTAACATAACGTTAGTCCTGCCGTGCTGCTATTGTTTTTTTCAGTGGAAATGTTAGATTTAAAACCTATATGTCATTTGTCTTTGAGCTCTGTATGGAGAAAAAGATCTTGCTTTGGTTTTTGTAAAAATACCAGCCTTAGATCTTTTTGTGTGAGCTGTCATCAGTCATTCCGATTGTTGATCTTGTAAATTCATGCTTTTTAGTGTTGGCAGAGGGTTGCCTTTGTTTCTGTACAATTTCATGAAGTGTTTCTTTCAATTGGGACTTACTTTGAGCTTAACTGGAGCTATACTTTTCATCTCAACTAGATTTTAAAGACATGGGTACCTGGCAGCATGCTACAGAGGATTGTTTTAGAATCTTTCCTCAGTGTGAGAACTTCGGGAAATGGTACGACCAGCCGCTGATTGAGCCCCCTTTGACATTTGGTCTCCACATGATCCACAGTGACTGAGCATGGCTTGAAACTTGGCCGGTGATACCTGGAGTGTCTTGAAGGGTTTCCTTTTTACTCATTCTTGGATGTGTCCTGGAGTAAAAATTTTTGTATTCCACTATTTGTGGAATTTGGAAAGAAGCACAGGAAAGGAAATGGAGATTTAATGAGGAACTTGATTTACACCGGTACCCAAGCTACCTTCCACCACCAGCTTCTGCCGCATGTTGTATGTTAGGAAGCTTACTAGGACTGCAGCAGCTAGAGTACTGTGCAGGTGCCTGACTTACACAACCACCCTTTCAAAAATCGTTCCACAGCCCAAGGCAACATTGACTTAATACATTTCTCAACAAACTGAGGCCTGGAAATCTGAGAAATAAATAGGTGGGCTATCCACTGTAATGACAAGGCATGACTTCCTGGTTTGTATTTCTTCCCATAGTGTTTTGATTACACTAAGCGTTACCGGCAGGCAATAGTTATTTGCTATTATTGTTTTTAAATTAATCCTAGAAGGTCCTTTAAGTGTATTTGATAAACATCATGTTACCTGCCAGCAAGGAATTGTACTCTGGATATTTCTGTCTTCAGAGGTAGTTCTATAGTAGTTCTGTTGTATAACAGAAAGAACTATCAATTATTTGATCTTACAGTCATTATACATGTAGACTATAAATTCATGGGATTTAATTTAATGAACAGGTTCCTGCCTCAGAACTTTGAACATTATGCTGTGGGAAGGAAAATCTTTTCAATTTGCTTTACAGACTTTGAGTATTTGTAAGTTCACCTTTTAAACAATTAGGGAATATTTACATGTTGAGGATTTCTCACAAGATTAAAAAAAATACTTCTTTTGAAATAGTTGAAGACTGAAGAGAAGCTGCAAAAATCGTACATAGTTCCAATGTGCCTTTACACCAGCTTCCCCCAATGTTAATATCTTACATAATCAGTGTGTTGTCAAAGCCAGGAAATGCACATTGGTGTAATACTTTTAAATACAGATCTTATTTGGATTTCACCAGTTATTGTGTGCACTTTTTTTGGTGTAAGTTCTATGAAATTATATCACATTTGTGGATTTGTGTAACACAGATCTATAGAACTGTTCATCACTCCAAAGAAACTTCCTCATGTTATCGTTTAACAGTCACATTCCTCTCATAAGGTTGTGTTCAGACTGTTTCGTTAGGATGTCAAAATAGCAACAAAAACAGAGGTGGATTTTGAGAAAGTATTTAGTTTTCAGTTGATTTCCACAATTACGGATTTCGAGTGAATGAAAGAAAAAGAATGGGGAACTGTATTCAGGTTGTGAGCACTTTCACATTTATAGCTACGATCCATTTAAAGTTAATTGTCGTATAAGGTTTGACGTAAGAGTTGGGGTTTATTTTGTCCCATTTAGATATACAGTTGTTCCAGCACCATTTGCTGAAAAGACTGTCCTTTCCTGATTGAATTATCTCAGCACCCTTGTCACAATTAAATCCTGTCTTCTCTATTCTGTTCCACTCATTTGTAGAACTTATGCCATTACCACACTGTCTTGATTACTGTAACCTTACAGTAAGTCCTGAAATCAGGTAGTGGAAGTATTCCAACTGATAGTTCCAAATTGTTTTTGCTATTTTAGGTATTTTAATTTTTCACTTAAACTTTAGAGTCAATTCATCAATGTCTACAAAAACCTTTCTGAGGTTTCCATCAGCTTTGTGCTGAACTACAGATTAATTTGGAAGATAATTGACATCTTACAGAGTCTTTCAGTTTATGAACATGATGTATCTTTCCATTGATTTCTATATGCTTTAATTTCTCTCAACAGTGTTTTATAGTTTTCAGGGTACAGACCTTACTGACATTTTATTAAAAATCTCCCTAGTATTTCATGTTATATGTTGTTATTATGTAAAGTACTTCTTTTAAAAAGAAATTAACATTTCATTTGTTGCTACTATGTAAAATTATAGTTTATTTTTGCATACTGACCTACATTTGGTGAGCTTGGTAAACTTTTTAGTACAAATAGCTTTTTTCCTTAGGATTTTTTACTTACACAATCATGTTGTCTGCGTATAAAGTATTTTCCTTCTTTCATTTTTGTACGATTTTTATTTCTTTTTCTTGCCTTTTTTGAACTGACTAGGACCTCACTACAATGTCAAATAGAAGTAGAGTGAGTGTAAACCCTAGCTTCATTCCTAATTTAAGGCTGAGAACGTTCGGTCTGTTACCATAAAGTATGATGCAGCTGTAGCTTTTTAGTAGATTTTTTTTATTAGCTTATCTCCCTTGTTGACTAAAAAAAGTTTTTTAAACACAGGTAGGTATTGAATTGTATCAAATGCTTTTTTGTAGCATTTATTGAGTTGATCAGATTTTTTTTCTTTTTTAGCCAGTTAATATGGTAAATGACATTAATTGAATTTTTTCATTGTTAAAACAACTTTGAATTCCTTGGATGAATCCCACTTGGCCATGATTGTTATACTTTTTATATATTCCTGAATTCAGTATTATTAAAGAATTTTAAATTCTGTGTTCATAAAGGGGATCTGTCTCTAGTTTTCTTGTGTCTTTGTCTGGTTTTGGCATCAGAGTAATGTGGGTCTTATGAAATGAGCTGGGAAAGGTTCCCCCTTCCTCTTTTTTCAAGGCGTTTACATAGGATTGATATTATCTCTTGCTTGAATGTATCTAGAGTTTCTCAGTGAAAATCTGGGAGCATGGAGTTTTCTATTTCAGATTTTCTATTTCTCGTGTTATTTTTTGGTGATTTGTATCTTTTGAAGTGTGTCTGTTATTAATTTGTTGCCTCTTAGCTCCAAATACATCTTTCTGTGTAAGCTCTGTGATAAGCCAAGGAATGTCCTTGGTGTTTCTTGTTTAATGTGAGCACGACATTAAGCATTGTCAGTAGAGGGCGCTTTGGGGGAGGGGGGTCATTGCTGGAGGAAGTCTCTCTTGCCATTTCTTTTGTGGGCATGAGGACCTTCCGTTGAGCCTGCCCCAGTCATGGCCCCAGAACTCAGTCTCTGCGACCTCAAACCCTCAGCCTGGTGGTAATGTTTCTGCAGCCCTCCCCACAGGGCACCAGAGCCCCTGGGCCGCCCCTGCCTGTGCCGCTTCTGTCCGTGGCAGTGCCCAGCATCCCCGCAGATGATTCCAAGGCCTCCTGCCCCCGTCAGTGCCTGGACACCCCCAGCACGTCATGCTGCTAGTTCCTGACAATCTGCAATCCAGAGGGTGATGTTGCCTGTCTGGTGTCTCCAGATCAGCTCTGGCCTGGCCAAGCCCGCAAACTTCTCAGCCGTCTGGTGGCTGAAGCACACCTTCTCCAAGACATCTGAGTCCTTTCATGTCTGTCTTCCTTGGGCACTTTCTGTCAGTCCGTGTTTGCCAGAGAGAGTTTAGATCACGTAGTTACTATTTTATTGTAGTATTCTTTATATTAGACTTTCCATTAACCTACTGTGTGGTTTGTGTCTCCTGAATGGTTATCCAAAAATTTCTTGTAAGCAGTATCTGAGTTGAGACTTCTGTGACCTATGGTTTTTGTCATTTTCAAGAAGGGTAGGAGACATTGCTATGTGTTCAACTGGTATTTTTTCCTCCTTTCTTTACTCATCCCGTCCTTACGTGTTTTTGCCAGGGACTTAACTAAAATCTAAAATGAGGAAGAGGGAGACCAGAGTGTAGTGAGACTAAGTTCAGGAGTCAGTAAACTAGGGCCATGACTGGTCGATCAGCTTCAGCATTAGTTTTCTGGTGTCTCATGACCGTGAGCAGAGATGTTGAGGATTTTATGAGACACTATAAGCATAGCGTCCCATTCTTCTGCTGCTTAGACTAGAGGTCCTATAACCTTAAGCTGCTTATGGATGAAGTATCTAGGCTAATAAATCACCTAGCTTAATAGCAGCAACAATTTTAATGTTTAGATTTTATTTTATTTTTATAGCAAAAGGGAAAAAACATATTTTACTATAGACATCATTATGAATAGGAATAACCCCACCATCTTTTTACTTCTGTCTAGTCAGAGAAAAGAGACCCCAGACTCACCTAACCAACTGATCAACAAAACAAAACCCCACCGAAATACAGAATATTCTCCCCATTGCAGTTAGGCCTTTGGCATTAACTTAAATTTAGCCTCCCTGGGAATTTTGGAAAAACATTTTTCTTCATTGTTTTTGTAAGCCCTATGAGGCAGAGGTATAACTTCCCCAAACAAAACAGCAGGAAAAGCAAGTAGCAATCCCCTGGATAATGCAAATGAATAAAAATTGCCAGAATTATTACAAAAGTGCTAAAAGCCCTACTTTGATATCTTACACTCTATTCCTAGACTTTAGTGGTTCAGAAATGCCTGTTTTAGCAATGCCAGCACACGAGGGAACAAAGTTTGTGGAGAAAATAAACCACATAGAGATAGTCTCCAACTTAGAAATGGGTCATGTTCTAGGGGTCGATTTGTAAATCAGTTAGACTGGAAATATATTGTTCCTGTGGAAATTGGCATTATAAAGATGTTTTTTTTTTTGGCTTATGTCATTAGTTTTCCTTTGGAAAAAAATTGCATTATTTTTCTTTTATTAGAACACATTACTGTATTAATTTTCTATCACTGTATAATCAATTATTCTAAAACTTAGCAGTTTAAAACAACACTCATTTACTATCCCATAGTTTTCTTAGGTCACGATTGTGGGCATGGCTTAGCTGGGTGCCCCTGGATCAGTGTTCCTCACGAGGCTGCAGTCAAGGTGTCAGCTGCATTGTGTTTTCTGGGGCTCATTCACAGGGCTGTTGGCAAGCCTCCGTTTCCTGCCACATGGGCCTCTTCATAGGGCTGCCTTACGATATAGCAGCTGGTTTCCCCCACAGCAAGCCATCTAAGGAGAACAAGAGAGCACCCAAGATGGAAGTCATAGTCTATCATCCACTCACGGAATCAAACCCCCATCACTCCTGTTGTGTTCTGTTTAGTAGCAGTGAATCACTAAGTTCGGCCTACACTCAAAGGAAAGGGATTAAGCTCCACTTCTTGACAGAAGAGTATCAGAATTTGTGGCTATACCTTTAGAACCAGGGGAGGATCTGCTCTCAAGTTCACTGAGCCTTTCCAACCAGTGAGCGGTAGAGTGGATCCTCCCCCTACCAAGCCTTCAGATGAGACCGCAGCCCAGCTGACACCTTGATTGCATGTTTGTGGGACACCCTGAGCCAGAAACACCCAGCTTCCTATTCTAATAAGAAATTAGACCACTTAACTTAAAGTGTACCTTGCAATTGAACAGTGGTTGTTGTGCAACAAGGGAGTTCCTCCTCTCCATGGGAAGAAAACTCATTCCTCAGTGATGAGTAGCACAATGTGGAGATTTCTGTCTATAGTTAGTAGCTGAAAGGCTTAAGCAAGGATGGGAAATGTATTCTTTTCCCCTATCCTAGCTTGCAACCAGCTTGACCAGTATGTAAGGGTATGTTCTTGATGTTATAGGGTAGAAATTAGAATGCTTTTCTCACTGAAACAGTATTCTGTAAATGGTGCTCAGGGTCCTTGGAAAGAATTATATATGAGACTCATTATGGGCTGAGGAGGCCCTTCTGGGCAAGTTTACCACCGTTTATAACAGCATGTTCATGGAAAATGGTTTCTAAATCTCAGACACCCATTTCATAAACATGCTTTTGAAATGTGACTCATTTTTAAATTGGGGGTTTGCCCATATTATATTATGTTCTCCCCAGAAACCTTCTCAACAATAGTTTACATTTTGAGCTATAAGCCTTTTGGGAAGAAAAAGTGACAGAAAATAGAGATTACTATAATTTAGTCTTGGCACTAATATCCTGGCAGACCTATCAAGACATAATTCTCCTCGAAATCAGATTTACTGCAAGGCCTATGCTGAAGTCTTCTTATAGCTGAGGTATGCCAAGTCACACTCGTCTTCTACATTTCTAGAATTCTAGGGTCTTATTCAGGTGCTTCCAAAAACATCTGATCAGAATTAGCACATGAGAAACATTTTGGGCCTGCCTTAGACCCCATTCAGCGCATGGCTTTATGGAGGCCTATGGCCTTCCCGCTGAGAGAGACACTGCGCAGGCTCCAGAGTGGGTTCAGTGTGAGGCCGCCTCCTCTGTCTCCCCTGTGTTTGATATTTTCAGACACTGCGGTAATTTTATTCAGCAAAGCTCCATTCAGTCATTACAGAATCCATCAAAGAAGTGTCCATTGCTAGAATGTGCAAGTTTTTATTGAGCATGTATTCAGGGACGATAACCAAGCAGACGGTGCTGCTATCCCTAATCTCCATCTGTTAGTGAAGTCAGGCACCCAGCAGTGTGTTTAAAGAGCCACTACCATCTCCACTGACTTCCCTGAGTTAAGATGTTCTATTTCGCCTCCATCTTTCATAGAAAGGCAAGTGTAAAAAAGCACCACCAAGCGCCTGTCTGTGTCGTGTGTAGAACCAAAGTGGAAGATTTTGTTCATTATGTTTCTTAATATGAATATGCGCTGGGTTATCCAACTTCCCTTAATTAGCCATGGGACCAAGTCTGCTATCTCAGAATGACAGGTCCTTAGAAGAAAATGTTAGAGTAGCTGATTTACATGTGCTGTATCTCTAGTAAGGGCAGGATTTTTTAAAAAAAATCTACCCACTTATTGAAAATCAATTGAGAGCTTCATAGTAAAAACTTGATAATTTAAGGGAAATATATAACATTCCAACAGCTTTTAGAATTCAGAATGTGAACATATAAAATAGATTTTAAGATACTCTTCTGTTATGGAAGAAAAATTGCAAGAGAGAGAGTAACAGAAAGGATGAGAGGGAAGAGGGATGGAGCAATAATTCAAACAGCACCAAGTTCCAGAAAGGCAAAATACTTGCTGCTGTACGAGTCTCACTCTCCCCCTCTCTCCTCCAAAGTAAAAAAGGGGTGAACCCACAAATACTTCATTTTTGAATAATCTTTTATTTCTATCCAAAATTTTGCATGCTTGATCCTCTTAAAATCCTTCCCCCCCTTAAAAAGAAGATAATTAAGGCTAGCCTCCATGGCTCCTGCCTGTAATCCCAGCACTTTGGGAAGCCGAGACAGGTGGATCACTTGAGGTCAGGAGTTTGAGGCCAGCCTGTTCAACATGGTGAAACCTGTCTCTACTAAAAGTACAAAAACTAGCCAGGTGTGGTGGCAGCCACCTGTAATCCCAGCTACTTGGGAGGCTGAGGCAGGAAAATGGCTTGAACCTGGGAGGCAGAGGTTGCGGTGAGCCAAGATCATGCTAATGCACTTCTGCCTCCTCATTTCCACAGAGTGAGGAAAAAAACCAAAAAACAATTAACATATTACTCTGGGGACTGCAGCCCAATTTTGTAGAGGAAATGAAGTGATAGCTCTATCTTGAGGCCTTCTAGGGTACTTACTTGGAATTTTAAAGCTGGGTTGCAGTTTTTCTACCATATGATACAAATGGGATCATCTTTGACATTTGTCCTGGGACTGGATGCAGTTTAAGCATGAGGCTGATCAGAGCTCAGGGGCTGCTTACCTGCAGCTGCCAGCCACTCCTACATCCCAGCCTGGCCCTCAGCCCTGGGAAGAGACTCCTGGGCTTCCAGGTGTTCACTGGGGGAGCAAAGACTGGAGATGTTTAAAATATTTTTTATTTCCGTTTCTGAAAAAGTAATACATCACACAGAAGTTCAAAAGTAACAAGAGTTTTTAAAAACAAATTATAGAATGCAGTACTATTCTCCTGCACTTTGATTTTTCCCTCAATTAACTGTGTATCTGGTAGATAGTTTCATATCTGTAACTATAGTTACCCTATTCTTTATAACAATGCTGATTATTGCATAGCATGGATTATTTTATGCAAACTGTTAGGACCAGTATTTTTACAAGCAATCTTGTGATGACTGTCTTTGTCCGTGAGCAAAGCCTGTGCTATGGAAGCTCAACTGGGATGAACCTTGTTAATGTTCCATGTTAATTTCCTATCTTTTTTGTTTGTTTGTTTTTTGAGTCTCACTCTGTCGCCCAGGCTTCAGTGCAGTGGCACAATCTCGGCTCATTGCAATCTCTGCCTCCCGGGTTCAGACAATTCTTCTGCCTCAGCCTTCTGAGTAGCTGGGACTACAGGCACATGCCACCACGCCAGGCTAATTTTTTGTATTTTAGCAGAGATGGGGGTTCCCCATGTTGCCCAGGGTGGTCTTGAATTCCTCAGCTCAGGCAATTTGCCTACCTTGGCCTCCCCAAGTGCTAGGATTACAGGTGTGAGCCACCGTGCCTGGCCTAATTTTCTATCTCTTTATCACTATATTATTTCCTGTAGAATCTTCTTTGTCTTCTGAACCTCAGCAAGAGACAATAATTGAATAAATTGGAAGCCTTGTGTTTTTAATGGAGGCCAGCTGGCCTGAGCAAAACTGATATCTATGTTTATATCTACAATGATTCCTCTTTTCTTCTTAAAGTCACATATTTAGCTATCTCCTTCATCTCTCATGTAAAAAGAGAATCAAGACAAGTTTGCTGTAAAGTTTATAATGACACAGTTCATGCTCCATTTTTGATGGGGAGCTTCCATCAAGAAATAAAGCCAGAATTCGTTTTCACGAACGAATAGCAGCCAGAAAGCCAATAGCCCTGACCTTACCCTGCAGCAGGCCTGCTTTGTAAAGCTGACAGCAGTGTTCAAGGGTGAAAGGTTGGTGTTGGTCTGGAACAGATTGGAAGGGGAGGTGTGGGCCCATCAGGCTCAGCTGACCATTACCTCCGATCATTTATCACTGTCAGAGAGGAGAGGGTGCGGGGTGGGGGAGCCACTGGACCACTCCCCGCTCAGCTGCTCTCTGACAGCTGACAGTGCCCCTTGCAACCTCCAGGCATACGATGTGCCTTCAAGGGACAGTGTGGTACATGCTTAAGGCCGCTGACATGTTCACAAGGAAGAGAGATGTGCTGTATACTGTGGAGCTTCTCTAGAAACGTGTGCCACCTTCTCTTCGTGCTGTGGTGTAGAACTGCTTGTAGAAACATTTAATGATGTTTTGGAGGCACACGTTGGGCTCCAGAGTGACAGTATGACTTGGGTGATAGGATGAGCAAGTTCCTCGGTGGGCCTTATGCCTTAATTACATCCACAATACCTGGGGACTCTGTACAACACTGAGATTTTAATGTGGCAAAACCAGCATGGACAGATGCTGGGGAGGAAGGAAATAACTTTGCTGCTTCTGTGGGTCAGGAAGCGAGGCCCCTACACGTCTTTGAAGGACAGTACCTTTTCTAAAAAATGTATTTATTTATTTTTATTTTTTGAGACAGATTATCGCTCTGTCACCCAGGCTGGAGTGCAGTGGTGCAATCTCGACTCATCGCAACCTCTGCCTCCTGGCTTTAAGCCATTTTCCTGCCTCACCCTCCCGAGTAGCTGGAATTACAGGGATGCACCACCATGCCCGGCTAATTTTTTTTTATTTTTAATTTTTTTTTTTAATTTTTAGTAGAAATGGGGTTTCACCATGTTGGCCAGGCTGGTCTCGATCTCCTGACCTCAAGTAATCCGTCCACCTCGGCCTCCCAAAGTGCTGGGATTACAGGCATGAGCCACTGTACCTGGCCAGGACAGTACCTTTATAAACAAGAATAATAAGTATGATTTGTATATGACTCTTTATAGATATGTTTAACATTCATCTTCAAAATGTAAAATATGTTTTAGACTCAATAGGAAACACATGTCTTAGTATAAAACAAATTCCTTTTGGTCTATAGCCATGTGTTTCAGTACACCTACTTTCAACGTTGTTATTCACAAGGGTGTCACAGGCATCAGGCTGAAATACAGATTTTAATCCTTAAAATAACCTTATTTTCATTGTCATTTATATTCTCAAGATTATCTAATTTTGGTAGTCATTAGGAATTACTTGTGTTAATAGTGGTGGTGAGATTTCATAAAAGTCAGGTGGAAAATTTCCATCAATTAATGTAATATTATATGCTTATCACAGACGCCTAAGTTAGACATGGTACTTAAATGTGGCAATTAATAAAAGTATTACAAAGGTGAAAATGGATTTCTTCTAAAAATGGAATTAATGATGATGGAGTGCTTGTGTTGGGAACTCAGGCTAGTCTGGTGCTTGCCGGAGATGCAGGATGCTTGGAGAGCTGCAGGCAGTGCTGTCAACACAGAGGCATGTGTTGACGTGTCTGATCAGCAACCCTAAGAAGTGGGTCGGGCATTGCGGGCTGGTGAAGGCTGGAGAGAGGGCCAGGGTTGTCTTTCCGTCTGTATCACCACCAGTAAGCACTGTGCAAATACCAGTGTTCAGGAGCCACATTCTAACTGTGATGGGGTTTGGCTGAAATGCAGATCCCCAGGCCTTGGTGGGGCAGATATGGGTTCCCAGGTCTCTCTGCCAACGTCCATCCGCCCTGCCTACACATGCCCACCTGGGAGTTGATAAGCTTGCTCAGAAGCCCTCTCCAAGACAGGGACAGTGACTTGGCCCTGACCAGAGAGGATGTCAAAGACCAGTAATACAGCTGGTTTGGTTTATTCTGGAAGTCCCCGAACAGCTTGAGTGTGCGTCACTTGGGGCAGTTTCTTAGCTAGCAAGCCAGGATAGTTCAAGGTGCCCACAACCCTGGGAAGAAAAGGGCTCTGCTGCACCTTCCTGTGATGGAGCAGGCAAGCAGCCGGTCATGGGTTGTTGTCATGGAAGAGAGGGTGACTGCTTTCTCTTTCCTGCTCAAAGAAAACAGAGGAGTGGGACTTAGAAGAGAACACGTAGTATTTTACAACTTCCAAAATATACCCGATAGGGGCTAACTTTCCTTTTTTCAAGCGTTGCTTTCAGTTTTTTTTTCTTTTGATAATTTATTGATTAGCAAAGAAATATTTGCTTAAGAAAAATTTGGGAATAAATAAAAGTATAAAGAAGGAAGCAAAATCACCCATAAATCAGCATATAAATCAGCCACGACTACAGCATCACCATGCTTCCTTCTTGTTATTTTCCTTGACTTTGTTCTTTACTTGAGGAGGATACTTTATTATTTTTTTTTTTGTTGTTCTTACTTTTTCCCCACTCAACTCCATATATATTATTATTATTTCCTGATGCCAGGAAAAAAGTACTCATGGTCATACTTTAAAAGTTACCATATAATACTGTATCTTAGAACTGTGTCACAAATTTATTCTCCATGTGTGGGGTCATTCAGCTTATTTACAGTTTTTCTGTATTTTAAACAGTTCTGTTGTAAACATCTCTGGAATTCTTTGTCTCAATTCTGATTATCTCCTACAGTAGCTATTTATAATTGCAGTGACTAGGTCGAAGGGTGGAAATGCTTTTGACATTCTTGGTTGGTTGTGGTAGTTGTGGCAGGGTCTCCTCTGTCACCCAGGCTGGAGTGCAATGGGACAGTCATAGCTCAATGCAGCTTCTAACTACTGGGCTCAAATGTTTCTCCTGGCTCAGCCTCCCTAGTAGCTGGGACCACAGGTGCACACCACCATGCCTGGCTAACTTATTTATTTATTTTTTGTAGCAATGGGAGTCTCGCTATGTTGCCCAGGTTGGCTTTTGGCATTCTTGGTACCTATTGTCAGACTGCTTTCCAATTAGATTGTAGCGTTTCATGTGCCATGAGCAGTGTAGGAGAAAGCTTGTCTCACTGAAGCCTGGTCAGTGCTCGGCATTGTTTTCGCAAGTTTGCCATTTGCACGAATCAAAGCTAGTCTCTCTTTTGAGACTGAGCATCTATTGTGTATTTATATAATTAACAATTTATCTGCATAATATCAGTTCCCATCATTCCTCCCTTTGTCTTTGGTGATGCAACCTCTGTCTTTTGCAGAATCATGGATGCCTGCTTTGGGAGCCTGGAGAAATGGTTTCCATGCTGTCTTCTAGGGCCGCTGGGTTCCTCTTGCACTCTAATGGGGGATCCCTCTGATCACCTTTCTTCACTCCCCAGACAGTCTGCAGTCTCAGGGAATAGGGGGCATGGTAGGCTCACCCTAGGCCGGTAGGCTCACTCTAGGCTGGGTTTTTTGTTTGTTTGTTTGTTTTTTGAGACGCATTCTCACTCTGTTGCCAGGCTGGACTGCAGTGGTGCGATCTTGGCCCACTGCAACCTGCACCTCCCGGGTTCAAGTGATTCTCCTGCCTCAGCCTCCTGAGTAGCTGGGACTACAAATGCGCGCCACCGTGCCCTGCTAATTTTTGTATTTTTAGTAGAGATGGCGTTTCACCATGTTGGCCAGGATGGCGTCGCTCTCTTGACCTCGTGATCTGCCCGCCAGTTTTTTTTTAATGAATAAAAAGGGCTTGTGGTTGGGGCATCTCCATTCAGCTTTGCCATCCTAGGCTTGTAGTCACACTAGTGGGCTTGTGCACTGAGCAGACTTCAGGAAATGCAGCAGGCAAATCATGAGAAGGAAGAATGCCCTCTATTTGCATAATGCTTTATTCTATTAAAAATGTGTCCTCATCCTTATTTCCTCACTCTTTGGGCTAAAAATCCTCTCTTAGGATTTTTCTTAATAACTGGTTGATGAAATGGAGTCCTTGAGTGTAGGATCTGTGAAATTTATCTTTGCCCCACAACACTAACTCCTGGCACTTATCAATGTGGAGAACATCCTTGCCAGGGAGTGAACATGAGCCAAAGGACCCGCCTCTAGGTACCAGCTTATGCCTCACCAAGGTGGGTTACTGTGCTGGCTGGGCTTTCAGCCTGGCCTGTTCTGCCCATCCTATTGTGACCTCTTGAAGCTCAGGCTTGTTCTTCTGCAGAAAGAGCTGGGAGGTATGGGGGTTGCCTGGGGAGGTATGGGGGTTGCCTGAGCTGGGCATCGGCTCCATTACCAGCCGGGAGGTGTATCTCCGTTCTGCTGCGTCTGGAGCAAAGGGAGCGGGCCAGATGGTCGTGGAGGGCGGGGTTGACTGCGGGGAGGCCGTGGTCAGAGCAAGAGGATAAAATCCTGAATGACACCTGATTTGTTTTTCGTGCTGTGATTTTTCACTGTTGTCCAATTGTCCTCTGTTTTTCCATCACATACCTTTTGTTTTGGGGGCAGCCCCCACTTGCATATGGTCCCTGGTCACCATGGGGGAGAGCAGTGAGCTGCCTTCCCCTTCACCTCCAGCTTTGAGAGTAAATCTCACCTTCTGGGTACCCACAGCAGCTGGGGACATTTGCCTTATTCCCACCATGGCCTTCCTGGGGGACTCCCTGCCTTGCTGCTCCTCATCACGGGTCCCAGCTGCTGGTTGTCGCTTGCCTTCCAGGTCAGGGAGGAGCACTGGGAATTCCTGGGACACAGGATGAGTGGGCGTAGTGGTCAGCAGGGAGGGGAGAAGCCCCTCCCAGTGACTCACCCAGCACCATGTTTGTCCCCACGTAGCCTCTCCTGACATATAGAACATGCTGCTATTGGGGGCAAAACCCACTCTTGGTTAACTTGCACCTTAAAACACCATATCGCACATTGTAGGAGCTGTGAGGGACAAACACAACCAGAACCTCAGTGCCCCTGGGCATGTATGACTAGAGGCGTGACTCCATCCTCTCTCAGAGCCCCTGCCCCAGATTTGAGTGACAGCCACCTCATCCTTAGCATCTGCGGAGAGGACCTGGGCAGGATCAGGGCCCAGAACGCTCAGTCAGTGTCCTTGAGGGGCCCGCTGCAGAGATGGGAGTGGCTAGTCTGAGGCCAGGGCTTGTGGGCCACATAGGAACCTTACTTACTTCCTGACTGACTTGTACCCTGAACCACCATGACTTTGTGACCTGGAGAAGGAGCCACAAAGAAACAGATAAGAAGAGGGACTGTGAGACCATATTTTGTTGGGGTGTTGACAGATTTTTACCATATTACTGAGATAAATGCACTTTACTCCAGCCCCACCGTGACCCTCCTCTCTGCTGCTCAGTGTAGTAGCAGCTGGATTAGTCAGTAGAAACACTTGATACGTCAGTCCAGATCCCTCAGGAGCATGCGGTATGGGTTGGGTTGGCATGGGGTTAATAACATGACCCGATGAGATTGTACTTCTTGATGACCGGCAGTTCTGAGAGTTTAGTCTGATCCAAGACTCTTCCAGTCCTGAGATGATTTTGTGTCTAGTGGCTAACCAGGACTCCCAAGATGGCAGCTGCTGTTCCTGGAATCTCCAGTTAGGTGGTGTCCCCTGGTCACCCAGTCCCCACTGCTTTCCCCACCCTCCTTACCCAGAGGATACGAATTTTAGGTGTTCCCAGTTGAGCACAGGACAGGGAGCTCATCCCTGATTGGTTTATGCCTGATTTTGCATTATTGTAGATGTGTTACCAAGCAGTTTTACTGTGCCCTTTTCAAGGAAGAAAGTCATACAATTTGAAGTGCATGAGACATTCACAAAACAAAATAAAAAGCAATGTCAGTATCATCTTCTTAAGCTTTTGAACATGTCCCCCCGATCCCCTTCAACATCCAGAAGTTGACTTTGACCCAGTCTTGGTCTAATTAACTGCTACTCTGCAAGCACTGCGCTCTCAAGATGAATGAAAATCTGTTTCTTGTCCTCATATCTTCTTGGTGGAGGACACGTCACTGCCATCAGCAGAGGTTGTCCTCCCAGAGCATGTGGCTTTGGCATGTGCCCCTTGTAGCAGAGAAGGGGCTGGGGCATGTGCCCAACCCACCAGTTGGGAGGCACCCACTCTGCTATGGCTGGGTAACAGATGTCCCTGTTGGAGACTCTTGTGTCTCCATTTGACACTCTACTGGTAATCAATAGTTAGGGCTCAATTAATGAATGGCTTTTCTGTTTAATAAATTTGTTTCTGTGGTGAAACATGCCATTGATTTTGAAACAAATTTGTAAATGGTGGGTTAGGTTCCCAGGTTAGCCCACCCTTCCCCCATATCTTACTGAACCTATACGAAGGGTTTAAAGGATCTTTGGTTCTTTGGCCCCCAAATACTTGCCTTAGCAGAATTTCAATGAGAAAATGTCTTTAAAAACTCCACCTTGGTTTCTAGGAATAGAGCTGGGGTCATTTCTTGGTTGTAAAGAACTTGCTATTTTCCCATTGTGGAGTGGAAAGTAGCTCTCAGATTTCCCCTTATTCTTTTATCCCTAGAGCAATATATAGTGTGGGGGATTTTCAGAGGTTTGTTATCACAGTGTAGAAATGAGAAGGAAAATGACTTCTTCCCCTGTGCCATCTTTGTTTTATCCATTTAAACCAGCAATGGCAAAATGATTTCATCACACATGATGCCTCTAAGCGATGAGACTCTATGGGTACTGTGTTGAGAAAAGATTCTGTGGGCACATTCAGGGATCAAGAAAGTATGCTGTGTTTGATTAGTGATGTCTGCCATGGGCATGGTCGTGGAGGGGAGGTGACTAATGTTTATTTGCCGTTCCTGAAACAGACCTGTTGGAAAGTAAAGTTCACACAGGTGATAATACCAGCCTAACTGTTATATAGAGTTTGTTATGTACTGGACACTGTTCTGAGTGCTTTTTGTATTTAATTCTCAAAACACCCCATGAAGTAAGTACAAATGAGGAAACTTAAAATGAAGAAATTCTTACAGATGAGGACACAGAGGCATGAAGAGGTTGAGTGACTAAGCCAAGATCATATGGGTAGGAAGTGGGAGAGCTGAGAGTCACAGTCAGGCCGTCTTGTCCTGGATCGCCTGTTCTTAGCCACCAGTTCTGTCCTGTCTCCTGCTTGTGAGTGTTGTGCCTGCGGTCCACAGGACTGATGTAAGACTCAGCTGTATTTCAGTAGAAGGTGCAAAATCACGTTTTAAGAACCTGTTATCTTTGGGCTTCAGGCTCTGGAATTAAAGACAAGACAAAGCCGCCAGGGACCTCATGAGTGATGAGGGAATAGCAAGTGAACTCCCTCCACCTTCTCCAATTCATGCAGTATTTCTGGTCTTTCCATCTCAGCCAGCACTGCCCACCTCTCAGTTGAGACTAGGTAAATGGGAAAGGGAAGAGGGGTTGAGATTTAAGGAGTGGAATAGAGGAGTTCCCTTGTATCCAGGTCACCTGGCTGGGGAAACTATTTCTGAGGGGCCATTTTCAATGATCATTTTATGTAAGGAACACACGCATGTACACATAAAGATATGTAACAGTCATGTGCCACATAACAATGTTTTGACCAACAAGGGATTATGTATATGATGGTGGTCCCTTAAGATTATAGTGGAACTGAAAGATTTTTATCACCTAGTGACATTGTAACCATGGTGACATCGTAGCACAACACATTATTCATGTATTTTTGGTCACACTGTTGTAAACAAACCTACTGCACTGCTAGTCATATAAAAGTTCAGCACATTCGATAATGTATAGTACATAATAGTTGATAATCATCATAAACAATGATGTTACTGGCTTATGTATTTGCTATACTATACTTTTTGTCCTTATTTTAGAGTGTGCTCCTGCAGTTATAAAAAACTGTAAAATAGCCTGAGGCAGGTACTTCAGGAGGTGTCCAGAAGGAGACATTGTTACCATAGGAGATGACAGCTCCAAGCGTGTTATTGCCTCTAAAGACCTTCCAGTGGGACGAGATGTGGAGGGTGGAAGACAGTGATATTAATGATTCTGATCATGCTTAGGCTTAGGCGAATGTGTGCATTTGTGTCTTAGTTTTCAACAGAAAATTTAAAAAGTAAAAAATGAAAATTTTAAAAATAGAAGTTTTCAACAAAATTTAAAAAGTAAAAAATGAAAATTTTAAAAATAGGAAGAAGTTTTCAACAGAAAATTTAAAAAGTAAAAAATGAAAATTTTAAAAACAGGAAGAGCTTATAGAATAAATATAAAAATATTTTCATATAATTGTACAATGTGCTTGTGTTAAGTTATGTTATTACAACAGTCGAAAAGTAAAAAATAGTTTAAAAGTTTATAAAGTAAAAAATTACAGTAGCTGAGGTTAATTTAGTATTGAAGAAAGAAAATTTAAAAAACAATTTAGTGTAGCCTAAGTGCGTGATATTTATAAAGTCCGTGGTAGTGTTCAGTAATGGCCTAGGCCTTCACACCCACTCACCACTCATTGACTTACCCAGAGCAGCTTCCAGTCCTGCAAGCTCCATTTGTCATAAATACCCTAGACAGGTGTACCTTTTTTTTAAATCTTTTATACTGTATTTTTACCGTACCTTTTCTGTGCTTATAGATATCTAGATCACAAATACTTATCATTGTATTACAGTTGACTACAGTATTCAGTATAGTCACATGCTGTACAGGTCATAGCCTAGGGGCAATAGACTATACCACATAGCCATAGCTTAGGTGTGTAGTTGGCTCTACCATCTAGGTTTGTGTAAGTGCACTCTGTGTTGCCCAATGACAAAATGACCTGACAACACATAGATTTCCCTGAATATATCCCTGTTGTTAAGTGATGCATAACTGTATATATGTATTTTTAATGGATCAAATAAGTTATCTTTCATAATGGCTAAAGAGAGATTTTTTAGTACCATTTACCTCACTCGTTAATTTAACAAATACTCATCAAATGCCCGTTCTGTGTCCATACGCTGAGAGAGGATTATGGAAATGGGGAGTCAGAGAGCTACGACCCCTGCCCTCCCTGAGCTTGCAGTCTACTGATAGATGCAGTCCCTGTACAAACAGTGGCATAAGTGCAAAGTGCTACTTGGGTGAGTGCTGCAGAGGAAAGGCCCTTGGTCCTGAGGGATCAGGGTGGCTGTGGTGGATGGATGAGGGATGCTAGTGTTCTGACCATGCAGGTGCTTGCAGGCCATGCCAAAGAGCTTTGACTGTGGCCTGAGAGTCATGGGATGCCATGGAAGGGGAGGAGGGGTCTTGGAGTTTGTGTCACATGATTAGATTTTTTTCCCTTTGGAAAGATAATTGTGGCTACCTTGGGAAGAATGAATTGGACAAGGGATATACAAGAGTTAGAAGGCAGATGTCGGAGTCCGGAAAAAGGGGTCATGACATTTGGGGCTAGGGAGGCTTCGGTAATGAAAAAAAGAAGTGAGGGGGATGCTACAGGTGTCTGGAGGGGGACAGTCGCTGGCTGTGGTGGCAGATTGGATGTGGGGAGTGAAGGAAGAGAAGGGATAAGGACAGTTAGAAAGCAGGAGCATGGCAGGCCCATTCCCAAAGGTGGGGGATGCTGGCACAGAAGCTGGTTTGGGATGGGAGGACATCCTGTGTAGTTTTGCGGTGTTCAGAGGAGATGTCAGATAGGGTGCACTTTGGATTGTGAACATGTGGGTTTCAGCTGGGCCATCGACAGACCTTGATGGATTGTCCTGGGAAACCAACTACTGTGGAAAAAATAGAAAAATCTATAATTTTCATTTGTTTGAATTCAAACATTTTCACCCTAGACAAAAAGAAAAGAATCTAACAATGAGAAAGGAAATAAATAAAAATAAATGTCTTGCATAGTCTTTGTGTTTTCATTTTTATGTTCTTCTGCCAGTCTTTTCACATAAATATTCATATTTTAATTAGTTGTCATTATAGTCTATGTAGAAGTTGTAATAGGATTGTGTTTCCTTACCATTATCCCAAATATTTTCCCACATTTCTGTATCTCTCTCAAGGCTGCATTTAAAACATGTTGGGTAATATTCCATTCATTTGATAAATCATAAATGGTAATTTTCTAAGCAATTCCTCTACTTTTGGATATTTAGTTGATTTTAAGATTTTGTTATTACAGGTAATACTTTCATAGATATTATGTGTATCACCTTTTCTTCTCGTGTGTTTTTTTCTTAAGGTGTATTCTTACGAGTGGGATTCATGGGTTTAAAGAGTTTGGTTTCTGACTTGTGATATGGGTCAAGGCAAATGTTTTCCAAACCACTGACAGGGCTGTGAGGCAAGAACGAAAGGGCAGATCTTTGATCTCCACACGGAAGCTCAGCATGTTTATTTGAATTCAGTAACCAGTGGTCCTAACCAGATCAGTGAATGCTTGACAGGGTCCTTCCATCACACAGCTGGGACCTTCCATCACACATCTGCTAATTGTGCCAGTTAGTGGCTACAGACCTCTATAAGGCCACTGAGCCCACCACCTTGCCCTCAGAACCCTGGGCTGGGTTCTCCCTTTTCCCAGGCTTTTTGCTTGTAGGAATGCCACAATGACTTTACAACCAGTGGAAGCCCCAGAAGGGAACTGATGGAATCCCTAAGGGCTACAGGCAGCTTCCCATGGGTTTGGATGGGTGCTCAAGATCTTCCGTGACCTAGTCTCGGTCTAAGAGATTTACTTGCCATTGCTTCTCAAAATAGCACCTCCACTGCACCAAGACAGATTGTTCTCTGGCCCGGGAAGATGACTCCTGGCCCTCACTGAAGTTGCTCTCTCACCCTTGCCTTTGCAAACCTGACTTCTCCTTCGGACTCCAGGAGTGGCAGCGCCTTCTGGCAGCACATCTGACTTCCCACCCAGCTCTCCTGCTACAATTACCTGCACTCCTGCAGAACCCTCCGTCCACATGGCAGGACTTAGCACATAATTATATGCCTTCTTTAATGTTTGTTTTTGCAGTTGTTATTTCTTGAAGATAACTGTACTCTCCTCGAGGGCAGGAACTGTGTCATCCTTCCCTAGACCCCTCCAAGCGTGGCTTCAGTGCTGAGCCCTTTGCCTGAACCCAGCCAATCCAGTGTGACCCATTACATCAAAGCGTCTCTGCCGATGATGCAGTGTGAAGCGTCTTAGCTATCCTTTTCTTTTGTGTTTTCCACATAAGTGCTCCTATTCAAAACCTGCTGAGGATATTATTTAGAAAATGCTCATAGATGGGGAATACTCATATTGTCTATTGATCACAGTTTGGGGGTTGTAAGATCAAGTTAATGCTGGAAAACAATAACCTGGTCACTTGTTACTTCCGAGTCCTCAGTGTTTACTAGGGTGGGAAGGGTGACTGGTTAGGAGGACCTGGGTGGGGGGATAAGGAGCTGTAGGAGGCACTGGAATATCTCTCTGGCTCTTAAGGAGGCTGGTGTCTTTGGCCTGGGTGAACAGTGCTTGTACTGTACTGAAATGACATGTTCTGCTATTGTGTTTTTTGAAAAATTGCTCCCAATGGAACCTTGCCCTTTTTACTTCTCACTTTAAATACTGAGTGCATCAGTGTTCTGATTGTTAGGAGTCTGCAGGGGGACTCACCCCCAGTTCAGCCTGGAAGTTGGAGCTTTGCTTGTTTTTTAGAGATGGTGTGGCAGAAGAGGGACTCTGGCTGGGTGTCGGGAGCCTTCAGGCCCGGCTGGGTCTGTAGCCACCCATTGTCCAGCTCTGCACAAGCTCAGACCTCAGCCTACTCATTTATAAAATGACATACCTGAACTAGATGATCTCTAGGCCCTTCTGCAATGGAGATGAAAAACAAAATAATTGAAGCTCTCTTCAGAGGGTAAGCTTGGGTGCATTTTTAACTCAAAGGAGAAATAGGCTCATTGACACATTTAATGACATGTGTTAGTATGTGTTAGAACTTTACACTTAAACTTGCATTTCTTTTTTTTTTTTTCTAGCCAAACATCATGTCAATGGCAACAGAACAGTCGAACCTTTCCCAGAGGGAACACAGATGGCTGTATTTGGTAAGATATCAATTCTGAAAGAAAACCCAAATTGTGTGCAAAGACTAGTGCCAAATTTCTTAGTTTTAGCAAGTGTTCTCAGGGCTTCAAAATCTGGGCTCTTCTAGATATTTACAAGTTGTTACAGCCAAGAAAACTATTGAGTTCCTAGTAATTTCTGGGGTTGGAAAAGCTTATTCTATAGAATTTAGCGTGCTTTATTTTCTCACGTTGACAACCACGTATCAAACTGAGTATTTGCTATTTCTTATGTCCACACTGTGAATTAACCTGCTAATTTAGGGTTTGAGTTTTTCTTTGCTAGCACGGATTTTTTTTTTTTCCACATAGATATATCACTTTGTTAAAGGCTGGAATTTAAGTAGTTTTGACTTATTATTACACAAAGATTAATCTAATTGAATGATCTCTTCCTTCTCCATCATGAATTAAGCACGCTCCTTAAGAGAAAACATTAATTAAAAATGTTTTCAGCAAAGGCCAATCCCTGAGTGATATACTTAAAATGTACAATTATGTGGTTGAGCAGAACTTCTCTGTTAAAATTCCAAACTGTTTGGTGAAGAGGTCCTTTTTAATCTGTGTTTCCTTCCCTCCATGCCTCATGTCATCTAAACTTCCTTCAGAATATCTCTGCACATGGCCCTTTCTTTGCCTGCCTTCTTTTCTCCATTCTTTCCTTCCTTACCTCTTCTTCTGTTGGGCCCATCTCCCACCTCCCCTCCCCTTCTCTCTAGCAGTGCTCTGGGGTTCATCCCTGTGTTACCCACTGAAAATGACGACCTCTGTGCTCTGGAATTTCAACTGGGCATTCAGCTGCCTCCCTTGGTTCCTTCACCTCCACGTTTAGACAGGTTCTGTGATGTCTCTCATCCTAAAAATGTGAGGTCCCCTGATTTCACGCCTCCCGTAGCTTCTCTCCTGCTCTGGTCTTGATGGTAATCTCCTTTGAGGGTACAAAACTGCTTTGAAGACTTGAATTGCGTTTGAACTGGAAATTAGCCTCAGAACAACCTGGTCTATAAATGAGCACACTGAAGTTAGATTGTTCCCTTATTCCCAGAGATGGAACCAGAATTAGGCATCAGTGAGGATTAGCAGCTGCAGAGTCATAAACAGGGACCCAGTTCCACCTCAGTGTTGGTAAATCATGCTCTGTGTAGGCTATCACCTTTTAAAACATACTGATCAGTGATGAGAAATCATTATGCCCAGAAATTTAAATGGAGAAGTTGATTTTGTAGAAGGCATAATGGCCTCTCTAAACCATGTGCTAAAACGTTTGATTTGCTAACTTTCCTGTCCCAGCATGGTGTCTGTTATCATGGGACAGCAAATGTCACATATATCAATGTTCAAAGGGGTCTTTTGATGATTTATTTATTTATTTTCCAGTCTCTCAGATTCGCCAACCCCAGGCATATGAGAAACTAAGTCTTATGTCATATTGGGAAATAGTAAATGACACTAACCTATTATTAGTGGGTTTCCCTCTGTTGTGATATTGAAGTAAAACTTCTTTCTTGAAGGGCAGATTCAGTACCAGATGGGCTGATGACATTGTTTGACTACAGAATTCGAAATAACAGGGAATGAGGCTCTGTGGCAAGTCTTTCTTTTCTTTTCTTTCTATTTTTTATTTTATTTTATTTTATTTTGCAGTGGGGGGTTGCAGTGGAAAGATTTGGTTTATAGCGGCTTCCTCAACATTCTTCCCCAAGGCCCTCATTGTTTCACTTTCAGCGGGCAACTTCCCCTCTCTAAGCCTCCGCTTTTCGATGAGGAGGCTGACAGGTGAACTCTAAGGCCTCTGCAGCTCTAGGCCCTTGGCCTTTACCTCTTACGCCTTCAGGACTGAAAGCTCTTGGAGCAGGGGGCAGCCCCTGGGAGGCCCACTGTGCATGGCCAGCATGTGTGGTTTTAGAAGAGATGAATCATGTGCATAATTTCTACAAGTTAACAACATATAAGAAGCAGAATTCTACAGATGATAAAGTAGAATATGTTTGACATCTAAGAATTCTTACTTTAGAAGTGCAGTTTAGCTCTTCCAGATGCTTAAATTAAGGCCTTATTTTGGTTAAGTATATGCAAGCATTTTATATTAATGTCTTCAAGATGATCCTCACTTTCTATCACTTGTCGCCCTGGGCTAGGGTAGAGTAGGGGATTTGGGGGGTTTTGAGGGTGGACTTCTGCCATTCTGGGTTGTTTATCACTGCAATGGAAAGGTCAACTCAGCACAGTGCTTGACTCTTTGGGATACATTGGGCATTTCATCCTGCCAGCCTCTTGCAAAGCTGATGGACTCATATACTCCTCTTCCTAGCGAGGCCATGTGACTTATCCAGAGCCACTTGGCCAAGGAGGTGGTTGGTGGAGCTACAGTTTGAGCCCAAGTCTAATTGACCTGGAATCTATGTTCTTGTTGTGATGTTCCCTGACTCTCTCTGCACTGGTTCAAGGAACCATGGGAAGGCCTTATAGATTCAGGGACACCTTTCAGCTGGGTCCACACACAAAAGTATGATCTGCAGCCAGGCCCATTTAGCAAATCGATTTGTATACTTGCATGCCTTCCCGGAGTGCTCTGAAGGAGTCTTGAGAAGTAGCCTTTGCTGGGAGAATACTGGTTGGAGCAAGATCTCCTACGGCTATCATGCTTTTCCATTTGACCACAGTAGCATGTATTATTAATGCACAGGAGGATGTCTTACATTCCCTTGACTGTGAGTTCATCAAAACAGTGATGGCACTTGTAATTGTTTAGACCCGTTCTTCAGCCTTGGAGGTCTTCATATTTTGTGATAAAATAGTATCACTAATTATAATGTCATTTTTTTTTTTTTTGAGATGGTGTCTTACTCTGTTGCCCATGCTGGAGTGCACTGGCACGATCTGAGCTCACTGCAACCTCCACTTCCCGAGTTCAAGCGATTCTCCTGCCTCAGCCTCCCAAGTAGCTGGGATTACAGGTGTGCATCACCACGCTCACCTTTTTTTTTTTTATTTTTAGTAGAGATGGGGTTTTTCCATGTTGGCCAGGCTGGTCTCGAACTCCTAACCTCAAGAGATCCGCCCACTTTAGCCTCCCCAAATGCCGGGATTACAGGCATGAGTCATCGCACCCGGCCACAATGTCGTTATCTGTTGGTTAATCATTTGAATATACCTTACCTTTAGAATGCTACCGAAATAAGAACTTTGAAATGTAATCCACTCTACAGATGACCATTGAACTTCCATGAAGCTTTTAGATTAGAATGTGAAATGTCAGGAAAGACAGATAGAGTGTGGGATAAAGGCATTCCAGTGTGAAAAATGCATGAATGGTCATATCAAGGGATCAGAGAATAGATAGATGATTCCTTAAAAACTGTCGCTGGCATACAGTCTTCACAGATTTTCTTATGTAGCCCAACAGTTAGTTTTTCTCCTGGTCTCCTTTTCTCTCTGGTTTTTCTGCCCCCATCATTCTTAGCTTCCTCTGTGGCTCTCCCTCTCCTCTGCCCTTTTGGACAATGAGAACGAAGGTAATAGGCTTGGTCCTCCTTGGGGGCTTCTCCTACCTGTGTGTGATGCTGTCTTTCAAGTCAGTGGGAGCCCTCTGCTTGCAAGCTGGAAAAGTGGAGCCACACATTTTGCAATTACTTCCTGTCTTTGTTCCTGGTAGCTGTGAGTGCCCCCTTGGCTCTCACCCATTTGATCTTTAGAGCGCCCGCCCTGTGTAGTGGGCATCATTGTGCTCCTTTATAGGCAGACAAACTGAGGCACCCAGAGATTAAAGAAACATGGCCGAGGCTTCCTCAGGTATGAGAACATCTTTTGCCACCCTGCTGGGCCTGTCTTAGAAAGGTTCTCTCTGGCCGTCAATATCTTAATGAAAGTGACATTCCGTTGGCCACGGTCCACTCTGTCCACGTGGAGGGCCGGGTTCCAGCCTCTGCAGAAGTGCTTGTTCTCAGCACAGACCAGCTACTCATTGCCTTAAAAATACTCCATAGTCAAGAAGATGGGTAATTTCACGAGAAAATCAAAGCTTACTAATTTAAAAGGGTGGAAAATGGAGGGCAGGGGATTCCAAGCTTAATTTGTGAAGATTCTTGGTACAATTAAAAAATATTTTATATAAAATATTAGCTGGGTATGGTGGCATGCACCTCTAATCCTAGCTACTTGGGAGGCTGAGGCAGGAGAATTACTTGAACCCAGGAGGCGGAGGTTGCAGTGAGCCGAGATCGCGCCACTGCACTCCAGCCTAGGTAACAGAGCGAGACTCTGTCTAAAAAAAAAAAAAATTTAAACTTTACTATCTTTGAACATAAATTTGTCATCCAAACTAGGATACATTCGAGAGTAAAAAGAGTGCTGTGAACAATTATACTGAAATAATGAAATAATGAGGGATAAACCTGGAGGGTTTTAGGCAATTAGGATATAATGTCCCCCTTTAACGAGGTTGTATATTATAACGTATTGCACCAAGAATAATAAATACACACCAAGTTAAGTAGAAATGGAAAAATAATGAACTTGGATAGACAAAGTGAACAAATGGAAAAAATTGCAATGACATAGATTGGATTGTATATAATGTCACATCCACACTAGTAGTTACGCTAACTTTGGAAATTATATTCAATAAATATTGTTGTGTTCTTCCTGAATAACTTCAGTTTGAAAGTTAATGCGTATTCATAAAACCTAGTTTGTGATACTTCAATAAGAGTGAGGGAATTGATCTGATTTTACAGTTGCAGTTTTAATATTGTACTAATACTTTCCAGGGATGTAGGGTAATGAATTCTCCATTACTTGAGATATTCAGATGGTAGAGTGGTCATCCTTAACCAGTTTGGAGGTGGGGCTATGTAGCCTTTAAAACCCTTTGTTCTCAATTACTGAGAATTGACTTTGTTTTGGAACACTGAAACATTTAAAAAAACATTCTGCTAAGTCAAAATTCTTTGAACCCATCATTATTTATTTTTTAATTTAAAAGTTTTGTGGGTACATAGTAGGTATATATATTTATGGGGCATGTGAGATGTTTTGATATAGGCATGCAGTATGTAATAATCACATCATGGAAATGGGGTGTCTGTCCCCTCAAACATTTATCCTTTATGTTACAAACAATCCAATTATACTCTTAGTTATTTTTAAATATACAATTAAATTACTACTAACTATAGTCACCCTGTTGTACTATCAAATGCTAGGTCTCATTCATTCTTTCTCACTATTATATTTTGCATCCATTAACGATCCCCACCTTCTCCTGTACCCCTACTACCTACCCTTCCCAGCCTTTGGTAACCATCATTCTACTCTCATCTCCATGAGTTTAATTGTTTTGATTTTTAGATCCCACAAATAAGTGAGAACATGTGATGTTTGTCTTTTTGTGCTGGACTTATTTCACTTAACATAGTGTTGTTGCAACACTATGTTGCACTATGCACTATGACAGGGTCTCATTCTGTTTTATGGCTGAGGAGTACTCCATTGTGTACATGTACCACACTTTCTTTTTTTTTTTTTTTTTTTTTTTTGAGACAGAGTCTTGCCCTCACCCAGGCTGGAGTGCAGTGACGCGACCTCGGCTCACTGCAACCTCCGCCTCCTGAGTTCAAGCAATTCTCCTGCCTCAGCTTCCCGAGTAGCTGGGATGACAGGTGCGTGCCAACATGCCTGGCTAATTTTCTGTCTTTTTAGTAGAGACGGGGTTTCACCATGTTAGCCAGGATGGTCTCGATCTCCTGACCTCGTGATCTGCCTGCCTCGGCCTCCCCAGGTACCACATTTTCTTTGCCATTCTTCTGTGGATGGACACTTAGGTTGCTTCCAAATCTTGGTTGTTGTGAATAACTGCTGCAGCAAACCTGGGAGTGCAGAGGTCTCTTCGATACACTGATTTCCTCTCTTTTGGGTACATACTCAGCAGTGGGATTGCTGGATCTGAAGGTGTGAACCCGTACCATTTGGGAACTCACGTCCAGGCTTTTTGGTGAAAGGTAAGATTCTGCAGTGAGAAACCTTAATGTTGATAAATTGATACCAAGCAGCAACAGCAGAAGTACCTCTGCAAATTCTTTGGGTTGTCGTGAGTTTTTAGGCTCCTAGTAGCCTGATGGCAATGTCTCTCTGACCTCAAACCACTGGAAAACATGTTTTCCGGGTCAGATTCTCTGAAGATTCTTCAAACAAGAGTGGGGAGCAAAAGCCAAGCCGAGGACTTAGGAAAATGTGTTTTTTGTCGCACGGCACATCTCTTTTGACAGCTAAGGTGCCGAGTGTTCGCGTGACCTTTTTTTGAACAGCTGTGTGAATGGACAGGTCCCGGAGCAGGGGCCCGTGGCTGACAGGAGCCCAGAGACTTGTCCCTCTCTGGGGTACTCACCTTCGGCCCCTCCAAGGAGAGTGAGATCAATGTAAGATGAACCAATCACAAGAAATCGTTTCCTGTCTGACATGAATGGGAGGTGAGTTTTGAATCAGCCCCGGTTATTTGTCTGCCAGCCAAGAAAACAACATTGGAAGCAGCCGGCAATATGTCAGACTTCAAAGGGAAGTGTCTTGGTGTCTCACTGGCACATATCCAGCATGATGTTGGTAAATAACCGAGTCCCGGTGTGGCGTATTTCTCCCTGAATCTTGACTGAAAACTACTGAAGCCCATTCTGTGAACTCTGGAGGGGCAGCCACTCATTCCAGGAAAAAGGCCAGAAAGAATGACATTGAAATGTGTTTATAATTAGCGAAACAATCTAAATTCACAAGATGGTCAGAACTGCAGGCTGCTAACTGGTGCAAACTTCTTAAATGGTAGAACACTTGGAGAGATAAAAATAGGCCTTCCTCCCTGGGTAATTTGAAGCAACTTGAGGGGGCAATGGTCATTGGAGACATAGTTTAAGATGCATTTTATTTTATATATCTTGTGCATGATTTCAACTTTCGTTTTCTTCTTGAGTGTAGAGAAGTCAGATAATATAGAGAAGGAGAAAGAGACCTTTGAAAACCTGTGTTGAAAATCTCTTTTGGTTTGGAAAGCATTGGCTGGGATGGTGCAGCCACGTTGACCTGGGCTGGTCCAGAAAAGAACAAATTATGGAGTCACAGAGGAGGGTGGGTTCATATGTTTAGAGTATGGAAGGTGGACTGTAGGTTGGAGGATGGCACAGAATCCATTGTAGAGGGGAGTAAGTTAGAGAATGTTTCATATAATAACACTTTACTTGTATAGAGATCACTTATCCATGAACTTCTCCCATTTCGGTTGTAAGTAAGAACCAGAAAGTGAAGCCCTCCTCCCACAAAAAGGTTATGGAGGAGTCTGTAAAGAATTCAGAATTCCCAAAGGTCACTGGAGTCCTGTAATCCTTGTTGACTCTAGACAAGTTTCTTCCGCCTTCTTAAGCCCCATCTCTCATCTGTAACATGACAAGAAAACTGTTTGCCACCTAGGACTGTTGTCAGAGTGTCAGGAAATGATGCATTGGCCCCTTGGCATGGGGATGACAGACCAGCCGGACAGGTGCTCCCTGGCAGACCACCTGCTCTCCTCACTCTGGGTGAGCTGTGATCAAGTCCCCGGGAGAGTGACGCCAACATCACTAGGCTCTATGGGATCCATCACCTCTCCTTCATAACACCAGACGAGTCCCGTAACTCAGGGATTTTGAAGGATAACAGACAGCATTAGTTGAGAACTCACCTAATATTGGCTGGGTACTGAGAAGCCCATGTTATTAAACTCTCTATCAGGCTCACTCTCACCATGTGTCCAAGTGAGACTGGTTGTTTGCTTCTGTGTCAATACAGAGCTCTCAGAAAATACTATATTTCTCTTTTGGCCTCAACTGTAAAGCTAATCAGATGTGGCTAATTTTTTCACTTTTTGCAGTAGTGTACAGCAACCACCCACTTGACTGACGTTTTTTCCTTTAAGTTTTGACAACGAGAAAGATTTATTTTACAAATGTGGCGGACATTTCTTAAATTTCTACAGAGAAAATACATTCAACAGGATGTTCAGGAGAAACAATCAAATATTTTCTATTACTTCTCTGTTAATTAACTTTTTTAAGAAGAGAAACATAGGTATAGAGAACAACTAAAAGGAAAAAAGTTACTCATTATTAAATTTAACCCAACTAGCATTTTTAAGAAAAATACGGAGCAATCAAGGATCAAATTCAGATAATATAAAACCTAATATTATTTTTCTTGTTCTCATTCTCCCCAGCCATTTATCTTGGGACTTGTTATAAAATGGATTAAAGGAAAATTAAAATATATGCAAGACACAGCCAACTAACATGCATTAGAATTAGGTAAATATTAGGCCAAAGGAAAAGAAAGTGAAATGAAATACACAAAGAATGCATGTCATAATCTTACATAATTTATAAAACTTGCTCATAAATTTGGCTCTATGTTTCCTAGCAGCAACATGAAGAAAAATCAGTTGGTTGCATGATGGACTTCATTTTTAAAAAATTGTGGTAACAGATACATAATATGAAATTTATCATTGTAACCATTTTTTAAGCGTATGGTCCAGTGGTGTTAAGTACCTTCACATTGTTTTGTACCCATCACCACCATCTAGCTCCAGAATTATTTTATCTTCTCAAAGGGAAGCTCCATAGACACTAAACACCGTCTAGTCCTCCTTCCCCCAGCCCCTGGTAACCTCTATTCTACTTCCTGTCTGTCTAAATTTGACTACTCTAGGGACCTCCTATAGATAGAATCATGCAGTATTTACCCTTTTGTGACTGGCTTATTCTACTTCGCATAATGTCTTCAAAGTTCATCCATGTTGTATTGTGTATGAAAATTTCCTTCTTATCCCATTGTATCTATAGACCACATTTGGTTTGTCCATTCACCTGTCAATCAATACTTGAGTTGCTTCCACCTTTTCGCTGTTGTGGATAAGGCTGCGATGAACCTGAGTGTACAGATCTCTCTTCAAGTCCCTGCTTTCCATTCTTTTGGGTGTATACCCAGAGATGGAATTGCTGGAGCATATGGTAATTCCATGTTTAATTTTTTGAGGAGCTGCCATATCATTTTCCAAAACGGCTATACTTTTACATTCCCACCAGCGAACCACAAGGGTTCCAATTTCTCTGTATCCTTGCCAACCCTTGTTATTTATTTATTTTTAAAAATTATAGCCATCCTAATGGGTGTGAAATGGCGATGGATTTCAGTTTTACTTACTGATTCTAAAAATGTACACGTTTGGGGGAATCACACATATTTTGGATTCTGGAACCAGAAAGAAATTTTTCAAGGGTACTTAGGAGGACACTATATGTACTACAAGGCATTTAGGCAGCACTGCTGATGGCACCCTAGGAGTGAGCGGCGCGCAAGTCTCGTGGCTGTTTGCCACACTGCTCTTCTCTTTGGGCTCGTGACCCTCTCCCCACAAGGGACTATTTGGTCCTTGCATCTCTGCAGGTGCTAGCGTGCTTGTCTGCTGGCTCTGGTTTAACCCAGAAGTTAATTGCGTTGTATCTAAAACAAGCAATGGACCAGCTGTCTTCTAGAAGATTTTCTGTCAATATCATTTCTCTCAGTTGAGTTTTAAAAGGTATTTGTTTTTTACTTTGCAATTGTGAAAGATTTCAAACAAAAATACAGAGCTTAGTATAATGAAGCCTTGCTCGCTCAGCTTCCACAGGTCTCAGTTATGGCTAAATGTGCCTTGTCTACATCCCCACTCCCTCCCCCTCTTCTATCCTAGCATATTTAAAGCAGATCTCAGCTGCCCTATCAACTCATCCATGAATATTTTGGTATATATCTCTAAAAGATAAGATGGATTTTTTACACCTAAAATAATACTTTTTAAATATCATCAAATCTCCAGTGAGTCCATTTCCCCTGTTGCCTCATAAATGTTTTTTAAAACTGTTTATCTGAATCATGAGCCAGATCGCGTATACATTGCAATTGGTTAATATAAATAGTTTCTTTTCATCTGTAAGTTCACCCTTCTTTCTCTCTTTCCCTTGCTATTTATTTAAGAAATTAAATAATTCAGCCTGTCCTATTTCCTTTAGTCTTGACCGAACGATCATGTTCATTTGTCCTCTTGTATTTTCTACAAACCGAGAGTGAGAGGGCTGATCAGCATCTGTAAGTGGTGGTGTGTTTCATTCAGGAGGCATTTAACACCCGGTTCCTTTTCTATTTATTTATTTATTTATTTATTTATTTATTTATTTATTTATTTATTTTGAGAAAGAGTCTCACTCTGTTGCCGAGGCTGGAGTGTAGTGGTGCGGTCTTGGCTCACTGCAACCTCTGCCTCCCAGGTTCAAGCGATTCTTTTCCTCAGCCTCCTGAGTAGCTGGGATTATAGGCGTGCACCACCACACCTAGCCAATTTTTGTATTTTTAGTAGGGATGGGGTTTCACCATGTTGCCAGGCTGGTGTCTAACTCCTGAACTCAGGCGATCCACCCGTCTCAGCCTCCCAAAATGCTGGGATTACAGGTGTGAGCCACTGCGCCCGGCCCTGGTTCCTTTTCTTTTGGTGAAGTTAGCATCCCCTTACTGATCATTGCCTCAGTCCATTATTTTCTTAGAAACTGCAAGATATTCTAATTCTAGCATTTTTTAAATTTGTGAGCTGAAATATTTCTATAAATAGAGACTTCTCTTTATCAACTGTATGGTTACTGTGAGATCCAGTTTGCTGAAGAAAGCAGGATAAGTGGTGATTTTCCTTATGTACCATTTTGCTCCATGTATCTGAGCATGGCTCTAAACGTGTATTCCCAAGTGTCAGTGTATATATGGATAGTTGTTTAAGTCAAAAGCCATTTAACAAGGGATAGAAACTGCCTTAATTTGACGGAATGACCATTTTCACTTGGGCGTTTAACCAGATTATTGAAATTTGTAACCAGTTGGGTGAATACTTGAAAATAGAGCCACAGTACAGATTGCTGCAACAGATTTGAGTAAAGCAAGAAGCAGGCACACTGTCAGGTGGCAGAAGGCAGGTTCTCAGGCAAAGCTCTCTCCACGGAGCAGCGATCTTCTCTCTCGTTCTTTCCCCAGATCTTGTGACCAGGGGATGTGCTGCAGTGCAGGTTTGAGTCCTGACCCTCAGTAGCTCAGGTTTAAAAAAGCAACTCCAGAGAGGGCCTGAGGGTTGGAGGAGGTCTTGCTTCTAGATGTGCAATGCCTTCAAACTGTTGAAATGATAGAAATGGAGAAGCAGTCAAGAAATTACAAAGCCTGCTCAGGGATGCTGCCCATAGCGAAGATTAACAGCTGGGCCATTTCACCTGGAGCGCTTTTTCACGCCTCTGCTTAATATCGTGAATGAGTTTGAGGGTAGCAGAAGACACTCCCCAGAGTGGATTTTCCATACTTCCAGTTCTCACAGAAGGTGTAGGTAAAACTGTTCGTGGTTATCACTGCCAAATTTTTGGGGATTCAAGAAGGGGAGATATTTACTGACCCACTTCTTTTTTAATCTCATACACATCTCGTGTATGTATTTTTGTAAGTGGTCTCAAATTCTTTTTTGGAACAGTGTTGTGTATGAATAAGGTAAATAAAAATAAAATAATTCCCATGAATGAAATTTGGCTGGGTGCGGTGGCTCACACCTGTAATCCCAGCACTTTGGGAGGCTGAGGTGGGTGGATCACAAGGTCAGACTGAGACCATCCTGGCTAACACGGTGAAACCCCGTCTCTACTAAAAATACAAAAAATTAGCTGGGCGTGGCGGCGGACGCCTGTAGTCCCAGCTACTTGGGAGGCTGAGGCAGGAGAATGGGGTGAACCCGGGAGGCACAACTTGCAGTGAGCCAAGATCGCACCACTGCACTTCAGCCTGGACGACAGATCGAGACTCTGTCTCCAAAAAAAAAAAAAAAAAAAAAAGATATTTGTTAGGTCCAGTACAATGTACACCTTTTTGGTTTTTTTTTGTTTGTTTGTTTTTTGTTTTCCCCTGGTAGGCAATCAAAATCAAACAGTGCCAGTTCTTTTTTTTCAGGAATAACTGGAAATGTTACCACTGAAAGCCTAAGAAGTGGGATTCAGTTGAAGCAACATGGTTGAACCATGTGGAGAAACAGACGTTTAGCTTGGCATACCTTAGGCCCAAGTAGTGTGAACAGTGATGCAAGAACCTGTGAACTTTCCCTACATTCTTATGTACAGAGTCTTAAAAGCCCACGATCATTGTATTATTCTATGTCCATAACCACTAGGTGTTATTAGGAAAAACACTTTTCATCTTCCTGGGTCATCAGTGTCCCAGACTTACACAAAGAATTATATTTGACCAAGACCAAGTTTCCTTGCTGAGCTCACTGACCTTGGGAGCAACAGTGGTGCCTGCAGATGGATGTCTTTCTGATGGAGGTCCCACCCTATATCCTTCCAGATTTCAGCTGGGATTCCAACATTCATGATAATATGGAAATAATCAGTGATACATCATGGTAGACATTACCATGAAGAAACTCAAAACAATCTTTCAAAAATATGCTTAGCATAAGCTGAGTGAACACATAGTCAGATGTGGCCTTCCAGAACCAAGCCTACTCAGGGTGAATCAGCACTGTGTTTTCTTAGGAAAAGAAATTTTATTTTATTTTTTTGCCATATGCCTGTTGTCTCCTAAAAAGTCCTTTGAATCGCATTCATGTTTTTATGTGATGACCCTTTTCCAGTTTCCTAATTTCCATAATTCTGCCACTTGTCAGGTCACGATGGAGCTGTTTCTAGTGGGAGCCTGCGTCCATCTTTCTTCCAGCACCCTTATATGGATTCAGTGCTTGGTGACATTCTTATTACCCTTTCTTTCACCAGCATTCTGTTTCCTCAGCATATGACCTTTGTCAGGGTGGCAGTGGGCACTCACATTGGGAAGCATGGAAGAGTTTTGATTCATCTTACAAGGACATTAAGGGAGGAGGACTGGGGAGGGTCGTCTGGGGAATTTCAGGAATGTGATGACACTAGGAGCAGGAAGTGACAGCTACCTGAGGACAGATGAGCCCAGAAACCCTTTCCCGTTCCTTGCTCTTGGCTGAATAACTTGTGCCTGGCGGGTGTGTCTTTGGCCAGGCCTCACACTGACAGCTCTGCAGTACAGATATGCAGTGGGATGGCCACATGATGGGGAAAGCCCAATAGCATGGAGTCTGTGTGGGGCTCTGCTTTCCCACGTGCAGAAAATGAGAGCCGCCTTCCCGAGCAAATAGCCAGTGCATGCTTTTATCCTGCTGCCAAGACATAGGTCTGCAGTGATGCATAAGAAATGACCAGACATCTGCACCAACTGAATGACAAACAGCTTTTCAATTGCTGTGAAGGTTTTGGTAACTGTATTGAAGTTTTTGTCCCCATTTTTTCTCCCATGTAAGACATTTTTAATCTACCTTGCAATGAAGAGGCTGTTAAACACTTGTACCAGCACCACCCAGCTTTTCCATGTCTATATTAAGCTACATATTATAAATATATATATGTATATATGTGTATATATACATATATATATTTGTTCTTTACACTTAACTCTGAGATGAGAAAACTAAGGCTCAGAGACATTGACTTCCCCAGGGTCAGGCTACTAGTTAATGGCAGAACTAGTTAATGGCCTGGCACTGAGATTATTTATTCACATGTTCATCAGATGGTTTATTTATTGCAACAGGAAACAAACAAAAATCTCTAGCAGCTTATACTCCAGTAGGGTGGGACAGAAAATGAGATAAATATGTAAAGCATATGGCATGTCAGATTATGATAAGTGCTGTTGATTAAAATAAAGCAGGGAAAGAGAATAGGAAATGCTAGGCTAGGTTGAGGGGTTGTAATTTAAAATAACATAGTCAGAGAAGTCATGAAGGAAAAATACCTGAGACAGGTTGTTTTGCACAGATTTATGGAAAAAGTGTCCCAGGCAGAAGGAATGCAAGTACAAAGGCCCTGAGGCAGGAGTGGCGGAGGCCTGTGTGGCTGGCGTGTAATCAGCAAGGGAGGAGGAGGAGCAGCTGAGGTCAGAGACTACGAGATCATGAAGGGCAATTCACAGGTAATTCGTGGGTAATTGTGGGGACTTTAACATTTATTTTGCACACTATAGGAAGTCTAGAGGGTTTAAGGCAGAGGTATGACGTGACTTTTTTTTTTTTAAAGCCACCGTGAGTGCTCTGTTGAAGATGGCATATTTAGGTTGGTGAGAGATGCAGCAGGAATACCACTTAGGAAGCTATTGCCTCCTAGTTCAATACTTTTGGCTTTTGAACGTAACTACTTTTAATAATAATACAAAAAAAGCTTTAGGCCTTTATAGACCTTCTCAAATGCCATATTTTCATAGTTTTGTAAGGTTTTCTATCCCTCTGTTTTGAGAATTTAAATAGCCCTTTTAAATGACACATTAGCTTGGCTATTATCAAAAATTCAAAAGATGGCAAGTGTTGGTGAGGACTCTCACTGTTGGTGGGATTGTAAATTGGTACAGCCATTATGGAAAACAGTGTGGAGGTTTGTAAAAAAATTTACAACAAGACTATTATATCATTCAACAATTCTACTTCTTCATATCTAAAGGCAATGAAATCACTATCTCAGAGATATTCATACTCTCACGTTCATTGAGGCACTATTCACAACATACAAGATACAATGTCCATCAGTGGATGCATGGATTAAAACCTGCGGTATATATACACAATGGAATACGATTCAGTCTTAAGAAAGAAGGAAATCCTGTCGTTGGCAACAGTATTGATTAACCTGGAGAACATTATGCTAAATGAAATAAGCCAGGCATAGAAAAACAAATAGTGCGCGATCTCACTTGTATGTGGAATGTTTAGAAAAGTCGAACTCATCAAAGCAGAGAGTACAATGATGGTTACCAGGGGCTGGAGAGATGTTGGTCGAAGGGTACAAAGTTTCAATTGGACCTGAAGAATAAGTTCTGGAGATCTTGGTGACTATAGTTAATAATAATACATTGTACACTTGAAAATTGCTAAGAGAGTAGATTTTAAATGTTCTCACCACATAACAGTGTTAAGTGTGTAAGGTGATAGGTATGTTACTTAGCATAATTTACTTATTCCACAGTGTGTATATATATCAATACATCACGTTTTACACCATAAAATTGTGTTTGTCAATTAAAAAGTAAATTTATAAAAAGTGACACTAGCAAAACACAGATACACGTCCTTCCTAGAGAGTATTTAGGTATTACTATTGCTTTACTTGCAGGTCAATATTACCTGCATTTTTAGATAGAATGGTTTGATTTAAACCACTCAGAATCATGTTGAAAGTGTGCATTGGATCTCATACAAAATGGGTCACTTCATGAGAGTTGAAGTTGAGAAGCACTTCAGATTGTACTTCTGGTATACTTGGAATGGAGCACAGGGCAAAGGAACATTGTAATGTGATTTAGAATATGAAATCAGTGCTTGAAATAAGACTATAATGTATCGATGAAGTACATCAGCATTTGCGTCTATCTCTTAACTCTTTTACCTCCACAGACCACTGGGATAGAATGTCAGATATTGGTTATCGGCCACATTTGGGCTTCAGTCAGTGAATTTGAAGACAGGTCAGTAGAAATTCTCCAAACTGTAGCACATAGAGAAAAACTATTGTTATGGAATGAACAGATCGTCAGTGATTGGGAGAGAATGGCAGGTGGTGTAATGTATGTGCAATTGGAGTGTCACCAGAAGCCCAGACAGATACTGGGACAGAAAATGTATTTGAGGAAATAATGACCATAAATTTGATGAAAAATTGTAGGGGTGTAGTTAAGATGAATGCCAAATCTAGATGGTTAAAGGCAGGGGTCAAATCAAGACCATGGTACAAAAGATTTTGGGTGGGGAGAAAGATGGGTATAAAACGTGAAGACCCATCTTACTCAAAGACCGCCCCTGTTTCATTTCCCCACTCCGAATTCCTTTTAGAACAAATGGGTTTTGGTGACAGTGTGTTCAGATGGAATACTCACAGACTTGGACTCACACCTGGGTTCAAATCCCAGCTCTACCTAATCTAACTAGTTCTGGGTCCATGGCAAATCACTATAGTCTGCATCCTAGGATCATCATTTGTTCAATGGAGATAGTGATATCTCTTTGGCAAGGCAGGTCTAAATGGTGTAGAATATGTACGTTTTATAGGGTGGTGATGCGCACATCATAGCTAGGCCCTTAACAGATAGTAGCTTCTTCTCCCACCAAACCAGTTCTTTTTGTGGTTATCTGGTGTCACCGTTCACCCACTTAGCTATAAACCAGATTAAGAAAATTACACTTTTTACAAAGGGCGTGAAGAACTATGGAAATGATAGGATCATCTTTGCATGTTAGAATGATTGCTCCAGCCTGAGTGTGAAGAATGGCATGAGGGTGTGAGACAAGATTTGAAGAAACCAGATTGAAGTCTCTCGCTACAGCCCACACACCTCTTCATACCCTTCCCAAACAAACAACAGTATTCTCCTTTTTCACAAAAGAGCTTGATTTTCCTATTTAAACCACAGCCTCAACTATTACCAGAAGAAAAAAAAAGACCAAATAAAAATTATCTGGGTCCCCTTTTCTCAAGAGCAGAGAGGGCACACTCTTTAATGGGTTAGAGATGGGGGCTGGACCAGGTGGTAGTCTTGTGTATGGAGTCCAGTGGACAGAGCTGAGAGTCCCTCTACTGACAGTCCCTGGATTCATCACCACCACATTTCTAAGAAATCTGATTATTACCTCCCCATCAGAGAGAGACACTCCTCGTGGTACAGCTGTGATCATATCATTCCTTTGCTGGGGAAATCTTGGTCACTAGAAAGATTCCTGCACTCCTTAGTCTGACATGTAAGGTTCTGCAGAACCTAATTTCAATCTACTCTCCTAGCCTTTTTTAAATGAACACTACTACTAGGGCCGGGCGCAGTGGGCTCACACCTGTAATGCCAGTACTTTGGGAGGATCACCTGAGGTCAGGAGTTCAAGACCAGCCTGGCCAGCATGGCAAAACCCATCTCTACTATAAATACAAAAATAAGCTGGCCGTGGTGGCGCATGCCTGTAATCCCAGCTACTCCAGAGGCTGAGGGAGTAGAATCGCTTGAACCCAGAGGCAGAGGTTGCAATGAGCCGAGATCGCATCACTGCACTCCAACCTGGGTGACGGAGTGAGACTCCATCTCAAGAATAAATAAATAAATACATGCATACAACTTCTCACCCAACCTGTGTTGAGGCCTTGTCATCTCATCCCTTACTCTAACCACTGCACACCCTCCCATGTATTCAGTTGAAACCCTACTCTTCCTTGAAGTCTCTGTGACTTTCCTCAGTCCTTCCCCCTCAACCCTTCTTTGTGCCTTTGTTTATGGGATAAGGTTTATCGCCTTGCATTATGATTAGAGATTGAATGGATTACCCATCTCTGCCTGTGCTCTAAGCTTTTTGATGATAGGGCCTGGTCTTGGATTACTTGGGGCCTAGTCTCAAATATAAGCCCTGAATATAAATACTTGTTAGATGAATCACGTTCTTTACATTGTCGATAGAAGTGGGAAAAATTCTTTTTATTCATAAATTTAATTTGCCCAGAGTTGCGGAAGAACTAATTTTAAAAGTTTAGGTTTGAATAGAGGAGCAAAAAGTCATAGAGAGGGACTTAAAGAGGAAGTCTCAAGGGAACTTCTGAAAACTTCTTTGGGCTTTAGCTGTTGATGGGCCGATGTTCTTTATGGTGCCAGCTCTCGTTTTGATGTAGATGTCTGACGAGCCTAGTTTTCTGGGTACTCGTTGGATGAGTGACACTCGGAGCCTCAGAGAGGAGGGATGCAGGGTGCAGGTGCTAGGTGAAGGGAACTAGTGTTTACTGACCATCTACCGGGTGCCAAGCCATGCTGAAAGGCAGAGATTTCCAAGGGAGGAAAATGGTTGGGAGATAGGAAAGTGACAGAGGAAGTATTCTATCCATGCCAGAAAGACGTAAGGTGTAAATGACTGTGTGGCATGCCATAGGAAAAAATGGGAAGTGTGAAATTCCTCAGATTCACTGCACAGTAACTTGGGGAAGAGCTCATGATGCTAGTCAAGTTATTTCTTAGCCTCTGGACCTCATGGTTCCTGTTATGAGATTTGGCTAAGCTAGTGGCAGGGAACCACGGCTTCTAGTGTTTTCTTCACCCCATTTCTACAGCAGGTGACTGTTCAGGTGACTATAGGGGAGGGGTCACATGTGATGAAAACACTGAGTATCTCAAACCAGCTGTCTTGCCTAGGCCTCAGTTTTGAATGTGGTAGATGAAAGGTTTAACTTTCCACTAATAGCCCTCCCAGCTCTGCTGTTCCTTCTGGGATGAAATGGAGTGATCCAGGCTGATCTGCTGATGTTTTACTGCTTGTCAAGAATGCTAAGAAGAGGGTCCCCTTGTGGCTGCAGATTGCTTTGGGGACCTTTCATGAAGATTTCTTCATCTGGGACCTCTTTCCCACATCCATATGTCCTACATTTTCTCTTAGGATTGAGCTAGAGCTGAGATCATTCTACTATATTAATCAACACCTACTGCAGTGTCATGGTCATTGGCTCATTGGAATTCCATAGATCTCCTACCCACTCTAGTAGGGAAAAGCAAATTGCAGAAACCTTAGAAAAGTCAGTGCCCATGAACAGACACATTTAGGAAATAGAAAATTACTAAAGGATGCCTCTTCGGCAAACTGGGTGCCATATGTGTGCATATATGAGTATATATATATGTTTGTTTGTTTGTTTGTTTGTTTGTTTTTTGTTTTTGTTAAGGCTTTCTTTACTTTGCCCCAGGCCAGCTGGTGTGCATATTTGTCAGGTCCTGTTAGAGCTCTACAGCTCATTCTCAGCCTGCCTGATCTCAGCCTTGCTCTCAGGTCCTCAGGAGGAGTTTGATTCTTCTGGACCGTGGTGCTACTGGCTATTTAATCCTTTATCGTCACCATGTCCAGCTAGCAACCACTTGCCTTCCAGCAGCTGGGAGAACTGTGCTGGTCCAGGGAGCTGGTTTTGAGAAGCCTGGGCTTCCACGAGCAGAGGTCATTCTGTCTAGAGATCCATGGCTCACCAGTCCATCCCTGGGGAGCAGCTGTGGCTCCACTGTCCTTCAGAGATACAGACACAGTGAGGCACATTCTGAGGAGAGCAGATAGTGAGTAGATCCTAAAATGTGTTGAATGAGGAGCAGATGAAGGAGCTTGGATTCTGCTTGGTGACGACGAGGCCCGTGGAGTTACCAGAGTTGTCTTCAAGAGGTCAGAGTGTTGGCAGGTTGTCATAAGGAAGAGGGGCTAAATTTGTCCCTTGTGACCTCAAGGGAGAGAATTAGAGTGAAGGAAGAAACATACCAGGGGTTTGATTCAGTGTAGGAATAGCTTTCAAGCTCTCATTAGATCTGTGAAGGGGAATGGGCTACTTCAAGAGGCAGAGGGTAATTTGAGCTTTGACTGAACACTTGTTTGCTGTAATATGAAAGGGGTTATGAAGATTTCCAGGGCATTGAGGCTAGATGAGAAGGAAGGTCCCTTCCAACCTTGGAATTCTGATTCTTGACCCCTCTTGGTAAATACATACCTGGTACTCTTCAGAGAATATTCCCGGGGTTAAGGCTGAAAAATAGCAATGTGTATAAAGAACCTGGAGCTGCATTAATCACAGTGCAGAGGTACAGTGGAGTGTACACGTGCATATGAGCACATTTTAAATTAGGGAAGGGGCTGAAAAGAAAAATTAATCAAATTAAAGCAGCATTAGGAATGATGTGGACAGAAGGTAATTAGTTGCCATCAAATACTGAAAATATCAATCAACCGCTAATTGCTATATGGTTTCTTTTATTAGCAGAAGGTATTTTCAAATTTTGTAGATTTCAATCAAGAGTAGGGATAAGGAAGGTGTCTTGTTGCATTATTTAACATGATGTAGATTTTCAGAAAAGTAAAGAGCACAGAAGATAAATTGAAATGTTTACATTTTTTGCCACGTATTCATCTTCCTTGTTCCTAGCATCGTAGAGCTGAAATCTGTCTTTGAATCCCCCCTCCCCTGCTCTCTTCTTTGCTGGATAGCTGACCAGAAGAGACTTACTCCAGGCCACCAAGATGGTGTCTGGGAATGTGTGTCCGTGGCCAGGGTCTGGCTGTCTCTCGTCCACTGAGCTACCTTTCTAGAGTTGAGCTCAGGATATTTCTGGTCTCTGCCTATGTTCCACCTTCTGATCAAGGACCTACAGCTATCCAGCTGTAGCCGGAATTGAGGGTCCTTTTGTTGCCCTGGTCAGAGGTTTCATCAAGGTGCGCCCTTTTGCCTTTGAAGAGGCCAGGGAGCCGTGGAGAGGAGCACCTTGGAAATGCGCTGCATGTGGTTTGCTGTTTCTGTGCCCCTGACTCTACGTGTACTTTATTGATATCCAGTAAATGCCCAGTACAGAAAATGCACCTCTAATAGGGTGCTCCATAAAATTATGCTCCCTTCCCGAGATCCACGTGAACTGCATGTCATTTATCAGGTGCCACTGAATCTATGTAATGAATAATTTGATCCCACAGCACCATCCTTCAAACCCTGTGTCTGCACGGGGAGGCTGTTAATTCAGCTTGCTTGCAGGCATCCGTAGTGGTCCACAGAGACCAGCTTCTGACGTTGTTTCCAGGGAGGTATAGCAGAAAGGACGTCGGCTTTGAATTCCAGGCCTTCCTTCATGGGAATCCAGAGTCTGCCTTGGTTCTATCTATGTCTTTGGGCAAGTGGCCTAACCTCTCTGAATCTCTGTTTTCTCATCCTTAAGTTGGGGCTAGTAGCATCTTCCTTGTAGGGTTATCACCGGATTCCACATATACAGATATCAGTGTGTGGCTCACAGCAGGCATTTGGTGGATACAAACTCATTTATTCCTTTCCCTTAACTTCCTTTTTCTTCATACTGTTTCCTAGAAAACGATACTCAGTTACTTGCTGTTTGTAGGGAAAATTTTATTTACTCACTGATCACAATTGTAATGTCACAGTTAAAGTTGAGGAGAAGAAAAAAAGACGAAAAAAGATCTTGATTCTCTTTATCATTTCCTTCCACAGAGCCATCAGATCATTCTATGACCAAGTGAGATGTTATAAATAATTTAGTTCTACTCATTTTTTACATGACAGATTAAGGCTTCAGACATCCTGCTGTGTGACTCAGAGACACACACTCACCTGCCCTTGGTTGAGACTAGGTGTCTTTGCAGGTTTTGGGTGACAAAGACCTGGCTGGTGATACTGAGCAGGAGATGGTGAGAAGGTCAATATATGAAGACGCATTAAGCTTTTGCAAAGCTGTGGGTTCAGAAGTAGCCATTAGAGAGGGATCATCTGAGTTGGGTGATAACCAAAGAGTTTTATGCTTGAGAAATGGAGAAACTGGCTCAGGAATTCTGTAGGCAGCGTCCAGAGAGGCTGCTATGAGGCTGCAGTATGGTACGTTTCATCTGAGGACTGGGGGCCGGCTCTGAGGCTGTACCACAGCATGCTGTGATTCTCAGAGATCAGGGTGACCAGAGGAGCAGCTCTGACCTCGAGTGGACTGAGAGGGGATTTAGAGGGTGTGCCTGCGCATGTGGGGAGGGCAGAGGTGGTGCAGGCAGGGAGCCTAAGAGAACAGAGTGGACACGAACGCTTACTGAGTACCTCATAGATGAAATCCCCTCAGTGACTGTGAATAATATTCTCTTTACTCCTAGTTTATAGATGAGAAAAAAAAGGGTTAGAGAGTACAGAGAATTTGCCTGAGGCCACACAGTAAGTGTTTCAGCACGTAAGTCTGATGGAAATATGCCCCATTCAACACTTCTGAATCCACGTCTATAATCTAGGAATTTGGAAGAGGAAAGGGAGAGGTGAAATGGGAGCTCTTTTTCTTTCTGTGTTTGACTCTGCATTCCCCGTCCTCCCCATATAATCAGTGAATTTCCACTTTCGAAGCCTCAATGGATGGGCTGAATTCTCCATAAACTGGCATTCTTCTTTTTAGGAATCCCTCCATTATGAACTACACTACATTGATAAAGATGCTCTGTGAAAATTTCAAAGTGTTACAGTTTAATTCAGCAGATTTTTTCCACCCGAGGAGCCTCATACGTGCAAGGTGCAATGCATGCTGTGCTATGTGACAGAATACAGTGTCCAGGGAGGTGGGCCCCATGTTCAGAGTTCTCTGCAGAGAGGGGGTTACAGGGAAGCCAGCAGGCATTCCATAGGGTAGACTATGTACGTGCCTGAGTTAAGGGGGTTTGGACATGCTTTGGGGTTTTAAGAAGAGAGCTTTGTATCTGATTGACATTCTGGAAAGACTTAAGGGAGAAGGTTATACCGGAAATGGCACTGGGTGGATGGGCAGGGTTTCCTCAGGTGGAGATGGGGGTGTAGGAAGTGAAGTATGCACACAGTCAGGAGGGTGGCCATAGGACAAAGGTTCAGGTTGGCTGATGGTGGGGTATGGATGTTAGAACTTCAACAACTGCCCTCATTTTGTGGGTTATAAAAGTAATGCATGCTCATTACAGAAAATATGGAAAATATATGAAAATACAAAAGAAAACCAGAGGCAACCATTATTCCAATATTTTATTGTATTTTCTTCCAGACTATCTGTCAGTCTGTATAAACATTTTTGAAAAACTTCTTTTGACAGTTGGAATACATACTTCTTATAGAAATTTGGAATAAACTGAAGAGCAAAAAGAAGAACATAAAAATCACCTGTAATCTTAGTCAGTAAGATTCTTAAGACTGTTTAAGATTCTTGCATCTTACCTATTTGTGGGTTTGTTGTTGTTGTGGTTTTAATTGAGATGGAGTTTTGCTCTCGTTGCCCAGGCTGGAGTATAATGGCGTGATTTTGGCTCACTGCAACCTCCGCCTCCCAGGTTCAAGCATTTCTCCTGCCTCAGCCTCCCAAGTAGCTGGGATTACCAGTATGTGCCACCACGCCTGGCTAATTTTTGTATTTTTAGTAGAGATAGGGTTTCACCGTGTTGGCCAGGCGAGTCTCGAACTCTTGACCTCAGGTGATTCCCCCCACCTTGGCCTCCCAAAGTGCTGGGATTACAGGCATCAGCCACCGCACCCAGCCTGTTCTGTAGTTTTAAAGAAGGAAGATGACAGGTTTGAAAGTGCATGAGATGGAGACTGACTGGAAGGGATGAGAAAGGCGGCAAGGAGGGAGCTGAGGCGGGCGGACAGGGAGGAGGGCTGCAGTGAGGGAGCTGAGGCGGGCGGACAGGGAGGAGGCTGCTGTCACCGTCTAGCTGGGAAAAGAAAGTACATAAAATTTGAGAGACTGGAAACGGTTTCATTTGAGATGAGTAAGAGGGAAGCACAGAGGGGACTCCCAGCTTTTCTGTGAAGGATCTAGGAAAATGGTGATGCTGTGAAAACAGAGACAGAAGATATTGGCTTGGTAGTCAGCTTGGTGGTAGCTGTATTGAATTTCACGTGTCAGGGAGCCCCCCAGGTGGGGATCCCCAGCAAGAGTTGGAAATGCCTGTCTTTTTTAAGCTTTCTCAGGTGGGTGGTTAGGGGTTTGACATCTCGATTTAAGTCATTCTCAGATGGATGATATGTGGTTTGAACTATATAGAAAGAGGCTGCTCTAAGAATGTGAAAAGGGTCGGGTGCAGTGGCTCACGCCTGTAATCCCAACACTTTGGGAGGCTGAGGTGGGCAGATTACCTGAGGTCAGGAGTTCAAGACCAGCCTGGTCAACATGGTGAAACCCCGTCTCTACTCAGAATACAAAAATTAGCCGGGCGTGGTGGCGGGCGCCTATAGTCCCAACTACTTGGGAGGCTGAGGCAGGAGAATTGCTTGAGCCTGGGAGGCAGAGGTTGCAGTGATCCAAGATTGCATCACTGCACTCCAGCCTGGGTGACAGAGCGAGACTTTGTCTCAAAATAAAATAAAAATAAAAATAAAAATAAAAGGGTAAACAGGAAAGCGTGAAGTGTATACTTTACAGCAAGCTAAAACAGGCAAAGCCAGTTTGTTACTTTGAACAGTCAGCAGCTGTGACGGCACTGGGGAAAGTGTACAGTCTCAGGGTGGAATGGCTGTGCCACTCCTCCTATCCAGCCTAACTTTCTAGGATCCCAGGGGTGGAGGCTGCCCTGGAAATTGTTGTGTACGTGGCTGTGTTCTGAGTGAAGTCTAAAAGCAGGGGAAAGAGCTGGAAGAGAGGGAGCATTTGGATAAGACACTGAAGGAACATGCGGTAACTGCACATGTTCTAATGGGAGCCCAGCCTCCCTGTTGGTTTCCACTCTGACAAGACAGACTGCTCTTCCTACCCCATCTGTTGTTGGAGGGTTTGTTATTCAGTGGTACCCTTAGTAGGCAGAGGTGGAGAGTGGGGCATTCTAGTTAACAGGAGTGTGCTAGTTAGCAAGAGAATGGAGTGTACTAGTTAGTAGAACTTGCCCTAGCCAATTTATGTAGTGAACCCATAGGACATGTCAGATCTGGAAAACTGCCTTTCATGAGTGCGGAAGATGTAGTGGTCGGCCTCTTAGGTATTTTTAGAGAATCACATTTGAACAATCACAATCACAGATCTTTACCAGTCAGGTCAAAATTTGCAGTGTCAATGTGTTTGGAAAAGGGCTTTATGAAAATTTGAACTTTCTTTAAGGTTCTTCCTGAAGATTTCATATGAGAACCCAAATCTTAAGGGAAACTAAAATCTCATAATAAAAAATCTCATAGACACAGATATTCATGAGTAATGACAGATTAAAATTGTGAGTAGAAATGCAGGAATCTTAAGGTAATTCTAAATAAAAACAATCCAGTAGGACTATTGGAAAATTCTTACCAAGTAATGATTTTGTAATGATTGTGTCAAAAATGTAAATTTGATTCAGTGACACAGTTGTAATTTTGATATGTTCTTTAAGTCTCTTAGGTGCTTAAGTCATGATGTAAGTTTGAATATTTTTTTCCTTCAATTTAAAACTTTATTTCTACGGAATGTAGATGTCCTTCAGAAGTTCCTAGGGGAGGTGGTGGTGGTGACAGGTAAATTCATTGTGTCTATGACTTCCAAAGGCCAGTTTTCAGACCACTGTCATCAGTATCACCTTAGGTTAAATATTTTGTAAGGAACAATTCAGATATATCCCGGAAGAGGTACCTTTTATGCTTTAGTCCAGGCCCTCTGGGTTTTACCTGTTTCTTGTTGTAGCCACTGCTGCAGCAGGGAACCCTGGAAACTCTAATCACCTTCGTGTAGGTACAACTTGAAAGTGCTTCTCTCTTCTTGCCTTCTGCCCAAGGTGACACACCCATGTGTGTGCAACTGTGAAAATGAGCCTGCAAACTCAAATTCTAAAGAATATGAATAATGCAAAGAAAGGAGGCAACAATATGAAGAAATGAAATATAAATTGACTCGAGTTAATTTTTTATAACAAACAAAAGCATTTTAAAATGTGTGTTTAGGATGTTCAAAGAGGTCAGTGAAGAAATAATAAACTATGACAGAAAATAGGCAAAATAAAAGAACTAAATATAAAACTTGGAATAAAAAATAGCTACTGAAATAATTCCATACCTGGAACTCTTAGATTGAACCCAGTTGATGAGGAACTTAGTTAATGTTTTAGTGAATAGTTCTGATGCACATAGAGCAGGAAAAAGAAGAATGTATCTATCAATTAATCAGCAGTTAAATGACACAGAGGATAAGTTGAGATGTGTCAACTGACATGTAAAGGGAGTTCTGGAGAAATAGAATTGCGAGAATAGTGGAGAAGCAATATTTGAGAATATAATAGCTGAAGACTTTTTAGAAATGAAGATGTGAATCATCATATTCAAAGTATATTTTAAGCCCTAAGCAAGATAAATAAAAATGAATGACATCTAGATTTATAATAAACCCCAGAATATTAAGAATAATGAAAAAATATTAATAACTGTAGAAAGAAAAGACATTGCCTACAAAGAAATGACCATCAGACTGACAGCAGGCTTATGAGTGCCAATGATCGTGAGAAGACAATGGAGTAACATCTTCAAAGTATTGATGAAATGTATACCCAGCTAAACTTACATTCGATAGTATAGACATAATAGAAATATTTCAGATATAAAAAGACTTAAGAGATTTTATAACTCATAGACAGTTACTATAAAACCCTTTTAAAGATATATTTCAGTAAGATGAAGAATTAAAGGAGAGACCTGAAGCATAAGAAACAGTAATTAGTTAAACAATGATTAAAATGTTGATCACTGAAGCAATTTTAAAAAAATAACCCTCTGTGTGTGTGTTAGAAGAAAATAAAAAAGGCAAATCTTTACACTGCGGTAATGAGATAGAGATTGTTCAGTGTGGCGGGTTTTGAGTTTGGGAGAAGGTTAGAAATACTAACTTTAGACTTGGTTTGGAAAACATAGTGAAGTGGGTATGTAACAATTGTAAGGGTAAACACTAGAAGAACAGATTTTTTTTTCGTTTTGCCTCCAAATTGGCCAAGGGTCAAAGGCAGTCAGAAAAGACTAATAGGAGAGAGAAAATGAGGGAAAAGAAATTAAAGGAAGAGGATGGTAAGTAGAAAACACAAAATGAGGTTATGGAAAGAAGTTTAAATAGCCAGAGTAAATATATTAAAATTACTAATTAGAGGAAGAGATTATCAAATTGGCTAAGAACCAAAATCCTGTTATATGCTGCTTACAAGAAATGCACCTAAAATAAAGACACATGGAAAGGTTAAAAAAGAAGACTGGGAAAACATACGCCTGGTAAATGAATACAAAAAAGGTAATGTAGGTATCTTAATATTAGAAAAAATAATTTTAAGAACAAAAGACTTTAATAGCATTAAAAATACTAAACAATAACAAAAGGAATAGTAGCAAGAGGATAATAAGACTTGTGTATGCTAATAGCATAGCCTAAACTGTGTAAAAGAAAAACTGACAGAACTAAAAGAGAAATCAAAAAATTCACAATCACAGGAGGAAATTTTAATTGAATCTCTAAGAATCAGATGTCTCAATTTGCCAGAAAATTAAACAGATATAGATGATTTACATAACAAATTGATAAGCTTGTCCATAAATGTCTGTAAAACCCTGTACCTAAGAAACACATAGAGAGAAATTTTATGCTTTTCAAGCACACATAGAATAGTTACAAAAATTCACCAGGTTGTAGGTGACAAAATAAGTCTGAACAAATTTCAAAATAATGAAGACCACATTCTCTAACATGATGCAATCAAATCGGAAATAAAATTGTGAAGGTAGTATAACAGGCCATATGTTTGAAAGCAAAAATGTATACTTTTAAGTAATTCATGGATTAAGAAGGAAATGAAATGGAAATTACATCAGAAGAGAATGGCAATGAAAGTACTACATATCTATACGTGAGATGTATCTAGAACAAACCTTAGAGGTTAAAAACATGTATTAGAAAAGAACACTTGAAAATAAATAAGCTAATAATTCATATCAAGAAGGTAGGAAATGAGCAGACTAACAGACCAAAAAGTAAACTGCAAAACAAGATAATAGTAAAGAAAGAGCAGAAATAGAAAACAGAAAGGAAAGATGATAAAGAGGATCAGTGAAACCCAAGGTTTGCTCTGCAACGAAAACCTCTAAAAAGAGAGATATAAAAATATGAATACATGACAATGAAACAAAGCATCCCCTAATGATTCTCTTCCTTCTCTCCAAAGTCCAGGTGCTTCAGGAAATTTTATTGTAACTTCACGGAACAAATAATTTTTTTTCTAATGCGGTGTTACATAGGAGAGAAAATAAGAAAGGCTAGCCAACCAATTTTCTGAGGCCAGTATAACCTTGATACCAATTCTGGACAAGGACATTATAAGAAAATAAAGTTATAATAAATCTTCATAAGGAACGTAAATGACAAAATCTGAAATAAAATAGCACAGGTAGTTCAGTGTTAAAATGCTCTATGAGTAGGTAAGATTTACTGAAAGATGATTTAGAAAAATCTGTTAATGTAATATACTACCTTAAGAGATTAAAGGAGGGAGAACATATGATCATCTCAGAAGAAAGCATGCATTGTTAATATTCAGAACTCATGCATGATAAAAAGCTTTTCAAAGTAAGAATGGAAGGAAACTTTCTCAACCTGATAAAGGATATCTTGCAAAAACCTACAGTAAATCTCATATTTATTGGATCCTTCCCACTAATATTAAGATGAGACAAGGATTCCTAGCATTGTCATTATTCAGCATTGTATGGAAGGTCCTAGGCCAATGCAATACAATGAGATAAAGGCAGGAGAATAAGAATGGGAGAGGGAGACAGAAAACTCATTTGTACAGAATATAACTTTCTGTATAGGAAATCAATGAGAAGGTGGAGTCAAACCATTAGAACTAATAGAATTCTCTACTCTTTCTGGCTGTATGGAAGGTATACTAAAATCAGGGTGTTTTTATACACCAGCACTAAGTAATCAAAAAGTATAGTAGAAAAAACAGTATTTATAACAGCACCACAAATCATGGGGTACATAGAACTATATGTAATACAAATATTTAAGATCTTTATTTTCTTGCGATGGAGTCTCACTCGCTCACTCAAGCTAGAGTGCAGTGGTGGAATCTCAGCTCGCTGCAACCTCTGCCTCCTGAGTTCAAGCGATTCTCCTGCCTCAGCCTCCTGAGTAGCTGGGACTACAGGTGCACGCCACCACACCTGGCTAATTTTTGTATTTTTTAGTAGAGATGGGGTTTTACTATGTTGGCCAGGCTGGTCTTGAACTCCTGACATCAGGTGATCTGGCTGCCTCGGCCTTCCAGAATGCTGAGATTGCAGGCGTGAGCCACCATGTCTGGCCAAATGCTTAAGATCTTTATGGAGAAAATTATAATTATAACATGGTATTGAAGGACATCCAAGAAGACTTGAATAAGTGGAGAGCTATGTTATTGTTTTCATAGTAGTAAAATAAAACCTTGCGTAAGTCCTCATTCTACCACATGTTAACTAACCCTCTAGCTGATAGTACAAACACTCACTGCGGGATTTTATTTATAAGGGCTCTAGAATAAAATATGAGTTATTCACACTAAAATCACCTGTTAAGTAATATTCTGAACTAGTTAATGCAGGTTTTCATTGTGTTGTGGTTGGTCTCATAACTAGGTTGAGTTTTTCTCCTCTGCTAAGAGGAAACAATACTGAAGTTGTTTTTCTTGTGGCATTTGTATTATAAAAACTTGGTGTGGGGGTGGAGCGCAAAGCTCCAGCCCACTGAATGTCTGCCAGTTAAGATGATGTTGGGTTAGGTTACATCTGGCTACTGTCCGGGGAAAATCACTTTTATAGAGATGGGCTTCCAGGTGGTTTTAAAATTTATCTTTCTATTGACATTTGTAGGTCAATTATATATGTTGACTAAATTTACAAATAAACTTGTGTGTCCAAACCAAATTACTAATATGACAAAATATTTCCAAATTCATCTAAGTTCAATAAAATTCTATTTAAAAATTTTAAAGGATATGTTATGGAATTTGACAAGCTGATATTAAAGCTGAATAGTAATAGGCCAAGAGTAACAAAGAAAAATTTGAAGAAGTATAAGGTAAGAAGACTTACTCTACTAGGTATTTTGACTCATTAAAACTAGCCTGATTACAACCGCCTGATCTTTTCCTACACGTCTGCTCCATCCACAAGGTTCCCCACTTAAGCCAGTAATCTTCGAGTCAGCCATAACCCTCTCTTTCTCTCAAACTCTGTGTCAAATCTGTCAGGAAATCCTTTTGGCTCTATCTTCAAAATATATCCAGATTCTAATCATGACCCATGACTTCCTCCACCACCACTTGGTCTAAACCACCATTATCTCTCACTTGGATTACAGCCATAGTTTCTTAACCATTCACTGCATCTGTGCTTGGTTCACTCTAGTCTATTCTCAACCGAGGACAGCCAGAGTGATTTTGTAAAACATAAGTTTTATCATTTCCTCTCCCGCTCAAAACTCCAATGTGGCTACCCATTTTACTCAGAGTAAAATCCGTAGTCCTTAACCATCCCACAAGGTCCTACACTATCTGGCTTATCTGATCTTTGTCCTGCTACTTCCTCCTTGTTTATTCCACTCAAGCCACACTGGCTTCCTTCCTGCCCCTTAGAAATAGCAGGCACATTCTTGTTGCCCCTGTAGGACTGCTTTCTCTACCCCTTGCTGGGGATATCTGAATGGGTGAGTGCCTCACTGCCTCCATGGCTTTGTTTGCAGTCACCTTCCCTTGGAGGCTCACCCTATTTAAAATTGTGCTTTCCCAGCCCACCTGATCTCTCTGACCTGCTCTGCTTTTCTTTTCATTTTTTATAGCTCTTGTTACCTTCAAACTATGTCATCTACCTAGGATTTTTGGTGTTTTTAATCTTTTTCCCACTAGAGTATACACACTAAACAGGGTAGGATCTTGTTTGCTTTGTTCACTCATTTATCCTGGGTGCTTAGAGCACTTCCTGGCATATAGTAGGCACTGAAAAAATATTTGTTGAATAAATGATGAAAAAACAGTATAGGATTGGTGCAGGAATAGACAAATGAATGGAGCGTAACAGAAAGCCCAGAAACGGGACTACTTACAACGATGTCATATAAAGGTAACATTGGAGATAAGTGGGAGAAATAATGGATTATTTAATAACAATTTATTTGGGATTCTTGGTTATGAATATGGAAAAAAGTAAACTGAATCCCCACCTCACCCCCTACATAAAAATTATTTCCATATGGTCTAACAACCTAAAATTAAGCTTAAAATTTTAAAGCTTCTGAAAATATAGGATATTATCTTTATCTTTATATATGGATGGACTTCTTATACAAGGTACAGAAAACATAAATGATAAAGGAAAAGATAGAGAAATTTAAGAACATTCAAATTTAAAACATCTGTATGACAATAGACATAAGTGAAGGGAAAAGCAAATCAGATATGAGGTAATATCTGTAATCATATAACTGGCAAAAAATAGCATTCAAAACATAAAAATTGCAACAAACCAAGAAAAATAGAAGAACCCAATAGAAAAATGAACAGAGGCACTTTATAAACGAGTGTACGTGAGTGGCCCATATACTATGTGAAGAGATGCTCAACCTCAGTGGTGATTAGCTATGTATATGACATAATTTTTTTTTTTTTAAGATGGAGTTTTGCTCTGTTGCCAGGCTGGAGTGCAGTGGTGCAATCTCGGCTTATTGCAACCTCTGCCTCCCAGGTTCAAGCAATTCTTCTGCCTCAGCCTCATGAGTAGCTGGGACTACAGGCATGTACCACCATGCCCAGCTAATTTTTGTGTTTTTAGGAGAGACGGGGTTTCACCATATTGGCCAGGATGGCCTCGATGTCTTGACCTTGTGATCCACCTGCCTTGGCCTCCCAAAGTGCCGGGATTACAGGCATGAGCCACCACCCCTGGCTCGAAATATGATTTTAAGCCCATCCAATTGGCAAATATTTATATACTTTGTAACACCAAATGCTTGCAAGGGTGTGGCACAACAGAGATCCTCCTACACTGCTTATAGGACGATTGTACCTGGCAAACTCCTTTTGCCTACTTGTCCCTGTAGCAGTGATCCCAGAGTGCCCAGGCAATAGCTGTATCTTATAACTCAATGGAGTCTTGCTATATTCCCAGATAAAAGTGTACTGTTTTGGGGACTAGGACCTCTAACTCTACAGAGCCAAGAGTGTGGGAACAAAAGCTACAAAGTCTCCCAATGGGTCCCTGAGATAGTAAATGAAGTCAATCCTGTTTCTCTCCTTTGCTTTCCAAACACGTGTATTATTCATTTGGGGAACATGGTGTGTCCCTACCTTTGGAGTGTTTGATTCAGTGTCCTGGAGTCCGGCACCCACCTGCACAGTTTGTTCACTGAACTGGTGCTGTGGCTGTGCCTTGGGGCTATTCCAGTGCTTTTTCAGGACGGCAGTTCCTGGTGACGTGCAGTAAAATAAAACAGGTGGAAACCAGCTGTGGGCTCACTGCTGCATTTTCCTTGCTGCAAAGTGAGTTGCTTGGTCTGATGGATGTTATTTAGGGGACAGAAGTTGGCCAAGACCCTGAAGGCAGGAAAGTCAAACACGTGCCAAGAATACATGTATGTGAGTGTAAGAACACATCACTGGCCCTTTCAGCATGGAAGGGGCCCGGTGTAATCCTTTGCCACCTTATGGTGGGTTGGTCCTCTCAAGGAGTGGTGCTGTGTGAGGCACTTGGTGACAGTCTCTGTTGCTGGCCATTTGGACATTTGGTGGTGGCAGTAGCTAGGTGGACCTTGGTGAGCGGGTGTGCATGCTGTTGGGCCATGTGTAACCTATCTCTGCCATTGTGGCCAGTTCGTTCCTGCATCCATTACGCAGGTACTAGGGTAGCCAGTGAAGACACTGGCTGGCATCCCCTGGCTGGGCCCCTTTCCATGCTTTGTGGATGAGTGCCTCTTTCATGGTAGATGCCCTCTGGCTGGCATTATCATGTGGTAAAGAGATCTTCATGCTGCATACTCACTCCCACATGTCCACCTATGTCTCTCTACCCCAGATTTCCTAATTCTTCCTCTTCCAGTCTTTGTGTTTCTGGCCTCTGACTAGGCAGCCAAGCCACTTGCTGCTGCCCTTGAGTCCACAGCTGTCCTGAACTTGGGCTATTCTTCCCTCTCTGAAGGAACCAGTTGGGAGGATTTTTCCCTTACCCCTGTCTTTCCTGGCCACTCTAGAGTAAGGCTGCAGTGGAGCTGCCCTGCATTTCCAGCCTGCACCCATATAACAAACCAACCATTCAACACCCCACCCCCCGCACCCCCATCCCCCAAATCGGCCTTTCTCTCTGCCCCCAGCTGGTTTTACAGGATCGCCACACAGCCGTAGGTGCGAAGTGAGGGAGGGAGTTGGTGCAGCCTGGTGGGTGCTGGGGGAGTCTGGCTTCCTATTCGTGCAGCTCACGCGTGCCCTCTGGTCCTGCTTGTGCATGATTCCCGATGTACAACTTCCTCTTTATGATAGACTGTGGCTGTAGCCCCTTGACCTTATAATCTGGTGGGTCTGATGGGACTTACCTTTTGATGGGAAATTTCAGCCACATCATCCCCTAGTGCTCCATGGCTGCCATGGTGTGCACTGTGCAGTGTGCTTCATTATCACCCATGTCATGATCTTGAAGTGCTTTTTCCCATTAAACTAGGCTTCTTGGTGAAATGGTCGATTCTGGGACTGGGGTAGGAAATGTGCAAGGTGAGTCTGGGACATCCTGTCAAACCAGAGAGCAAAGAAGCTATGAGACAACTGAGGAGAAGGAGCCAATTTGAAGAGGGTCTCACTGGCCAAAGATATGACTGCTGAAGCTTACATGAGAGCAGTCATTGAAACGATCAAATATGTTTAAATGAATATGTTTGTGATGATGTTTAAAAAACTCTTCGATTAGCCTGGGAGATAGCAAGTTCGTCATCTTGAAGACACTATGTAAATGGATGAAGCAAGCATTTATCTTCCCTGTCCCATGTGAATTGTACCACTGAGTAACAAAGTAGTAGCTGAGGGGAAGCTTTTCATTATAAGGTATGAAAATGAAGTGATAGAATTAGAAGATCACTATTTTGCAACTCTCCAGGAATTAATACATCTAGGCATTGAGCACCCATCAATGCTAACTAGACATGAAAGAGACAACTAGACATTTTGTGCTTTCTAATCAAAGACCATCCATAGCCCCACCTCTAGTCTTGCCAGAGGATCAAGTCTGAGTCTGATGAAGCCTCTGGATCCAATTGTCAACTTGCAGAAAGTTGTCCTCTGAGGACGGTTGTGTGAATTGAATTGCACCATGAGAACACAGTCCTCAGAATCCACAGTGTGAGAAACTGAACAGGTCAAGTAGACTGTGATCTTCAAGGGATAAGGTCAAAGGAAAAGAATGGAGACAATGTGTTGATTAAAATGACTTAAAGACAGCCGGATGTGGTGGCTCACGCCTGTAATCCCAGCACTTTGGGAGGCGGAGGGGGGCAGATCACCTGAGGTCAGGAGTTCGAGACCAGCCTGGCCAACATGGCGAAACCCCATCTCTACTAAAAACACAGAATTAGCCGGGCATGGTAGTACGCGCTTGTAATCTCAGCTACTAGGGAGGGTGCGGCAGAAGAATTGCTTGAACCCGGGAGGTGGAGGTTGCAGTGAGCCGAGATTGCGCCACTGAACTCCAGCCTGGGTGACAGAGGGAGACTCCATCTCAAAAAAAAAAAAAGAACTTAAAGACGTATCAAATTTAAAAAAATGAGCAAGACTATAATGTCAGGGGTGGACACTTAGATGATAAAGTGTAAGAAACATAGGAAGTGATTACTGTGAAAGTCAGATAACGGTTGCTTTTTGGGCTATAAGGTTTCTGTTGGGATTGGAGTGTAGCACACAGGGAGGCATGTCTAGGGTAGATGGCAAACTTCTGATTCTTGACCCAGGTGGTGGTTGTAAGGGTGTTTGCCTAATAACAGTGCATTGAAATATATGTTTGTTTTGTGTGGTTTTTTTGCATCAGTTTTGTTTTATAACAAAAGGCTAAAAATAAGTATTTAAAGAAAATAGTGCATACTATATTTTATTTGCTGATATTCATAATGATCACCAGATTATTGAAATTTATGAGTAATTTTGCTATAAATAAGCCTGTTTTCTTTGTTTAAACACACACACACACATTTTCACACTCACACCTTCAAAGCCACATAATAGAATGTTTAGCTTAAACCTGCAGCCGCTAGTTGAAATGTTGCTTCATGGAGTTTTATCCTCCTAACAACCTGTGTCCTAAGTCACATTCCTCTCCAGAAATGTGGACATTGACCATATTCCAGTCCCTGAGACGCTGTTTCAGCCACACGTGGCACCCCAGACCCTTGCCCACCTGCATCCTGGTCATTCATCCTCCTCCTCATGGGGTCATTTCTTGATCCCTATTAAGCATTAAAAGGGGATTAAATATCTCTCTACTTGCAGCTAATGTTTTGCTTGGTTTGGCCAAGAACATTTTAAGTTTTAAAAACCTGGGGCTATTGGAGTGGGACCATGGGCAAAGGTCAGGACAGGCTAGCTACTAAAATGGCCTGCCACGGACCTTGTACGTGAAGGTTGAAGGATTCTGGTGCTCTCTGGTGCCATCGCTGTTAGTCGTTGTGCAGCACAGAAATATTTTATTCAACAAACTCTGCAGACTCCTGAACTTTAGGGGTGGGCTGCCTTCTGCCTGGTGCTCTGCACAGATCCTGGAGCTCTCGTGGTCATTTATGTGCAGTGAAGCTGCTCCACTCACCTACAGCTTGTCCTTTTCCAGAGAATCCCTATCATCCTCCCCTCATCCCAAGGAATGCAACAAAGGAAAATTAATAGTGAATGCTTTTGCCGGAGACCTGTGGATACTTAATTTTTATAGATACTCAATAAATATTTATTTATATTCACTAGCAGCAAGCAATTCACTTGTAAACTGGTATAGTGGCGGGTAACATAAGCATAAGCAGATTCTTATGTTATTTCTTTGAATATTTTGCTTTTCTTTAAAAATGTAAATTTTTTATTCTTAAAGTAATAGGAATTTATTACAGAAAAATTTGAAGAATGAAAAAATATTCCTAAATTGTCACCACTGTAATACAGTAGTGGTTATTATCACTTTAGTATACTTAGTATATTTTCTTCCAGTCTAATTTTGGTGTGAAAATCTTTAGTAGTTATAATAAAAGTGCATGTAATTGTGTTTTTTCCTTTTTACTTTAGCCTTAGGTAATTATGATATCACAAACATATTTCCATGTTGCAATATTATCACAAAATAATTTTTTACTGCATTAAATTTTATTATTTGGCCTTATATTTTTATTTTAACCTATTTTTGATTAACACATTTTAGCAAATAGAATATCTTTGTATAATATATAACTTTATTCAAATTACTTTTTGGGTTTTGTTGCTTTGGATTTTTAGAGTAGAATATTAAAGAGTGTCAAGAATTTCAGTAAACTTCTAATTTATCTTTCAGCTCTGTCGTCAAATCTGGTAAATCGAGTGAGTGTAGGAGTGGGAGGTGTATAGTGTATATTAATTTGCCAACTGTTGTTCCACTCAGGATCTCAGTTATACGTAACTTCATAAAGCCATATAAAATTTGAGTGAGGCAGTAATCTTTTTTACATCTAGAAGTGGGCCATAGAACACCAATTGTACTGGACAGTTTAGAAACTTATGGTACAAAATGAAGGTTCTGTATTTGGAGCCCAAGGAAGTGCATGGCAACATTTGCGACGTGCGTGAGTGTGTGTGCTCTTGGGAGATGGGTTGTGATTTTCATCAGATGTTCAAAGAGATCCTGTGGCCACTGGTATACACACAATGTTTGCTAGTTGAATGGAGTGCTACTTTTGTGAGTTTGTTTATTGTTGTCATTCTCTCCCTGCCTCCCTTCCAAACCCTTCTCCTGCGTTCATTATATCCAGAAATAAAACTCAGAAAAATTTACTTTTGGGTAAGCAGTGATTTATCACATGCAAGTTTATAGTGATTAAAAAAATGAAAACTAAACACATATGTGACATTGTTAATTGGAAATATGCATGAATTTATGTTGATTTTGGAAGTTTTCACATTAAAATGGGTAACTTAGTGCTATACTTTGGTAAAATATTTTTTTAAAAATATGTGACCAGGGAGTGGATCATTCAGTAAATTTTCTATTGATTCAAGTTATGAATTGGATGTGGAAATATGAAAATAGTTACCCCCTTACTGTGTTATTTGGAAATGTGTAGATTTACTAACTCCTTTAAATTTGAGGCCTTCTAAGTTTTTGCACAGCTAAAGCAAAGAGATATTCTATGCAAATAATTGTAAATAAAATTATTTACCAATGTTAAGAACTCTCCTTCTTTAAAAGATAAAATCTTAGTCATTTTTGGTTATCAAATGACAGGAGCAACTTTTTTTTTTTCTTCATGTAACAGGTGTATGTGGATGTGCAATGACCACTTTGTTTTGAATAATCAGTATCCTTTTTTTTTCTTTTTTCTTTTTTAAGGAATGGGATGTTTCTGGGGAGCTGAAAGGAAATTCTGGGTCTTGAAAGGAGTGTATTCAACTCAAGTTGGTTTTGCAGGAGGCTATACTTCAAATCCTACTTATAAAGAAGTCTGCTCAGGTAGGAAGAATTTGCTTTATTGTATTACTAGGAGAAACAAGGGAGGGCTTGTCACTACTGTTGGGTGACAGGCTCTTTAAAATGGAAATATGTTTTTTTAAAAATGTTTCTTCAATCTTTATTATTTGTATATATATACTTGTGAGCTTCTCACTTTATATGTTTAGAAGATGATAATCTTCCTGTGGAGTGCACCATTTAGCTTTTGCTGTGGAACAACCACTCTAAAACATGGTGGCTTAAAACAGTCATTTTATTAGCTTGTAATTCTGATGATCAGCAGTTGAGGCTGGGCTCAGCTTTATGGTTCTTCTGTTAGCCTCACCTGGGATTTGCTCATGTGGCTAAGGTCAACCTGTGGGTTGCCTGGGGGCTAGTCAGCCTAGGCTGCTTTACTCTTTGGCCTGGCAGTTGGTGCTGGCTGCTGGTTAGCACTAACTGCCAGGTGGGGTAATGGGGATGATGGACCATATGTCTTCAGCACACTGGCCTGAGCTAATTCACATGGTGGTGGATGCAGAGAACCTAAGAGCAGCAAGAGAGGATGAGGCCCATTCTCTGTTTGTGTTACGTTCACTTTTATACCATTGGCCAAAGCAAGTCATATGCGCTAGCTAGACCAGAGCCAATATGGGATGGCTCCCCAAAGGCAAGGATATAGGAGGTATCAAGAATCGGGACCATTATTTCAACAATCTACCGCATGAGACAGACATTTCAGATACTGGTTGTGTTTTCTGTAAGGAAAAACACTGAAAGCCGTGCTATAATGCAGGGATCAGCAAACTATTGACTTGACTCATAGGCCAAATCCCACTTGCTGCCTAGCAAACTATTGACTTGACTTATAGGCCAAATCCCACTTGCTGCCTATCTATATAAGTAAATTTTTGTTGAAGCACAGCTATTCTCATTGTTATTATTATATATTATCTATGAGTGTTTTCATGCTACAGTTACAAGAGTTGAGTGCTTGCAACCAACTATGTGGTCTGCAAAGCCTAAAATATTTACCGTTGGGTGCTTTACAGGAAAAAAATTTGCTGACCTCTATTCTAGGCTAACAGGGTAGGCAGATGCCCTCATGGCAAATTCTGTCTCGAATACCAGATTACCTCTCTGGACTTGTTTCTGACCTAAAGGATTTCCTTTCCTTTCCTGCCAGCTCAGATAGCATTTGAAATGTTTTTCTAAAAAAAATTATATTCACCATTTTAAGAGGTCTTAATAGGGAGGGAGTATCTGGAGTTATAGTCCACTATTATTGATGAAAATGGGGTGTAAAATGTAAACAGTTTTATCTTTCTAAAATAAAGTCTTAAATAAGTGTGGTTTGTGGAGGATGCGCTCAGCCCTCCAAGGGCACCATGAATGATGGAGGGGAAAAGCTGGAGTTTGGGAGCTTGGTGAATAGTGAGCATGTTGATGTGTTTGCTACAATATGAATTCTATTTTGAAATAAAAATTGAGCTGTACAACAATGAAAATATTATAAAAATGTGCATGTTCTTATTTTTTCTTGCTCTAGAGAAGGATTGAAATATTCTGATTCGTATGGAGAATGTGGTGTAACAAACAAATATTTTAATGGTTATCCTATTTTTTTTTAACTTCTGTTTCAAAATTAAACGCTTATGCATAGCTATAAATAGACTCAAATGAATCCTGGAGATCACCCAGGTGTATCCTCTCAAGTCTTAGGAATGGAAATGAGTAGATTCCTTCCTGTAATTCCAGACGTGACTTAATGGCCTAAGAGAAAAAGGTTGCTAAGAAAACCTCCAAGTATCTATTGCTTTATACCTATTATCCTCAAGCAGCAAAATGTTAACAATCAGTTAGAATATTGTGATTCCTTGTTTGCTCGAACCCTTTTCAGTTCAGCTGTTTACCTTAATAACAACATGATAATTGCCATGTGTTAAACTCATGCTATATGCCAGACACTGTAATAAGCACTTTTTCTGTCTTTGCTTTTCTCTAAGCAGTTCCATGAAGTATGTCAGCTTCTATCTTTTACAGAGGGAGTGTAGAGGCTCAGAGAGGATAAATAACTTACCTAAGGTCATACCTAGCAGGAATCCCTCCCTCATTAGCTCTCAGCTCAAAGTCTATGCCATTGACCATGGTGTAAGTCTCCCAGCTGTCATCATATCCCAGCCATTCTCCATTCATCCCTTTGCACTTTCTTCCACCAAGTCACAAATTCTCTTTCATATATGTCCCTCTGGTATATTTTTAATTATATTAGTGTGCTTTTAAATGATTAAGGAGAATGCCAAGGAAATTCTTTTGTCTTTCTTATGTTTAGAAGGAAAAAGGGCCAAGCCAGTTCATGCAAACAGCTGGTATGTTAGAGGCCTCTAGCAAGTGGTAAAGTATGGAAACCACAGAGACTGGTAAAGAACTCGATTGGATATGAACACTACCTGCTAAGTTAACAGTAGCATTGGGAAGCATGGTTGTCATGGAAACTTGTTCCTGATTGGAAAGGGATAGTTATAGGGTCTTACCCATACACAGAAGGAGAGACGATTTCTTTCCCTAGGCTTTTTTGTTGTTGTTGTTCTGATCATAAAAGGGAAAAACAAAAAGGCAGAGAGGAGCTATGATAGAAAGGTCCCTCTGGCACAGAAGTGGTACAGCCTTCAGATCCCTGGGAATAACAGGGAAGGAGAACAAATAAGGTCCCTCGCTAGAGTAATTATGGTAACTAGCTAATTAAAGATTTTTGACCAAGGAGAGGGGTGGGGGAGACATAAAGCAGGTTACACTGGCGGGCCTCCCCTCTGAAGCCTCTGGTGCTCAAAGCCTTGCTGAACAAGTCAGCCCTGGAGTGGTCTGACTTAAGAGAAGGAAAATAAACAAACAAACAAACAAAAACCCCAAGGCTCTGGTAAGATGCATAGTAATTGCTGAGGTCCATTGTGGGAGAAATACTAGTCTGTACTCTAGTATCTGCTTGCAATTAAGTTTGTAAAACTTTGATCACAATCCGTGAATATTTTGTAAAGATTTTTACTTTTATTTTGTCAAGAAAAGAAGCATAGAGACCTGGATTGTGTGCAGATTCCTTCTCTCATAAAGCGGTATGCTTGAGCTTAAGGTACCATGTGGTTTCTTGGGGCAGATGCCAGAAATATAGGAGGAGGGGTTAACAGAATCCACAGGGCCAGCTTTACCACCGCTCTGTGCAACCTCTTATGTGATGACGCACATCAGAGCTTCCACAAGCATTATCTCAGCACACAGGTGGGTGAACACAGGCCAAGGAACCATCGGCTCAAGTTTGCTACCCCTGCTGTGCCAGTGGGTCTGCACAGCCTCAACAGGGGAGAAGTGAGCGAGAGAGTGTGGATGTGAGTGTAGAAGCAGTGTGTGTCCAGAGAGGGTGTGGATTCATATCCGAATGGTATTTCTATGTGGAAATTGATAGGCCAGTGACTCTGAACCCCAAATCGGAGTTGTGACTAGGCATATAGAAAAGATAACATGGCTTCTCATAGTAGCTGAGAGAGGAGGTGTGCCCATCGTGGGCTCACTAATGGGGCTGTTCATGGTGGGCAGTCTCCATTGCTTGGTGCCACTTGCACCCGACATGCGTAGAGAATACAAGGGGGCGGTCTCTTAGGAATTTAGAATAAAGTCGCCCATTGAGAGTGGCAGTATAAAATCAGCCTGCTCTGAATCACAGTGGAGATGGACAGTCACTTGGAAGAGAGATTGGTTTCTGTGTCTGTAGGATTTCAGAGTAACCTAGTGGAATGCCCTGACTGTGTAAAAGGAGCATAGGTCCTCAGTAGGAGGTTGGTGAGCTAGAACAGCCTGGGAGAGGGGAGGTCCTGGCCACTCTCTTGGGTGTTCTGGGCAGACCCACAGAGCCTGATACCCTGGCACTTTTAAGTTGTATCACTAACCTCGTGTTCTGATCCATACTCTGTAAAACTTTCTAATCTTTTGTCCTCCTGTGGGGATTATTTACAGAAAGAAAATGCAATGAAATCAGGTTAGTCAGGCAGACAGTTCTAATTCTTATTTAGAATTCAATAAAATGCCTCTCTGAGATATATATCTCAGTCTATTGTGAGTTTAGTCTGCACAGGTCATTCTCTCCAAATTGAGTTAACCTCGGGCTGAGTTATATGACAAAAACAGAGTTTTGGTCGGACCTCCATGATCTTCCAAGGCTTCAGTTGCCTCCTGCATTTCCCTGGAGATTTCCTATCCCTTGCATGTGCCCATAATTTCATTTAAACCTGTTTTAAAAGTGTATGTAACTTTTAAGTAACCTATAATCTTCCCTTCCTCAGGTTCATTAAGCACTGAACCAATAGCGCACAGGCTGAGAAACTTACCTCACCCAGATGTTTTGGGCCTGAATTCTAACCCCTCTGAAAGCCACCCACCACCAGCTTCTGCACCAGGCACCCAGTCTTGGCTGGGACACAGGGTAGCATCTCTCATGGCCAGCAGACCTCTGTTGGGCCATGTTCTGATGCATTTCTGATCTGTCTCTAAGAGATGTGCTGAGAAGTAATTCATGTCTTAGTGGCCACTGTTTTGTACCTAAAATGATGTCCAAAGAGTCATCCATCCATTTCTGTTTCCTACAAGCTCAGCATCTGGCTGGCACTAGGGAACCCAGAACGTGGACTGGAATAGCCATGAGGAGCCTAACTTGTATATAGGCCTTACTTGAATAAATTAAATATGCCACTTACTGGAAAGGTGCCACATGTAAAGCATTGCACCAGGTCCTAGGGGAAGGTTGGTTTTGATGTAAAGAATACTAGTTCCTGTCTTCCAGAATTTTCTCTATAGTCAAATGAAAGCTTGATCTTTCACATTTGTTTTAAGAAGTTGGGCTGACACTGGTTTTCTCTTTACACATGCACACACACACACACACCCTCAAACAGTTGTTATGCAAACCAACTGATTAACTGGCATGCTGTTGCTTTACTACATTGATTTTAGAAGTAATTGAGCTATTCAGATTCCTGAATACTCTGATAGAGAATTATTCTTACATTTTGTAATAACGACTGTACAGATGAAAATATGAAAAGACATTCTGCAATGGATAAGCATTCTGGGTTAATTTCAGTGCATTAGCCTAATATACAAATACCCCATTTCTGGCAAGAAAACCCAGGATGTTCATTCACTGGGTAATATCTTTTCATATTTTGCTTACAGATGTTCAGAACAATTCCATGTTTATTAGTCTATTCAAAAGCTTTTAGAAATCTGCACAGCCAAGTGGCACTGAATCCAGAAGCATGAAAGGAGCTGCACAACTTTTCCTCGTAAGATTTACACAAGCAGCACGGGAAATCTGAGGCCCAGACATTTCCTTATCAACAGAATACTCCGGTGGATTTTCAAGCAGGCTGTTCAGCAGAGGTTTCGAGCAGGAGCCCAGGTGTGGGAAGAGCGGAGTGTGGGAGTCCTCGTGTGACCCTCTGGGGGTGGTGATGGAACTGACTGTATGGTCTGCAAAACCTAAAATATTTACTGTCAGGTGCTTATGTGTCCTGTCCTGAGCCCGTTTCCTCTCTTGTAAAATGGGGCAATGCTGCTTGATGAAACCAGTCAAGTTGTGGTTGGATTCTTATATGTAATAAACCTGCACATTGTGCACATATACCCTAAAACTTAAAGTATGATAAAAATAAAAAAAATTGTTGCAAATCTGAGTATTTGAGAAAATCTGGGATACACACTTTCTAGCTCTTGGGCTCGTTAAAGATGAACATGATGGATCATGAAGCATTGCTTGGCAGGGCTGGGGCCAGCTTGTGGTAAGTATGCCTGGCACAGCACACGGAACCCGTTTTCTTCTCTTCTTCATCTGTGTTCTTAGGAGGTCAGGTCATGTCACCCCCTTTTCCAAATGCGTGTGATTTTTTTCCTTGATGCTTGAGAACTCTAACTGAGCAAGGAATAATAATTTCCCCACTAATGTAAGACAACTCAGTATACTTTTTTTTTTTTAAGTTTGACTTAATTTCTGAAGTGTTTGGGTGGAAGCGCATGTCTATGTATCTTACATGAGATGAATGATCCCATTCTTCAGAGTAGGGATGAGTTCTCTTATTAACAGATTTTATCAAGCAATGTAAAACTCATTCTAAATTCCTTGAAGACTGCATTAAATCTCTTTTTAGTGCATAGTCAGTCTTATTGTACTCATTTCAATGTCAGTCAAGGTAAATTACTAAGTTATTGACATACTCCTGAAAATGCAAGAATTCTGGTGTTCAGTTCTTGCTACAAGCAATTTGATCGCTTTTTATTCCTCTTATTTTAGGCGTAAAATTGGACCTTAAACTTGTAGCAGGCAGGATAAAAACGCTTATCTCTCTCAAACCAAGAGGCAGAAAGCAGGCTTCAAGAGCAGAGACCCTTGACTCATACCCTTAGGACCAAAGATATCTGCTCACCCAACCATCTTCCCCACACCCACATCCAAGCAGCTATGCAAGACAGATTAGTTCAGTGAATGGACCCATTGCCTGAAGAAAAAGTATAGGTAATGAGAAAACAGCTGGTTTTGTTTATTGTAAACCTCAATCACCAGAAATAGCAAGCTTGGCTTCTCTACCATCGGCACCCCTCTGAAGGGTTGACATGGTGGGGGGGGGGGGACATAGGTCATGGGGACGTCAAGGCATTTGAGACCTAGAAGGGCCTTAACCATCTTCCAATACAACAGCTTTCAAACTGGGTGACCATGGAACCCTCAGGCTTTCAGAAGGGTTCTGCAGGAGCTCCAGAGGTAATGATGTTTGAACTCGGTAAGATTCAAGCTGCTTGGAGAGGCCATTCACAGCTTTCAGCTGTATTATATGTTGATGTCCTGACTAATAACCTTATTTTGAAAAGTTATTAAGAATGTTGGGAAACCTCCAAGACTGCTTTCTTTGTCGAGTAAGGGAACTGAGGCTGAGAGAGATGAAGTGATTTGAGAGATTTTATTAGAAGGGTTGAAAATGTGCTTGTCTTCTCAGATCACAGTGTGACTAGAACACCCAAAAGAAGTTCGAATCGTACACCCATTCTGCTCCTCTCAGTGAGGTGGACAGTCAAGGATTCAGAGTAGGGGTGGCTTTGGAGTGGGAAATGTTAAGATGTGAAGAGATCATAGTTTTGTCATTTGGTTCCTGTTTATGATTTCTGTTAGGCTGGATTTTTTCACCAGTATTGAGTCCTGGGGTTTCCTGATAGATAGTTCTTGTGTCTGCTAGATGCTTTAAGTCCTGTCTGCGATGGCCAGTAGCAGAGCTAAGGGTGTGACAGTAAAGAGCGCCTGCAGGAGCCCAGGACTTAGGACTAAGAAAGGAAGTCATTGAACTGGGGAGTGGTATGCTTGCTCCCTCACCTCCCTCCCTTTCAAGCTTCTGCAAATTGGCTTCCTGGCCTGGGCTGGGGACTGCCTGGGCCTGCAGAATCAGGGCAAGTGGACTGCAAATTGATTTGTCCACGAAGCATGGGCTGCAGACCTTACATATAATAAGCTGGTACGCACCTGCTCCAGTTTACAGTATACAAGGGTGATGGCATTGCAATAAGTAAAACATGCACTCAGCCAGTGCTATTGAATTCAGAGCAATTTTTCACCATCACATAGGTCCTTCATCCACCGGTTCTAAAATTTGAGTGACTCTATGGGGGTTCTCTGGCAGTATCTAGGCGAAATCATGTGGTCTCTCATACTCACGTAGGTATGAACCCTGTATGCTGATAGGTAGTTCAAAGTTGAAACCAAAGAGACGTGCACATTTTGCTAGAGGTATCCCAAGTTTGCCCAGTTATTTAAATCCAGCATTAGACATCAGAGAGGGTGAGGATTTTCTATAGCTTCAAATAACTGAAGGCTGGCAAGCAGCAAAACATAGGGCCCCACAATCCTGCTGTCCTCGAATGGTAAAAAGAGGCATTTAGTGCCTTTCCTTCCCCTTCAGGCCATTGGCTAAAGACTCCAATAATGTCAGGGTCTGTTCTTTGTCATTGAAGGGCAAGGGGTGAGTGAATTGGATGGTTTATGGACTCTCTAAAGACTATTGCATGTGCTACGTGTTCTTCATATGACCTTGATATTTTAATATTCTATAGTTGGTTTGGCTGTTCAACTCACGTCTCTCCTTGAACAGCTTAAATCACTGCTGAGGAACAGGTGCAGCGGTCAAAGGTCAACAGACTGACAGACTTTAAGTAGTTAAATGTGTCAATATTTCAGCAATTTTGGTGGTAAAATTCAAATAGGGCATTTAAGTAGAAAACAAATGGAAAGGAACAATAATAAAAACATCCTTTTACCCATTCAACACTAGAAATAGGTTATTCTTTCATTGTTTTAGGATTATATTCTCAAAGACTTAGAAGGGAGATTAAGAGGAATTTGATATAGCAAGCAGTTTTTAAAACATAATTGCAAAAGCAGTTGATGAATGTGCCCACACTGATGTTTTCAAATCACATCTAATGGAGCCATAATGTAATATGAGAAAATAACCTTATGGGGGTCAGGGGGTTGAGCTTCTCCAGGAATTTTATGGGATATGCTGGGTCTTAATTACTTCATAATGACTGACAATTTTTAGAGCCTTAGAATAAAGGTTTCTTTTTTTTTTCTAAGTTACATTAAAAATAAATATCTGGGTCAATTACTGGCCCATCCATCTGCCAAGTGAAAATTGCAACAAGACAGAAAAACACGGTTGCTCGTCATGGGAGTGAAGCACCCAGACGTGAGCGGAGCGGCTTGGGAAGAGGTCACTGTTGTTTCCTGGGGCCGTGCCTCCGATCTGCCGGGGACTCCTCAGCCTGGGAGTTATTTACAAACCACCGAGGCCCCTCAGCTGCGGGAGAAGCTTTGCTTAATAAATCCTGGCCTCTGAGGCGTGGAATTGTGAAGTCTCTCAGGGAATGCCGAGGGACAGAACTAATTTCAGCGTCTTCGTTCTTTGAGAATGGGAGGTAGCATCACGTCTCTGACTGGAGCGTTCTGATGAGGGTGACCACCTACCCACAACGTGTTTTGAACTCTTTTATTTATAGTTGTTGCCTTCCTCTTTCTTTCTTGACGTTTCCTCTTCCTCCTGCTTCCCCTCTCTTCTCTTTTGCTTCTTCTTTCCTTGAGTTAAGGATAAGTTGTTTTTTCCACTCTGGTTTATTGTTATAAGGCTTAAAAGAAGTCACAGAAACTGGTGACTTAGCACATAATACCCATCTTAGGTTTAGAAGAGCAATTGAAAACATAATGTTCTCAATGGGTATTACAATAGTAGTTTCTTGCCATGACCACTTTGTAATCCACAACTCATTCTACCTACTAATCTCTGTCACAGTCCCATGAGATAGAGCAGCATCAGTGCTGCCCCTTACACAGGTGCCAGGGGTCAGAGACACTTGCACAGTTAGTCAGTGTGCCACCTGGCTCATTAGAGGTTTTGACAATCTCCGCTGGTGGGATTGAAAATAAAACAGGGTTTATGTTTAAGACTGTCTCCTTCTAAGCCTTCACTCATTTCCAGCAAATGCATTTTCACATGTCTTTCGTGAGCATTTTAGGATAATTTAAAAATATTAAGCTATGCTAGAGCTGTGCCAAAGTTTTGAAAATGGCTTATAAAAAATAATCTAGAGATCTGGAAGCGTTTAGATGGATGTGATCTACAGAAACACGGGATTTCCTTTTCTTTAGCCGGATGGACTTTACAGGTCATCTGTTCCGGTGATTTGTTTGAAACTTTTATTAGGCATTACAATCTTTTCTTCAGGCAAAAATTTTGCACAGAAGTCTATTAAAACAGTGTGCAAGATGCTGTGATTGGGAGAGGGGGCTTCCCCCAGCACTGTCCTCAGTATTCTGGCCCTAGAGTGCTGCCTCAAAACCTACCAGGAGCTTAGTCTGTAAAGCAGTTGAGGACTAGGGCCAAGTTAACTTTGGGCTGAAACACGCAGTAAAATGAGAAGGCCTTCCACACCTCGCTCATCACTAGCCCACTGCAAGGCTGCACTTTGCATGCTCATGGAAACTCGCAGGATTATTGAGGAGGCTGTGCAGAGGGAAGGGGCCTTTTAATTCTCTGCCTCCTTAGAGGTGCACCCTGGCGGGCCAGGAGCCCCAGGCAGAGATGTTTCTGTACAGGTCCCAGGTTTTGCAGCAAGGTCCCAGAGCATCCCGTTCTCCCAGTGAAATTCCGTTTTCAATTTCAGCCTGATTCCCTGAGTGAATTTAATGTAAAGCTGTCCCTTCCCCCTCGGTCCCGGCAGGTAAGGAGCTGCTGGCGACTGTCACACCAGTGCCCCTGTCAGCAGACCTGCTTGGCTCTGGAAGGATGGGTTGACAAAAAGCCATAGGTACCTGAACTTGTGTGTCTTTGTGCACAAGAAAAAATAATCTGTCACCTTGTTTAAGGCGTGTTCGGTTGCGTTTGATAGTTTGAAAATGCTCTGGGGAACAATCATCTGTCTGGTTTTGAGAGTCAGGTCGTAAAATGGTGAAATCACATACTGGGGGCTGGAGTGGGGCGGTGGGCAGTGTGGGGGCATTGGGAGGCTGCTGGTTTTTTTTTTAAAAAACAAGTTTTAATTTTTTCATCTAATAAACTGTTTTTTGTTTAAAGAGCAGTTTTAGGTTCACAGCAAAACTGAGCAGAATGTAAAGAGAATTCCCATCTATCCCATCCCCCCACCATGCCCGCTATCAACATCCCCACCTGAGTGGTGCATTTGTTACACCCCAGGAACCACACTGACACGTCCTCAGCAGCCATAGTTTGCGTTGAGTTCACTCTTGATGTTCTGACATGTATAATGAGTGACCTGTGTCCACCATGAAGTTATTGTACAGAGTAATTTCACTGCCCTAAAATTCTCTGTGCTCAGCCTATTCAGCCCATCCTCCCCCCCCAACCCCTGGCAACTGCTGATCTTTTCGGAGTCTTCATGTGTTTGCCTTTTTCAGAATGTCATTGAGTTGAAATCACACAGCCTATGTCCTTTTCGGATTGGCTTCTTTCAGTAATATGCACTTAAGTTTCCACCCTGTCTTTTCACGGCTTGGTAGGTCATTTCTTTTTAGCACTGAATAATATTCCATGGCCTGGATGTACCCCAGTTTGCTTGTCTATTCCCCTGCCGAAGAATATCTTGGATGTCTCCAAGTTTTGACAATTACGGATGAAGCTGCTGTCAACATAGGAAACTGGTTTTAAACGTTCAGTAGAGATTAATGCAAGAACTCTGGAGTGGGGGAGGCCTGGAGGCCTGGGTTGAAATGAAGTTCTACCAGAGAGGATTTCTGCTAGCTGATATCAGGCAACTGGGGGCTTCATCCATCAAAAGCACTTAACATTGAAACTTACTTTTCTTTTCTGAGCCACATAAGTAAGAAGAATTCAGACGGCACCTCTGTCTAGGTGGGTGGCTGGTGAAAACTTCCAACAGTACTTTTCTCTCTCCAGAGTGTAAGAGTTCAGATTTGCATGTGTCCATTCTTCCCTTTCTGTGGGGCAGAGATACATGTATTTCTCTGTCCCCCCGAGGCGAAGCTATAGTCTCTGACCCCCTGAGTTTCAGCCCAGTGGGAGTGTTTCTTGTAAGATTTCTCAGTTTGGGAGGACCTTGGGCTTCATCTCCTGCCCTCCTTCTCCTGCCCCAAATGGCTACCAAGGTGGGTCCAGAAGAAACTCTCAGAGGTCTGTAGTTTGTTTATCTTCTAGGCTTTTTATACATTTCTTTCCTTCATAATAGCTCAGTGAAAAATGTTAAAATATTTTAAAAATATATTGTACCCAGCATTTTAGTTATATCAGGCAGGAAGATTGCTTCAGATGTTGATGTGCCCTTTCTTGGCCAGGGCATTGCAAGGCAGGGTTAGTGCTCGTAGACAAACAAGGATTTTTTAGGAGGTGATGACACCATTTCCATCAGGGGTGGCCAGGAATGGGCACGTACAGACAGAAGCATTCAAGTGACTTGAGAGGATCCTTAGGCAGCCTGGAAGTAAGAGGAAGATGACAGGCCCTCTCCGTCTCCACAAAAAACAGTGTAATTAAATGTGGAATACCCTTACCCCCGGAACATTTGACCTCAGAGACCTTGGGTCTCAATGCATTGGACACTGACAGCCCATGTATTCTACTCTGTGTGTGTCCATAAACCTTCTTCATTTAGTTTATTTATTTTTTGAGATGGAGTTTCGCTCTTGTTGCCCAGGCTGGAGTGCAATGGCGTGACCTCGGCTCACTGCAACCCCCGCCTCCCTGGCTCAAGCGATTCTCCTGCCTCAGCCTCTGGAGGAGCTGGGATTATAGGCACGCACCACCGCGCCCAAGTAGTTTTTTGTATTTTTAGTAGAGATGGGGTTTCATCACGTTGGCCAGGCTGGTCTCAAACTCCTGATCCCAGGTGATTCATTTACTTTCAATTAACGGCACCTCAATGGCCTCCCATTTGACTATAGATGTTAAATAAGTACAGTTGTCTCTCCGTGTTTGGACTAACTGCTCAAGGCTTTGATGAGCAGCAGAGTCTCATTTAGAAGGAGACTTGCCTTGGTTCAAGAATTCACTCTCTTACCTAGGATGTAATTCTATTTTTCTGACAGGACATGCTTGATGGGACTGATGTCTCCAGCCAGGTCAGCGCAGCAGAGAGGTGAACACCAGCATGTCTTGTTAAGAAGCAGGAGATGAGTTCATGAGATTTCCACACACACACGTTGATGGCCTTTACATATGAGCTTGGAGATAGAAAATAATAGCTAATAGGTTTTAGTCGTTTCCAAGTGCATGGCATAATTCTAAATTCTTTACATGTGACCACTTCTTCTATTTTCATAACAGCTGGGGGATAGGGAGGGGGTAGGCTAGTGTCCCTGTTTTTAAAATGAACAAATCCAGGCATAGGCAGATTATCTGACTTGTGTAAACCCCCATAATTAGTAAGCGGCAGAGCCAGAATGGACGCAGGGACAGTCTATGTCTAGAGTCGTTGTTTTGAACTCCTATGCTGTGTCTCTCTCAAAGAGAACAAGAAAGTACAAGTCACTACAATGAAAAGAACTCCATTGTCAGTGAGACATACAACACCCTTCCAAAGTGAGAAAGACAAAACACCCAGCTAAGACTCACTGGCTAATTGGAAAGCAGGACCTGTTATTATGTAAAGGCTCCTGTCCTACTAGGTGAGATTTTCCTTGAGGGTAGGGACTATGTCTTTTCATCTCCCTATTCTTGTGACACCTGGAGCAGGCCTTGCTCTCAATAGGCTCCTGATCAATGCCGAGTTGTCACATCCCCTCATGCGTTAAATAAGGCCGTGTCTGAGGATCCCACTGGAAAGTCTTGGAAGACTCTGGGACTCTTGTAAGCCCTGCACGGTGCTTCCTGATTATATGAGGAGTTGGAGAATATCATGAGAAAAGTCCAAAGTCTCTCCTAAGTTCTGAACTATAGCTCCCTTCTCCCACGTGGCAACTCTTCCCTGATGGTTTAAAGAGCAGAGGTCTTGGCAAAACCAGGCTTTCCCTCAGATTGTTCAGCAGAGGGCTGCCAGTTATCTAAGACCTTTTTAAGAAGCAGATAGACAGCGAGGTGCGGAGGCTCATGCCTGTAATCCCAGCACTTTGGGAGGCCAAGGCGGGCAGATCGCTTGAGGTCAGGAGTTTGAGACCAGCCTGGCCAACATGTCGAAACCCTGTATGTACTAAAAATACAAAAACTAGCCGGGTGTGGTGGTGCAAGTCTGTAATCCCAGCTACTTGGGAGGCTGAGGCAGGAGAATCACTTGAACCTGGAAGGTGGAGGTTGCCGTGAGCTGAGATCTTGCCACTGCACTCCAGCTTGGGTGACAGAGACTCTGTCAAAGGAAAAAAAAAAAAAAGAGGCAGATATATATGTTCATCTGTTGCCTTTGACCTTGTCAAATCTATTGAAGTTCTCAATGCCCTGAAAACAAATGGACTTAGATCTATGGCCACTCTCTGGCAAAACTGAGGGAATTTTAAACTCTAGCATCTTTTGGGCTGTAGCAAGGTGACAAAATTAAGTTTCTGGAGTGCCCCAGAGGCTAAATAAATGCAATTTTGTCATTTCTGGAGTGTTCTGTAAATATCGAGCCTATAAAACAGAATGCAGTTACAAGAAGAGTTAATTCACAGGTTGGTGAAAGGAACACTGCTCATAATTAGAGTCAGGTGGTAAAGGACATACTTCCTGGTGAAGCAGGTGTGTAGGGACCCGTGACATTCTCCCATCTGGAGTTGTCTCCTCCTCTCTCCCTGCTCCTGTGGCTGGGGGTGGGATTCCTAAGTCACTGTCCCTCCCTTTCCCCATTCCCATTTCTTCTGAGTACTTACTAGGTGCAAAACATTTTTCTGGACATTTGGGAAAGCTCAGAAAATAATATGTTGATATTCCCCTCCAGGAAGGTAGACCGTCCTGGGAAACCCAGGACTAGGGTTTCCTGGGGAAACAAGGGAAAGCAGTCCAGGCGTGTGGGGGAGAGATTCAGGGTGCTTTCCACCCTCTCCCGGACCTCAGCTTCCCTGCACCTGGCTTTGCTTTTGTAGGCTGGGGCTGCTGCTCCTCTCGGCTTCTTCCATGGCAGTCGGTGCCACCCAGCTCGCTGGTGTTCCTGACTCGGGCTCTGCCCGCCTCACCCCCTCTGTAGGCTCTCCCTGGTGGGTGTTCTGCTGTTCACAGTCCTGATTTGGCACAGGCCCTCTGAGGACCTCAACACAGACGCTCCAGAGAAGAGGCCTGGACCTGCGTCACTGAGAATGCATCAGAGGGAGCAGTTCCGGGAAAGAGAAAACAACCAAGTCATTTCGGTTGGACGGGACATAAACACTGCAAGACAAAATTGATGCACAATAATGATATGATCTGTCAGAAGAAGTGGCAAAGAAAGGGAAGAAATGAGCGGCTGTGTGTGGGCGAGCCATTGATGCAGGAGGCTCTCCTTGCCATTTGGTCCAGTTGCAGCAGAATAAAAAAAGCTCCACTTCTGGTTGAGGGATCTCACATGACAAGTATGCAAGAGCTGTTTAATACCACCACGCCTGGCCAGTGACAGGGGCACGGCATCCTGGTTAGTAATGAAAGTGGAGTGAGAAAGCTGCAGGAGCCTGAGATGGATGGAACAGGGAAGGAGCAAAGTTTCCACAGAGGAGACAGAGGAGGAGGAAGCGGGGGACAGAATACCCCACGACTCTAGCGGCACACGTACACAAGCGAGGCAGCACGCAGAGTTGACAGGCACAGATGGACTGGTCACGTAGCCTGGAGTTAGGGCAACAGATGGACAAGTCATTGCATAAATTGGCTACCCAGGGACCACAAATGCCTGCTAGGAAATCCAAGGACGTATCATGTTGACCCAGTGACAACATACCTGGGCAGAGGTAGACACAGGTGCCCCTGATGTGAAAGGGAAATGAACAGCAGTTTGCATTGGTGGGGGGGAATAAAAAGCAAACGAGATTAATAAGGAAAGGAAGGAAATTACATTGTGTGCGTGTGTGTGTGCTTAATGTCTTTTGTAAGAGGACTTACCTTTAATTCATCTTTGTAAGACCTGACTTTAATTATGTCACTTCTGAATGTTGTAATCGTATGACTTTCAGAGCAGTGGGAGAGGAAAATAACATTTGGATATTTGATAGATATTCAAAATATAGCTGAAATAAATTTTCTAAACACTGAATCTTTAGTCTAAGCACAAAGTGAAAAACAATAACTTTCATGGAAATAGTTACTTGTAAAATGTTGTTCAGCTTTCAGAATGAAGTATAAAATACAAGATGGAGTTGTCATTTAAAAACCAAATAGTACTAAACTAAAACAAAAGTAATTCTTGCTAGATATATTTAGGTTGCTGTAATAGTGTACCCAAAAAAAAACTATAGTCTGCTGTGATGGTATTGATTACCTTTTTATTTATGGTAAAAATGGATGAATTGTCATGTCTTTAAGTTGCTATTTACTCAATATTTTAATATACATTTAGTATATACATTTGTGTTAATTCTTTTTTAAAGCTTTAAAAATTAATCACGTAATCTTTGAAAGTCACTATGCTAGGGACCGGATACAGTGGTGAACAGGATAAAATTGTTTCTGTCTTCATGAAGGGTATATAATCTGTTACTTAAAAAAAAAAAAAAAAGACTATAAGGCCAGATGTGGTGGCTCATGTCTGTGATCCCAGCATTTTGGGAGGCTGAGATGGGAGGATTGCTTGAGGCCAGGAGTTTGAGACCAGGCTGGGCAAGAAAGCAAGGCATTCGTTTCTACAAAACCTTTTTTTTAAGGACTTTAATTTTTAGAGCAATTTTAGGTTTAAGCAGAAAAAGTAAGCAGGAAGTACACAGAGTTCCAATGTTACCGCCTGCCACACATACATCCATTTTCTTGGCTATTAACATCTTAGTGTAGTACATTTGTTATCACTGATGGGCCAATACTGATATGTTATTATTAACTAAAGTCCATAGTTTACATTCGGGTTCCCTTTTGGTGGTGTACATTCTGTAGGTTTGACAATTGTATAATACGTGTATCTACCATTATAGAATCATGCAGAATAGTTCACTCCCTAAAGATTCCCTGCGCTCCACCTGTTCATCTCTCCACCCTCACAAACCCCTGGCAATCACTAGCTTTTTACCTTTGATAGTTCCGCCTTTTCCAGAATGTCAAGCAGCTGTGTGATTCGAGAATGGGTGGAAGCATCCAGTAAATAGCATGTTTAGATAGGTCTTTTTCACTTAGCAGTATGTATTTAACGGTACTCCATGTCTTTCTGGGGCTTGATGGCTTATGTCTTTTTATCACTGAGTAATAATCCACTGTTTGGAGGTACCATAGGTTATTTTATCTATTCAGCTCTTGAAATAATTGCAGTTGCTTCCAGTTTTTGGCAATTATGAACAAAGCTGCTATTAACGTTTGTGTACAGGTTTTTATGTGCACATAAGTTTTTAACTCATTTGGACAAATATTTAAGAATGTGATTGCTGGATCATGTGGTTAGCCTATGTTTAGCTTTGCCATAAATTGTCAAACTGTCTTCCAAAGTGACTGTACCATTTTGCTACCAGCAGTGAGTGGGAGTTCCTGTTACTTTACATCCTTGCCAGCATTTGGTGTTGTTGGTGTTTTGGATTTTGGCAATTCTGATAGGTGTATAGTGGTATCTCCTTATTGTTTTAATTTGCAATTCTTTAATGACATATGATGTGGAGTATGTTTTCTTATGCTTATTTGCTATTTTTATATCTTCTTGGTGAGGTGGCTATTCAGATCTTTTGCCCATTTTTTATTTGGGTTGTTGTTTTCTTATTGATGAGATTTAAGATTGTTTTGGCCTTTATCAGATATGTGACTTGAGAATGTGTCCTCCCAGTCTGTGGCTTGCCTTTTCATTCTCTGAAAAATTTCTTTCCCCAGGCATCCATTATTTGTGAACTGTGTGGGTTGGGCACTGGTGGACCAGAGTAGTTCTGGGAAGGTGAATTGCAGGCCTCCACAGCCAGGCTCTGTTAGTCTCAATATTCTCCCAGAAAGTCAGGTTGGACTGTTGCATGCCCGAATGTTGGCACTCACACCTTTCTTGTTCACTTGCTTCTATTGACCTTGTTACTGGGTTGTACCTATGGTTTTGGCCTCTCATTTTTTGCCGTGTTGGTCATTTTGTGCTTCTGATGACTTTAGTAGCTGACTCTGGCCCTGGTCCCTTGACTTCCTGCAAGTTCTGTTACCTGACTGTGGCCATCCACCCTCCCACATGGGTGCTGATTGTCTTGTTTGTGTACCGGCTTGGCCTTTGCCAGTGACAGTTTATCCTGACCCCAGCCCGAGGCCTAGTGTCTAGAAAAATTATCATATTTTCAGTGGTTGATTATAAAACCAGCATTAGGTTGGGTGTTTCTCAGTTTAATGGCTAAACTCAAAATCTTTATTGCTGTCACCCCCAAACGAAGTTGCCTTGCTGACTTTCCCATTTCTTCCCTACTGGCCTCACCATTCTCCCAGTAACTCAGACTGTCTGTCACAGGGCCATCTTTGATTTATCCTTCATCACCTGTAGACAGTCAGTAGCCTTGTTCTCAGAGTGCTTCAGTGCTTACCATTCATTCTATTAAAGGACTTGAGTTCTACCATGATAGGAAAAAAGACTACATCATTCCAGGAAGGTATGTGTGCACGTTCAGACAATAGGTTAATGCCATATGCATTTTTCTGAAAACCCTGTATCTCCCTATATGGCAGCCTCTAAGAGCCTTTGTGGTACCAAAACCGGGAATCATTCTTTGGCTTTGTTTTTAAACACTGAAATCCTTCTTCAGTCTTCTCTCTTTTTTATTCTCACTGCCACCGATGTGAAACTGGCCCTGGCTTCATGGCTGGCCCCTTGAGGCTTCGTGCTGGACTCAACACCTTGGGTCTTTCTGAAGGGAAGCCTGCTGGGGACAGGAATAGGGAAAGAGCTGAGTAGGACAATAAGGTGGAGAGAACCAGAAAGCCTTTCAACCCATCTTTAGAGTGAGATCTTCACAGTGTGATTTCGTTATTGTATTTGAAGTGAATGCTAGAATAGCTGATGCTTTTAGAAATCAAATATAGATACAGAACACATTACAAAACTAAGATTTGGTCATTTTAAAAGCTTTGTTATTTGCTTTTTCATCCTCTCCTTTCCTCCTATTCACTCAAGTAAATAATGATGTGACCACAGTTTTCTTTACTTAAAAATATTTTTTTTCACAGGCTTCAGATCTGTGTGTCTACTTGTCATGAAAAGTATATTTTACCTTAATAAGCTAATGATTTATTTCAACAGAGGAAGCAGAGCCTTCCAAGTTTATATGAGATTGATTACTCCAAAGCTTTGACTAGAGACCTGTTCTTGTAGAAGCCAGTCTTTTTGTGAAAGTCAGGTGAATTTTAGATTGCCTTCTCAAACTCTACCTGTGTGTCATAAAGTCACTGCTATCATTGTTTTCCCCTCATTTCCAGTAGCTTATGAGAACTCCAGCTATTAGCATGTAGCATTTAACCTCCTATACTATTAGGTCGTTTCTTTGATTGCCCAGAACAATCTTATCATTGGATGAAACTATTATAAATTATATGCACATAGTTTTAAATGATTGCAAGATATATTTGATTCTAGGTCTTTTCAGAAGTTTAGCATTGAATCTTTTTCAAAATTTTCTCTTTTTGCAACATTTCCAGCTATATTTCAACTTGTTTATCAGAACGATGGCTGCCTGGGCTAAAGCCAGTGCTGCCAGGCAAAGCTGCTCCCAGTGGAGCCCAGGTGGGTGCAACAGGGAGCTGGCTGTCGGGAAGGGCTGAGCTGCTTGGAGAGCAGGAGTGAGCAGGTGGGCATGATGAGGGAGATGCTGGGGGTCCCAAGGTGAGGAAGGAAAAGAGCAAATGGCCTTCTGGTGCACGTGGTCATTAAGGTGAGATGACTAGTGAGAAGCCTTGAGTCTTGATGAATGGGCGAGGGAGACAATCCTTTATATCAAGTCCCAGGAACTAACTTGAGAGCCCAATGCGGAGGGCACTGGAAAGTCAGTTAAACAGTTAGATAGTCCCACCTGCTGAGGAGATGGAAGCAAGGGCCAAATCGCAGGGTGGGGGTCAGGTTGGCCTAGAGCCCTCTATGCGATGAGAAGCTTGAAACCCATCTCTCAGTATGTGCAGCCACTGGAGCTGGGGTACAGCTGGGGTCTTGGTGAGTCCTAAGTGACTGTTCAGATTAGGTCACAACAGACTGAGGTATTTGTCTTTAATTCAGGAAGCAAGAGCATTGAGAGCTCTTGTTCACATTTTACCTGCAGCTGATTCAATATCCTGTCTGACTCTTCAGGTGGTGTTTTACCAAATTATGTCCTGGAAGAGGCCAGTCCATATTCCAGAAGTTAGACCAGATGCTAATATGCTCTGCAGCTGGCTGGAGGAGGGCTGGGTCATATACCACGTGATGGGGAGAGAAGAGGGAGGCAGAGGACACAGTCCAGCCTGGAGCAGACATGGAGTCAAAGGCTGATCTTGGCTCTTGGAAGATCCTGGGGGGAGATTGAGGTAGGACAGGTGTGTCACAGGGGCTTCTGGGCAGCATTCAGCTCTGGGGTGCTCACAAAGTGTGGTGGCTGCTGGAAATAGTGACCTATGCCTCTCATTAGAGTATTTCAGCTGAAAGGGCCTTTGGAATCTTCTCTTCTCCCAGGGTAGGAAATAGAAACTCAACAAAGGTGATGACTCAGCATTGTCAGGCAGCTAGCCCATAGCAGGGACTAGACCAGAACCCTGGCCTTTTCACTTTTCAGAGTTCTTTTAGAAACAGTTGAATTGGGCTGTAAGTGATCTATATTAAAGTACATATTTTAAAGTGAACAGTATACGTTTTGACATAGGTAGACACTGTAAAGCCCTCACCACAGTCAAGATAATGAGCAGATCCATTCCCCAAAAAAAGTTACCTCGCATGCCTTCATCATTCCTCCCCCTGCCTTCCTCACCCCGCAGCCCTGGTGCCCAGGCAACCTCTGATCTGCTTCCTGTCATGACAGGTGTGTTTGCATTTTGTAGAATTTTTTTCTGGAATCACACAGATTTCTTTTTGTGCCTGGCTTCTTTGATTCCACCTGTTTTGAGATGCATCCATGTTCTCGGATCAGCAGTTCACTCCTTTTTCCTGCTGAATGATATTCTCTTGTATGGATGAAGCATCCTTTTCCCTGCTGATGAACAGTCAGGTTGTTTTCAGTTTGGGGCTGTTACAAATAATGCTGCCATCAATATTCATGTACCAGTGTTTGTGTGGGTGTGTCATTTCATTTCTCTTACATTAATACCTAGAAATGGAATGACCAGGACCTGTGGTAGGTTTATGTTTAACTTTTTAAGAAATTTCCAAACTGTTTTCTGGAGTAGTTGTACCATTTTATATTCCCATCAGCAGTGTACGAGGGTTCCAGTTTCTTCACTTGCTCATTAGCAGTTGGTATGGCCAGTCTTTTTACTTCTAGTGATTGTAACAGGTGTGTAGCCGTATCCTACTGTGTTTTTCACTTGCATTTTCCTGACGACCGAATTATATTATTTTGTCATGAACTTACTTGCCATGTGTATGTCTTTCATAAATTGTCTGTTCAAATCTCTTATGTATGCTTTTTATTGGGTTATTTTCTCATTGTAATTTTGACAGCTCTTGATATATTCTGGAAACAAGTCCTTTATCAGACATAATGATTTGCAAATATTTTATCTGAGTCTGTGGCTTGTCTTAGCATTCTCTTAACAGTGTTTTTTGAAAAGCAGAACTTCTAAATTTTGATGAGATCCAGTCTATCGGTTTTTTTTTTTATGGATGAAACTTTTGTGTCATATCTAAGAACTATTTGTCTAACACAAATATTTTCTCTTATTTTTTCAGAAATTGTATAGTTTAAGATGTACATTTAAGTCTGCAATCCATTTTGATTAATTTTTATATATAGTGCAAGTCATTTGACACGTGTGTAATATAGCAAAAGGCACATATTGGATCTGTGGATTAAGGTCACTTTACCCACCGATGGTGACAGAAGTCTTCTACCAGTACTGTCATATTAAAATGCAAAGGTCAATCATACATTATATATGTACATCACTCAATAAACCCCTAAAGTACATTGCCCAGTTTTCATAATACATTTAATGAAAGAATAATAAGGTCATTAAGGGCAATCAGTGTTTTGTTATATTCCTGATTATATTCTTGATTATAGTTTGTTGCATTTCTCGAACGAACATGGATGGAGCAAGAAGTATTCCTCTTCCCCCTTTAATGCGAACCAACATAGTCTCAGACTCCAGTTTAAAACCTTGTCAACAGCAGTGATTGCACATTGTTTACCCCACCCGCTCCCGGTTGTAGTAATTATGGTACTTTAGATTTCCTGGAGAGGACACAGTGCTTAATCATGTAATTATGTCTCTGGACGGCTATCCCAAACAATGTGGAGCACGGGCTCTGCCGTTCATGACAACAGCCAAGAGAGAAGTTTGTTTGGGTTCTTATTGTGCAGACACAGTGGGAGGGGAGGCTGCAGTGGCTGGGGAGAGCAACTCGTGGAGGGAAGGAGTTGATTTTGGAAAGACAAAATGGGGTTGTGTAGGGATATGTGGCTTTTTTTCTTCCCCCAGTTCTTGTCCTTATAATTATTCCAGGAGTAGGAGTCCTTAGCACCACTGCATTGACTGTGGTATATGGCTCAGTCTCCACACCACAGTTATCTAGGGCTGGGGCAAGTGGATTTGTCCCGGGGAATTACTATGGGTCCTAGTATTTAGCCTTCCATTGTGCTTCTAGCCCAGAAGTGTGCTTGCTTTACAAAAGTCAGGAGAGAGATACAGGAAGGAGCACCGGAGTTGGAGTCTGACAGTCCCCCACACCTGCTGGGGGATCAGGAATGAGTCACTTAGTCTCTCCCGACACCAATTTCGCTATCTGCCAGAAGGGGAAGAGTATCCTTCTGGTGTACCCAAGTGGATTCAGTGAGAGGACATGCTCTCCATGTACATAATGGGCCAAAGGTCATGCATTTTTTCATTTTATGTGGAAAAAATGACTTGCACGTGTTCGTTTGGGAGGCACCATGAAAACTGGCTTTACCTTCTCTAGGGACCTTCCCTAACCCCATCCCAGACCCTGAGGCGGGGTTGCCACATTCATTCCCCTTGCATATTTCCCTCATTGCATGTCCTGCGTCACAATGATGGCTTTGCTCCCTGCTGTGAGAGCAGGAATTTCTTCAGGGCCAAGACCTGTAATTTTTATTTATAACTCTAGTGCCATTTCATAAGCATTTGATGAATAAACAACTAAATGAATACATATGAAGATGAGCAGAGCAGTCCTGGTGTTGAAGGAATTCATAACCTGGTGGAGGAGATGGACACGTGTGTGAATAATTGCAGCACACCGTTCTAGCTATAACAAGCAGTTTATTCACTTTTAAACAAAATGGGAACGCTTCTTTCTCATCTAATAAAATTGCTTCTGTGGGCACTCCAGACATTTGGGTAGAAAGTATGTTGCTGAAAAATGATTTCTAAGAAGAGTAGAGGAGATATGGGGAGACTACACTCTTTTATTCCAGCCATTACTCATCTGCAGGCTTTCACTTTCCATGGCACCTGAACTTCTACTCCCGAGGTTAGGGTGGGGCATTCATTACATATTTTCACAGCACCATCCTTCTCTTTTCTGACACTAATGATTTGTTTCCCATCTGCCTCTTCTCTCCCTATCATCTAGACTAGCGCCTAGCACATAGTAAGACCTCAATAAGTTGCTGCTAATTGACTAACTATACAATCAAACAAGTTCACACCATAAAGACTTTCTTAAAAAATAACCCTGGCTTCAGAAATTTTCTGAAGAGGGGAACGAGTTCTTTCCCCATCATGGGATTTGAATATGGGCCTGTGGCCCCAGGTTTCTTTTGAGCAGGGCTACAGTCTGATTTTCTTAATAGAACACATTACACCATTAAATGGATCTCCACACACCTGGAGGAGCTAACCTATTGAAGAGAATGCTTTCCTGTTATCCTCCTGGAATTCAGGTACAATTTAACTTCTTGCCATTAAAACACAACTTGATAGTGGTAACCTTTTCCCACCTCTTGGGACGCTTATTTTTAGTTTTCTGGAGAAGATGCAGATTGGAACACAATGACTACAGATAGATAAGGCATAGCCCGCAAACCCATTTGCAGGTGCGCTGTGTTTCCTTGCACAGTCGTTTGTCTCCAGGTTTGAATGCTTCTCCAACGCCTTTATTGGCAGTTGAAAATAGAGTTCTAGCCAATGTCGATGGATTGTTACCACAAAATGCAATTTGCTGCTGCACGTTGTGCTCAGATAATGGGCAAGAGTAGAATTCATCCAAACAATTGTGCTCCAACAATTGTGTTCAAAGAAATGATACCACAGAGTGAGCCATTCTCAGTTTTCTGAATCATTTAAGTGGTTTCATTGTAACTCATCCCTTTGTCAACTATTCTTCAGTGGGAAAATAAAGGCTTAAAGGAATTTCTTTTCTTCAAGAAACAGAACTTATAGCAGAATCAGAAATATGTCATGATATATAGGCCTACTTATGGAAGAAACAACCCGTGTTACCACTGATTACTCGATCACTTCTGTAGGGCTGAGGCAACACTGTTAATTCTTTGAATTTTCTGGCTGCACCAGGCATAGGTTTGTGTGAACAACAGGGAAGTGTTACCTACAGAGAGCCGGCAGGGCAGAGTGTCAAATGCGTGGGATTCAGAGGCAGAAAATTTGGACATCAGCTTTGCTGCTACCGCTTACTCTCTCTTTTGGTTTTTTGTTGTTGTTGTTGTTTGTTTGTTTTTTTGTTTTTTGAGACAGAGTCTGGCTCTCTCTCCCAGCCTGGAGTGCAGTGACTTGATCTCGGCTCACTGCAAGCTCCACCTCCCGGGGTTCACGCCATTCCCCTGCCTCAGCCTCCTGAGTAGCTGGGACCACATGTGAGTGCCACCACGCCCGGCTAATGTTTTGTATTTTTAGTAGAGACGGGGTTTCACCGTGTTAGCCAGGATGGTCTCGATCTCCTGACCTCGTGATCTGCCCACCTCAGCCTCCCAAAGTGCTGGGATTACAGGCGTGAGCCATCGTGCCTGGCCTGCTACCGCTTACTCTCTCTGTGACCGTGGAAAAATGATCTCATCTACCTTGAAGGGTTTGTTATGAGTGTCAAAGAAGATAATGTGCAATGGATAGCATGGTTTAAACAGTGAAGGAAAAAAGTTTTGTAGTTGCTATAGAATGAATGTTTTCTTGTATGAACTGAAAAACTTGAGTCAAGTTTCACATGGGAGCTTTGGTCTTTCCTTAATGGAATATTATCAGAAAAATGTGTTTTATATATCTGTCTTTGAAAGTTTTACTTATATACCGGATTCTGTTACAAATAATAAAATAAAGTTCTGCTTATTGGTAGCTATTTCTGTTTCAAGTTAATGCACAGAGCCACAAAATGCCATACAAAAGAAAGGCAACATGATGTCCTTTGGCTGAAGGCTTCATTTCTATTCGTTTTCCATAGAAATTATGTGTGTCTGCTTTTGAAGAAGCATACTGAAAAAAAAAAAAAAAACTATCCTCTACTAGGTGCCTTATTTGTGTAATAGAAATTCTAATCCAAGTTTAGTAATACAAAGAAAGAGAGTTTTGCAGATGGAAGACTGCCAGCTTGACAGCAGTCATGCCCAGGATGCTCATAAGGACTGCTAGAGGAGGGAGGTCACCAGGAGCCAGCACAGGGCCACTGAAACCACGTCAGAGCAGCTGGAGTTCCACACGTTGGTGAGGGGTGAAGGAGAGGGGAATTAAGTGTTATCCAGGTGGATGTACCTGAGGTTCTGTGATTTCATAAGCATTCATAACGAGTATTGACACAATATTCATCATTAGCTCATTCACATCAGACCCTATGAAGAATTTAGGAAAGCTGTGATTCCAAGATCTTCGGGCTTTTCTTCAAAAGAAGAGAGTTATGAAGCCAGGCTGAAGGCACTGCAGGGTGGAATTTGTGCTGCAGGGGAGAGGCACCCGGACACAATGGGAGCCAGGCGCCTTCCCCACAGCTTGGCTTTGCCACGGCAGAAATGCTGAGCTGACAGGAAGCTCATTTTGTTCCTGGAAGAGGGCTTTATTTTATTTCAAACCCTCAGCTGCCTGGTGCACATTTTTGTTCTGGCAATAAATAACTTTAAGCTCATGTTTGAGTTCTTTCTTCTTTTTTTTTTTTTTAATATTCCATAGAAGAAAAATAAAAGTTTTTATATGAATAATTTTTAAGACTCAGTAAGAAGTAAACAAACAGCTTTTTAAAAGTGGGCAAAACATTTGAAAAGACATGTCACTATATCAATGATACACAGATGGCATATAGCATCCAGTTTACAGGAAGCAAGGGGAATAGAGAAATGCTTTCTGTGATACCTACCATGGGGAAGCAAGCAGGCAAACCCAGAATTTGGGATACACTAAGGACAGCTGATGTGGCTTCTTAAATATATGAGTGTGTTTTTTAAAAAAGGGGAGAGGGCCTTCTCAATTATGTAACATTTAGAGTACATGACCAAATACGATGTGAGGACTAAGGGATGGAAATTGACTAGGGGAAAAATAACTTTAAAAAACTTTTTTAGGGTGACAATAATCAGGGGAACTTGAATATGGAGTGGGAATCCACTTGAGGCATGGATTACTATGCATCTTATATGCAAGAAACACCTGCCCGTAAATTCAATTAAAAATTGTTTTATCTCTACAAAAAATTCCGATTTATCAGACAGTCAATTTGCATTACAAAGGGCACTGTTTCTTTTATAAAATAGTTTGCTGTAGAATTCCATTAAATGATTTATGTAATTTCCATGGGTAGTCTTTTTTTTTTTTTTTTGGAGATGGACTTTTGCTCTTGTCGCCCAGGCTGGAGTACAGTGGCGCGATCTTGGCTCACCGCAACCTCGGCCTCCTGGGTTCAAGTGACTCTCTTGCCTCAGCCTCTCAAGTAGCTGGGATTATAGGCACGTGCTACCACGCCCAGCTAATTTTGTATTTTTAGTAAAGACAGAGTTGGTCAGGCTGGTCTCGAACTCTCAACCTAAGGTGACCCGCACACCTCGACCTCCCAAAGTGCTGGGATTACAGGCGTGAGCCACTGTGCCCGGCCAGGTACTCTTTTTTAAAAATCCTCCAATTTAGCCCCTTTCTTTCTTCAGTCTCTTCTATTCTCCAACCATGGATGCTGGCTCCCTTCATGCCTCCAAAACTTTATGAAAGCTTATTTCCTCTATCTGGAGTTATTCCCTTCACTTTGTTCTTTGTAAAAGCTTATTATATTAGTCAATATTCTCCAGGAAAACAGAAGCAATAGGATGATCTATTGATGAGTTGATCGATCTAGAGGTTAATGTATTATAAAGAATTGGCTCAGGATTGGCTCATATGATTATGGAGGCTGGTGAGTTCCAAGATCTAAGCTGGAGAACAAGAGAGCTGATGGCATAGTTCCAGTCCAAATGCCAGCAGCCTTTAGATCCAGGAAGAGCTGATGTTTTAGTTAGAGTTCAAAGGCAGGAAAAAAATCAGTGTCTCAGCTCAATCCTTCAAGCCGGAGGAGTCCTTTCTACTCAAGTGTTTTGTTCTATTCAGGCCTTCAACTTACTGGGTGAGGACCATCCACATCAAGGAGGGCTGTCCGCTTTACCGGGTCTACGGATTCAAATGCTAATGTCATCCAGAAACACCCTCACAGGGACACCCAGAATAATATTTAGCCAAATGTCTTGGCACAGTCAAGTTGACACATAAAATTAACCCTCACTCTTACTCGCGCTTTAAGACTACCCTCAAACGAATTCTACAGGAAAGCGTCCAAATGTCGATACTATGTAGATTTATGTGTTTATTTTTTTTATTCTACGCTGTACATTTCTTGAGGGAGAGAAATTTTTGTCACATTCATCTTTCAATCACTAGACACTAGCCTAGGACCTGGCATAAAACAGGTATCAAGTAAATATCTCTTAAGTGAATGAATGAATGGATGAATAACAGCATCTGTAGCAAATTTAGGAGAAACTGCACAAGTTAGAAGGTATCATGTTTTAATATTCTAAATTTAAATATGACTAGTAAGAGGGTGGCTTTTAAGACTGGTATAAGCAATCATGAAGAGTGATGGTTTGTGAAAAAGTAGACCGTGTAACAGCAGCAAAATAAAGTTAGTAAGATAATTCTGAAAACAAAAGCTATTCACATGCATATTTGAGACTACAGATATGATAAAATTAGCATTCAGTAGGAACTATTTGAATTTTGTTTTAGTCTAAGTTATAGTGAGTTGTTCAATCTGTTAGCATTTAAGTCGATTAGCATTTAAAATAAAAATGGTATTCTTCCAACTTATTCTACCCTACCTTAAAACCTGCTCCCCAGAATTCCACATTATTTTACCTGCTCCTTCTAGTAGCATCCATATCTTGAAATAACACATTTATACCTCTATTCCTTACTTTATTCACTTAGACATTAGTTACTTCTACCCCCTAGTAGTTGTGCAACTATGGATAAGTTATCTGATTTTGCTGTGCTGTAATTTCATCTTTTGTAAAATGGGGAAAATAGTTTTCTATCCCACAATATTCTTTTAGGATTAAATGAATTACTGTTCATAAAGTACTTGGTATGTAATAAGAGTCATGTAAGTTTTATAATCATGAGAACAGTGATAATTATTAATATCACAATTATCAGTGATAGAAAGTTAGCTTTCTTATGCAACCTCCCACCATCTCACTTCTTCTCATTCTTTCTCTATAATTGTATCAAAACTTTTCAGTAAATCAACACTGTTTACCTTATGCTATGTTTATGTTATGTTATTGTGGCTCTGTGAATGTGTTCTCAACTGAAGTCGATAAATACACTGTTAGGGCTACTTTTCAGGCAACACAAACTATTCCAATTACTTCAAGCAGAACCTGAGAAAGAGAATTGGAGGCTTACATTATGATCCTCGAGCCAACAGTGGGATTTGGCACCTTCCTATCTGCGGATGAGGCAGCAGCTATCCTAAGAGGTCTACCTGAGCCTAGAGAGAGGCAGCTGCTTTATAGGAGGTGAGGATAGGAGAGAGTTGTACCCTGCAGGGGCCTGGTGAAGGAAGCCTCTGGGAACCAGGAAGGGAGAAGCCCCTTCTTCCTCATGTGTCCCTCCGGCGCCCTCTACTGACAGGGGTTAGCATCAAGGCATCTGGCAAAGGACGCAATTTACAAGGCCCAGTGCTATTATCACAGAGCAGAGAAAGAAGGGTAGGTTTGGAGCAGAGTTAATAACTGGAACTCCTGTTACATTCAAACTTCTAACATGCTAGTGTAGTTAAATTCCAGACAGTATGTAAAAGGCTTGGGTATGTACGGTGGGCCAGGGGAGCAGGTCCATTGTTTTCAAATATTTGAAAAACAGCTGCCTGAGGGAGGGAAGACATCATTAGTATGTGTTTCTCAGAGGGACCAAGACCAGGGACAGTTATGGGAAAGCAGATGTTGGCATCCCATGAGGGTTTTGGATGCTTCACTCCAAATGTCACCATTATCCTGACACTAAGAGTGATGAAGCTGAGGCTAGGGTGATCCTCAGTCATTTTGCGGAAGTTCAGCTGGGATAGGAGGCAGAAGTGGGTGATTCCCAAGGTCCATTCCAATCTGGAGAAGTTATGGACTTTTCAGACATACCTGTGTTACCTAAAGTGAGTTGTGCTGTATATATAGAGGTCAGCCTACCCATTTATTTATGTATCCATGTGTTATCCATATGCCTGATTATCCATCTCTCTACCCATCCATCCATGTATCTACTCATCCGCCCATTTATCCATGTATCCACTCATCCATCTGTACACCCACCCACTCACCCATCCACCATCATCCATTCAGCCATCTGTCCATCCACTCATCTAACCATTCATCCATCCATCTACCCATCCACCCACTCACCTGTTCAACCAAGCAACCATCCATCTACCCACCCATTCAGCCAACCAACCATCTATCCGTCCATCCAACCATTCGTCTATCTTCTTTTGAGTTGCTTTAAAACTCAGTAAAGTTATTTCACTCAATTAAACTAATATTATTTGGAACAGTGTTTATTGGTTGGCTTCCAAGGACTATATATGATATTAATATTGGAATTAATCAAGGACATGACGTGCAAATGCATTATTTTCATCAGTTTAGATATGAGAATAATTCTTATTTGCTGCCTTTCATATTCCAGGTGTCCTTTTTTCTGAAAATTTCTCATAATGTGCCAAAGAAGATAAGAGTAATGTGAGCAAAGTTACTGAATAAAACCACATATGACCAAAGCATTGAAATGAGAAAACAGAACATGTTTTCATCCCCGTGATTGCAAGATAATTCCATACGATCAAGTTTGAAGTTTCAGAAATCTTAAGGAACAGCTCTCTAAGCAGAAGAGCTTAAATGATTATCTGGGTCTTCTATGACTCCCCGTGTTTTATTTCCTTAGTCCAAGCCTTGTGTAAGGGTTCACAGTATGATTTTACTATTTTGTAGATGCATCTTCTTTTCTGACACATGGGAATTTTAAAGAATTGGAGTTGTGAAACAGAAATGAAAGCACAAGAAGCATTTCCTCTGTACAGCCTCTTTATTGTTCATTGGTGAAATAAGTAGCAAAGAGTCCAATTCTCTTTCTCAGGTTCTGCTTGAAGTAATTGGAACAGTCATAGTAAAAAGCAAGAGATGGAACTAGGATTCACACCTGAGTCTGTGCCCTTCACCACTATGCACTGGCATCTCCCAATGGATTAGGAAATGTGTAAGTACAAGGAGATGCCATGAGAAACTTGCAGTCGGTCGACTCTGTCACTTATAAGCTGTGTGACACAAAACAGGAAACCTCAGTACAATCCATGAAAAAAGCAGGGCCCAGAGATTAACATGGATTCCTCAACATCACACAGACAAAGAGTTGCACATCTAGGGTTGGAAATGACGCCTCTTGACCCACAATCTGGAACTCGTTTGTTTTTAACCTACTTTTTTAGTTTTGTTCCATAGAAAATCATTAATTGCTCATGAAAAGTGAAATCGCACTGCTAAAAACCTGTCCTCTGGTACTGGGGGTTTAAGTTCCTTCTGTTGCTCCAACACTGGCTGGTGTTTACACACTGGTGCCTGGGCAGGCCTCTCGCTCCGTGTCTGGGCTTCCTGGTGGTCACTGCAGCGGTCGTTACTGTGGGGGAAACAGGCGACACATGTAGGGTGACCTCCGTGGTGGTGGCTACTCTGTTTCTTTATAGACAAGTTACCTTTCTCTAATCAGCAGTCCACAGCAGTGGCTCCCTGACTGTGCCTCCTGGAGCAGCTGTTTGGGGCTCAGTGGCCGAGCACATGGTCGCAGTAAGTGCACGCCACCCAGCGAGAGTTGGTTAATCATATATAATCCACCCAACAGTGGGCTGCCTTGTAATTGTTACAGGGCCCTTTCAGTTTCTTGCAATTTCCTTTGTCTCAGCAGTTTTGGTTGCATCCTGAAAACTGTCAGGCTTTCTTGTTTCTGTAAGGACCTGACAATTCCGGCCTCACAATGCAGCTTAAATTGGACCAGCTGCTGCCTCAATGGAGCAGTCTGCCCATCTCCAAGGCATTAAGCCCAAAATTATTTCGAAAATTGAAGCCTTTGACTTGCTCTGGATTAATGTGATTAAGCAGGGCTTGCTTTAATTTGTAGCCATCTCGTCCTTTATTAATAACATCTCATCATTTGGAGCAGCATGCGTGTCTGCAAGACAACAGAAAGTTAGGTTGATTGCAGTTTCTAAGAGAAGTCTTTAATGTTTCAGGAGCAACTGATATGCAGCTTCAATTGTGGGGGCAGATTTAGATCTGCTTGTTATTCTTAATTTTTTATGTAAAACTAATAAGCAAATGAATCCTCCTTCCCTCCTCCACTTTGACCCCACCTCCCCGAGGTCTACATATGATTTATCGTTCCCTTTAAGTAATAAAGAAAGGATCTTTTTTTCATCTGAATTGTGTCAGCTGGTGAAATCTGGAAGAAATATCCTTCAGGGTTAAGAAAGGTAGAATTAAATGGATTTGATTTTTTTTCTCTGTGTAATTGAATGTGTATTACCATTAAGATAATTATAAATAATCTGTTAGCTTTTCTAAATAAGAAAGTATATACCTCATTACTTGAGACCTAGATTTTAATAATAACAGCAGTGGATTATAGTGGAAGGAATTAGGACGTGTTTTAAAAATGTCCTTAATAATTTTTAAGCTCAATGACATTATTCTTATAAAATTTATCCTGGCAAACTTAAGACAGTAATAATCTAAGTCTCGTATCTTTTTCTCCTTACAATAATTTAGCTAATGAAAGTACATGTCCAGGTATTTTTCTGAGGTTAAATCTGATCTTCCTTCTTTATTATCAGAGCCAAAGAACACAGCTCTAGGAGTCAGTAACCCTGGAGCTACTCCACTTTCTCTCACCAAAGCGCTGTGTTTTCTTGGGAAGGTCACTCACCCTGTTTATGCCTCTTTCCATATTTCTAAGAATAGGAAATTGAGGAGGAAACTTTCTAAAATCCCTTCTAGTTCTATTCTGTATTTCCAACTTCTGATGTTTCCTACCCCCATTTACAAAGTGTGTTTCACTGGGTCTGGTTCCAATACAGTCGTCTTGCTTTTTCTCTGTATGGAGTAGGTAGTATAAGTGGCAAAATGTACTGATATTTGGGTCAAATCAGATTATTTCTGGAAGTCAAAGAGCCTCAAATAACCCAATGTCATTGTATATACTTAATTGCTTATCATCTTTCTTAAAAATAAATGGCTATCTAATTTACGGTTCTTTGGCTACTTATTAGCTTATAATTTTTTGTATTCAGATCTCTTTATAATAAGTATGGGAGGTAATGCATATGCTCATTAGCTTGATTTAGCCCTTCAACAATGTATACATATTTGAAAGTTCATGTTGTATATCATAAATATATACAATTTTTATTTATCAATAAAAACAAATTAAGAAAAACAACTCTTTACATAGGCAATAAAAATACCTATGAAGGAATTGTAAGAGTAGTACCTGTTATTACAGCAGGGGCAAGTTGTAAACCTCTTTCCATTTTTTCCCTTCATTTTGCCCAATATTTTGATATCTCCTGTAATGTCGATGCTCGCTGTCTTGTTAAACACTTTATTATCACTTGAGGCATTTATTTATTTATTCTACAGATATCATTTTCAGAAATGATTTGTGGTGGTTCTTCTGGACTGAGAAGAGCCTGGGTTTCACAGCTGGGTACAGCAGGGGTGGGGTTGCCACTTGGTCTGAGTAGAAGGAATTCTGGAGTACCTTCGGGTCTCTGTCTGGGCCATCTGCTGCATAAATTCCTTTACAACACAAGAGGCAGCATACTTGCTCTTGACCTGGTTCTGTCACTGTGGAATTGGACCACCTGCCATCACAAGTAGATCCAGCAAATGTACCGTGGCTCGCACATGCACAGGTTGACTTCTTGTTCATGTAACAACCAAAAACACACTTTGGTGGGTGGCTTTCCTCACGTGGCAATTCAGGGGGTCATACAGCTTTCCTTCTGTGGCTCTGCTATCTCCCATAACCCCATTGAAATCTACATCCAGCCCATCAGATGGACGGAGAGCACATGGAGTGGGCACACCTATGGCCTGTAGGCCTTGGCTCAGCTATGGTGCACCTCACGTCTGCTCACATTCTTGGGAGACCTCACCTGCATGGCCACACTAACTGTGAGAGAACCTAGGAAATGGAATTTTTAGAGATGAGAGATAGAGCTCTACCTCCCTGTGGTGACATGGTAACTCCTAGAAGAAAGGGCAGAAATGGTTAGTATTTGTGAGTACAGCCCTTTACTGAACTTCAGAAGTTTTAGACAGTCTTTTAAAGTTGATTTCAAAGGACCTGGGCATCTCTACATTCCCGTCAGACTAATTTGACTTGTGGCTTAGTCTTTCAAAGATTTTTGGAGCTGTAAGTCTTACTGGCACCATGTAGGTGGTAGTCAGGACAGTTCTGCTAGTCTCATTGAGCATGCCTAGTAACTGGAATAGATTTTTGCCTTACAGTAGAATTGAAAAAAAATTGCCCCGTGATGGTTATTTTTACAAAGGTCATTTAGGTCATTGATTATCTGGGCATCATGCAGTTGTTTTCTTGTTGTTTCCTACCATAATTTTTACCAGGCTCTGCTACTAAATGGCTGCATGATCTTGCGTATCTGCTGGAGCCTCTGTCTCTTCATTAGTAAAAGTAGGGAATGTAATTCTTACCTTGTTGGGTGGGGTGATGATTAAAGCGTGCATTGCGTGTCTTCCATGTAGCCACTCAGCATAACTTTGTTAAGGAAATTAATTAATACAGAGTAGCTGACTCTCCAGACATATGTAATGGGTGAAAATAGGGTGGAGTTTGGACATTGATTTTAGAAACACATTCTCAGAGTTTTAAGAAATCAGCAATATCAAAGCTAATTCCCTTTGACAACTCAACTTTGTCTAAGAGATAACAACTCCCTTTGGCATCTCATCTTTGGGGCAGCGTTTTCTGATCCTACAAGTTTGAGTTTGATCGTCATCCTCCCACCCTACCCCCCACACGCCTTCTCTGTATGACTGGTTTACGTCTCTGACTCTCCCGTTATATCAAAAACTTTTTTCCCCATATGCATCCCCACCCCTAGCAAGGTTGAAATGCACAAAATTGCCATTTAAGTAGTTACAAAATGGTTGAGTATTAACAGTTTCATTTGGTTGAAGCTAACACCTAGAAGGCACAAGATATTTTGTGAGCTATTGAGCAACGTCTGACACCTGAATGTAGCGTCCATGCTGCTCTTCTTTTGAGTCCTGTGCTATGTTTAGCATCCATTATGCCATCACTGACTTCATATAGGCCATGAATATGTATATATGTATGATGTAATCCTGAGTGTGCTTCTGGAGCTATTTCAAATATCTATGACTCAGTGTGCATTAAATGTGGCAAATCTGTTTCTTGGATATTCTGTTGAATTTACCTCTAAAGACAACTAGGCCTGATATTTTCCTTTTGGAAAACATGTTTTTAACTTACAATCCATTTTCTAAAATAGTTATTAAAGATAGTGCAGCCTTGCTTTTTCTTCTTTCTGGGCCAACTTTGGGAAGTTATATTTTTCTAAGAAATTTTTGACGTGAAGTTTTTGCAGTGTTTTTCTTATCTTTTTAGGCTTTACTGAATCTGTAGTTATGGCCCCCTTTTATTTGTGATATAATTTATTTGTGCTTTCTTTTTTTTTCTGATCAATTTTTTTGCCTTCGTGAACCTTTCTATAAAGTGTTCTATGCTTCATTAACTTTTGCCCCCCTCTTTTAGTTCCATCCTTCAAATACCTTCGTATAGTTGTCATTCTCTTTTTAACTTATTTTGTTGATATTTTTTACTTTTTGCTCCTTTCTAATAATTAATTCAAGTTATAGATTTCTATTGCTGTATCCCAATCGTTTTGATAGTAGCAGCTCCATTATAATTCATTTTAAAGATTTTAACATTGTAATTGTGATTTTTCCTGTTTGAGTTATTTAAAGTTACCTTTTTGATAGTGATGTCTAATAGTCTTAAGCTAGACAACTTAAAAAATATTTGTAACCCTCATACACTGCTGGTATGAAGGGAAAATCGTGTAGTCACTTTGGAAACCAGTGTGGCAGTTCCTTAAAAGGTTAAACATAGGGTTAGTCTATGACTCAGCAATTCTACTCTTAGGTATATACCCAAGAGTCATGACAACCTGTGTCCATACAAAAGCCTGTACACAAATATTTATAGCAGCATTATTTGACTATTCATAATAGCCATAAAGTGGAAACAACCCAAACGCGCATCAGCGTGTGAATGGGTAAATAAAATAAGGTATACACGTACAACAGCGTGAACTACTAATGCACACAACAACATGGTCGATATTGAAAATGTGCTACATGAAAGAATCCACTCGCAAAAAACCATAGAGTGTATGATTCTATTTATTTGAAACGTCCAGAATAGGGAAAGCTGTAGAGACAGAAATAAGACACATTAGTCATTAGCTTGGACGGGGGAGATGGTGGGTTTGGGAATGATAGCTAAAGTGTATGGAGTCTCTTTTTGGAGTGATAAAAATGTTTTAAAATTGATTGTGGTAATGATTACCCAACTGTGAATATACTAAAAACCACTGAGTTATATTTAAATAGGTGGATTGTATAGTATGTGAATTTCATCTCAGTAAAGCTGGTTGTTACCAGAGAAAAAAGCATTTTCTACCAAAATCACCAATAAATTATGATAGCTCTAAACTACTTACTTTAAATTTGTTTGTGCTGATTCTTACTCTCTCTCACCTCTCCCTCTCTGCCATTCTCCTGGACTTTTCCCCATCGTTGGAAATGTCGAATAACAAAGTTTGGATTATTTATCAAAAAGGATTGATTTAATGAAAATGAATGGAGAAGGCTGACATGAACATAATTTTCCAGTTCCCACCCTCATAGGTAATCATCTATAAACCCACTGGGATGGCACAGCCTTGACAATGCGGCGGTGCTTACTAACAAGCACACCCGACCTAGACAGTATGATTTTGCAAAAGCAGAATCCTGAAACAATGCAAGTGCAGTGAACATAGGAGCCAGTACACCGCATATAACACAACTTAGAAAAATGCTATCGATAAGAAATGGTCTTTCAGAGACGATTTCCGGCATGTGCTACAGGGGAAAATGGTATCAAATCTACACAATGACCGGGTTCTATGGAGTGGCTCCTCTGTGGGGAATTTTACTTTATTCTCTTTGCCAGAAACCTTGACCCCACCCTGTCTGTGAAGTAGCAGCCTGCTTTGTAAAGGGGCGCTGATCAAGACGAAGGCTATTATCGAGCTGGGATCCAAACATCTGAAGCTTATCACCAAGCACAATAGTGACGGCTTCTTAGCCACGTTTCTAATTATATTTTTTTCCCTGCTTTTTAGATAAAGGGACAAAGAAATACGGGGCTTACTTTGCAGGTTTTTCAGGCTGCTCTGAAGTGTTCTTTCGAAGGTGGAGGGTTATAGTTTTGTGTAATAGCAGTGCTGGGAACAGGGTGGGTTCTTCCAGACTCTCCCCCCACGTACAATAGTGTGTGGATGGCAGAGATGCATTGGGAGCTGAAATAATTCATTTGTCCTTTCTAATGAATAGTAATAATTTATAATTCGTACTAATCAAAAACCTTTCATCCACAAAAGCCAACAAGTTTTATAAACATTCTCCTCTCACCAGCCTCTACAGTAAGTGCCTGACAAAGGTAGGATCGTCCATAATTTGCAGAAGGGCCAAGATAGAGAACACAGTGCAGAAATCATTACTAATTTATCTGCAGCTTGGAATTTATATTTGGAAAGTCACTTTGAACTTATTTTCATCAAGCTATTTTGATCGCCCAGAAATATAATTTATACTGACCTCCATAATGGATATCTGCCAAGATGAAAGCTACAAAAGTCATTGATCCAGATGTTTTCTGTTATCTGCAAACCTAGCAAAGCCATATTTGCCAGCATAGTCGACATTGTGGGGACAGGTGTCCATTCTGTGTCCCCTTGGTGTCCAGCCCTATTATCTCTGTAGCCTCCGGTGACAGAGCAGCCATAGTGGCACTGTGCTTGATGCAAAGATACCATTACCTTCTCGTCTGTTCTCTGATCAGTGAGTGGTGGCGATATGAGCTGAGCATAAAGCAGGAAGAGTGGGGATGCCCTTGTATTCAGTATACCTCCAGACCTTATCACTACCAAGTGTCCAACACAGGGCTGCTAAGTAATCTTGAAAATATACCTTCCACTCTTATCAGTGCACCTTCTTGACACCAAATCTGTATTCTTGATCCTGGAATTCAGAATTCTCCATCAAAAACATTGAAAAGCAGGTTACTTCATCAGCTCTCCTCTATATACTGTGTTGAGGAAAAGATTTGCATGTAATTAGCCTCCTTCCACCTCCCTCCAGAAAAACCCCCCAAATTTAGAGACCAGTCCTAACCCTTAGAAAATGCATAGTGTTGCAGACTGCTTTTGAAGATTAAAGAGATGAAAATTCCATTCTTAACTTCAAGAGCTTCCTTAAACCTGGTCCAAAAGACTTTCCTAAAAGCCCAGCCAGTTCAGATGATAGGTGCAGACACATCATATTGCATATATTCACATTACACACACACACACACACACACACACACACACTCTCACCCTTCTCTTTGCTGGGGAAAGGTTTGTTGCAGAAGTTACCATTCCAATACACCATGCAAGATGCATTCAGACGTTCTCTTAGATTTCAGTATCACACGGTGGATCCTGCATTTTGTCATATAAAAATTGCACATCATTTTTAGCTGCCTTCAGAACCCTCTTCATATTTATTAGGAGTATTGTGCTCCTATCCAGCAGCTAAAGCTGCTTCGTGTTGTCCAGTTAGGGTGAACTATAGAAGAAATGTCCTATCTACTGCTTTTCTTTTTTAAAAAAATTTTTATTTCCTTAAGTTTTGGGGGAACAGGTGGTATTTGGTTACATGAGTGCATTCTTTAGTGGTGATTTGTGAGATTTTGTTGCACCCATCACCCAAGCACTATACACTGAACCGAATTTGTAGTATTTTATCTCTCACCCCCTTCCTCCTCTTTCCCCCTGAGTCCCCAAAAGTCCATTTTGTCATTCTTATGCCTTTGCATCCTCATAGCTTAGCTCCCACTTATGAGTGAGAACATACAATGTTTTTTTTTCCATTCCTGAGTTACTCCACTTAGAATAAGTCTCCAGTCTCATCCAGGTTGCTGTGAATGCCATTAATTGATTCCTTTTTTGGTTGAGTAGTATTCTATCTCATATATATATATATATATATATATATATATATATACACACACACACACACACACACACACACACACATATATATTACAGTTTCTTTATCTACTCATTGATTGATGGGCATTTGGATTGGTTCTGCATTTTGCAATTGTGAATTGTGCTGCTATAAACATGCATGTGCAAGTATCTTTTTTGTATTATGACTTCTTTTCCTCTTGGTAGATAGCCAGTAGTGGGATTGCTGGATCAAATGGTAGTTCTACTTTTAGTTTGTTAAGGAATCTCCACACTGTTTTCCATAGTGGTTGTACTAGTTTACATTCCTGCCACTGCTTTTCTGCTTTTCTTGAGGGATAATTGGTTAATTAGGAAAACTGACTGAAGAGAGAATGAATCATTATTATTATTACTTTTTTTTGAGACAGAGTTTTACTCTTGTTCCCGGGATGGAGTGCAATGGCACAATCTCGGCTCACTGCAACCTCCACCTCCCAGGTTCAAGCAATTCTCCTGCCTCAGCCTCCCGAATAGCTGGGACTATAGGCGCCCGCCACCACACCCGGCTAATTTTTTTTTGGATTTTTACTAGATACTGGGGTTTCACCATGTTAGCCAGGCTGGACTCAAACTCCTCACCTCAAGTGAACCACTTGCCTTGGCCTCCCAAAGTGCTGGGATTACAGGCATGAGCCAACATGCCCGGCACGGAATGAATCATTTTTTGAAAAGGTTTACAGAAACCTTTAAAAAAGAAAACTTAAATAAATGTACGTTATTGTGCCAAACATTGGATTCATGTCCATTATCTCTCCTTTGACCTAGAGTCCCCTCCCTACTTGGAGTGGCTCCTCATCTTCCTTCTTTAGCACAGTGTGGAGGTAGGAGTGAAGATTCTGGAGCTACATTATGGAGGTCTGGGTTCTGACTCCGCCCCTCAGTGGTGGTGTGATGGTGGCTGTGCCATGTAACCTCTCTGTGCCTAACTGTCCTCATCTGTAAAATGGATATAATGAAAATAGCTCTTATTGGCTTGATGGGAGAATTAGTTGAGTTAGTATATGTAAACCACTTATAGTTGTGCCTCATCCAGAACAAGCACTGTTTGCCACTATTATTATCAAATGATCTCTAGTTTTGCATCTTCAAAATCTAGTGAGAATTTAAAGACATTCGTGTAGCAACTTGAACAAAGAATTTATCTAGATTTTCATGACTTCCTCCCCAATCTTTTTTTCTTTAAAAAAAAAAAAAGCTGGAAAAATACACATAACATAAAAATTACTAACAGCCATTTTTAAGTGTATTGTTCAGCAGTATGGAGCCCATTCCCTTCGTCGTGCAGTCATCACCACCATCCACTCCTCGAGCTCTCTTCATCTTGTAAAACCAAAACTCTGTGACCATTCACCACCAATTCTGCATCCGCCTTCTCCGAGCCCTTGACAGCCACCCTTCCCAATCTTACGGAGTAGTCTTGCCTGCATTTAATTTGACAGTATTTTTAACAACTTTCTTTTATTAAGCTTTCTAAAGCATTTCCCTTATTTTTTATTTTTTGGTTTTGTTATTTTCATTTGACACCTAAAAATGGTACCTATTTATGGAGTACAGGGTGATGTTTCCATACATGTATACAATGTGTAATGATCAAATCAGAGTAATTAGCATATCCATCACCTCAGACGTTTATCATTTCTTTGTGTTGGGAACCTTCAAAAGCTGCTCTTCTAGCTGTCTGAAAATATACAATAAATGATTGTTAATTATAGTCAGTCTGTAGGGTTCTGGAATACTGGAACTTATTCCCCCCATCTCAATGTATTTTGTACCTGTTAACCAGTCTCTCCCTATATCCCCTTCCCCCCACTCCTTCCCCGCCTCTGGTAACCACTCTACTCTCTACTTCTATAAGATCAACTTTTTCAGCTTCCACGTATGAGAGAGAACATGCGGTATTTATCTTCCTATGCCTGGATTGTTTCAGTTCATAAAATGTCATCTAAGCTTATCTATGTTATCTTAAATGACAGTTTTGTTCTTTTTTTAAAACAAAATTAAATATTAATTTTAATAGAAACAAAGCTGTATTTCTTCTTCTGCTTTTATTTCTGTATGTGTGACATTTAATTAAAATTTCTAATTAGAAGATAAAGTGCAATTGGCCTAAACCAGTTTGGGAACAGTCACAACTAATTGGGTAAGGGTACCCCTCAGCTGGAGGGAGCTTCTTGGTGCAGGCATGTCAGAGGGAGCTGTGGGGTTCTGATACTGTGGGCACTGGGCACCGTGTCTGCCAGCAGGAATGGTGTGGCTTATTTAATCTAAGCCATCCTGTCCATTCTAGGATCTTCTTCCTGTGTTATGGTGCTCGTCATTTTCAACATCTGAAGCACTCTTACCTCTACCTGTGTGTGTCTAAGTAGTTCCCGTTTTTCAACATTGATATGGTTTGACTGTATCCCCACCCAGATCTCATCTTGAATTCCCATGTGTTGTGGGAGGGACCTGGTGGGAGGTAATTGAATCATGGGGGCAGGTCTTTCTGGTGCTGTTCTCATGATAGTGAATAAGTCTCACGAGATCTCATGGTTATAAAAAGGGGAGTTTCCCTGCACAAGCACTCCTCTCTTTGCCTGCTGCCGCCGCCATCCATGTAAGATGTGACTTGCTCCTCCTTGCCTCCCACTGTGATTTTGAGGCTTCCCCAGCCATGTGGAACTGTAAGTAGGATAAACCTCTTTATTTTGTAAGTTGCCCAGTCTTGGGTATGTCTTTACCAGCAGCATGAAAACAGACTAATACAAACATCCAGTTAGATATACTGTCTCCATTAAACCAGAGCACTTGTCTGTGCCCCTCCCATGGCACCTAACACTTTCTATCCTGTGTTTTCAGTGTTTGGGTGAGTTCTCCAAGAGCAGGCTCAGTGTATCACATGTCTTTGGATGTCTCCTATCATTGGCTTCAAGCCAAGATTGAAGGCTCACATGTATTGAATTCCTGGCCTGTCCAGCTGGGACAGAGAGAATGAGTAGAGAAACTAAGTATCAGCACACTTTATAGTTAAAGCCTGTGTGTACGCACATGTGTGTGCACACACGTGTATAATGTAATCTTTATAGCGTACCTTTTTGGCGTTTTTATTATAACTGCTGTGCTGACAAGGAAGTCGAGACTCAGAGAGGTTAAGCGATTCGTCCAAATCAAATATTCTAGCTACAGTGCCAATGCCCTTGGCACAGTTTCCCAGCACTTCATTGTTGAAACGTTTGGTGTGTTCCTGAGGGCATGTCTTGGGGCTCCTACATTAATTACTGACCATCATCAGAGATCTACTAGTCAAGGCTAAAAGATTCCCAATATCAATCAAATTACAGCCGAGTCTGCATCTATACGAAGTCATTGGTAGCAATAATTTAGTAGTTACCATTAGCTCCAATGTTTATGGGGAGAAAGCATGAAATTATGGAATCAAACCTACTGGGCCCTGAATGACCTGAATTAAGCAAATAATTTGGCCTCATTGAGGCTTAGTTTTCTCATCTTTGAAATGTAAAACAGACATCATAATACATGGAGTTCCCATGAAGATTTAATACGCAATTAATGCATATGAAAGCATTTCATGAGCTACAAAAGTGTTACACCAATCTAAGGTATCATCATCATCCCACGCTTACAGAGTAACCAGGAATCTCAAGTCAGGAAAAGTCCAGTGCAGAGTTCGGAATAACACAGAACAAGCTACCTAAGTCCAGAAGTGGGGCCTCTGGTGTTTGTTACTGAGAGAACCCCTTTGAGACACACACCGTTCTCATGCGTTGGACTTACTATTAGTGTCTTGGTCTGGTGAATTTTTGCTCAGGGCTTTGTTTCCCTCATAAGTTAAAATAACGACAGGCAAAGGCACGTAGTCTAGCTGAATGCTCTCCATTTTTGTTTCAGACCTGGATATCCTACAGGTGTGAAGTTGCCAAGAATAAGGGAGACCCAGGGGTCAAGGGGACCATGGTAGAGCACTAGAGTCACCCTTTCCTCTGTAAAGTCGTCCCTGCGTTCTCAAGCTGTGTCACTGAACTCTGAGACTACCCTTCTCCAGCAGTAATTGCTTCATCCTGGAGTTGCCATTTGCTTGTTTCTCTGCCCTCCTAGACTGTGAGCTCTTTGAGGTCGGGACCTGTCTTAATCCTGTTTTGGCTGCATCCCAGAGAGTGCTCAGAGCTCATGCTAGGGTTTAGTAAATACTTAGTGAATGAATCCCTCCTGTGGTTGTGATGTTGGATTACGAGCCCCATACAAAAGTGAAAATGAGGCTGGAATTATAGTTGGTTTGGTCACCATTTTGATTGTACTGATATTTGATTGAATCAGACTACTGTTTTTCAGGCTTTAAAAAAATTATAGTCGCCCTAAGCGGCCTTTTTAGACATTTCTCTCTTGTCTCCCCCAGTCCCCTTCCATTAAATTTAATACCACAGATATACTATATACCACTAGTTACTGTGGCCCTTTAGAAGCCGTAGCCATTTTCATATGTAAGATATTTTTGTCCCCCAAGAACCGATTTTTGCCCCCTTGAAGTGACACCACCCTTATTGAGAAATCATAATTTATAGAATCAGGTGGTTTGGTGCTGTGCAGATATTCTAAAGAGTTCCTATTTGATATGTACATAGTCGATTATAAAGTTCTTAAGCCTCAGTTGCTTGTTGTGTTGGCATGCTTTTAAGATAAAGCTGTTGGACTGATTTTTTTTGGGGGGCTGTGGTGTAAAATAACTGATGCTTTTGGCACTGTCTAGGAGGCAAGGCCAAGACTTTCCTCAGACCAGCAACAGTGTTTCAGTGTGGGTCTGAGTTATAAACAAATCTGAAGTTCTTAGTTCCATTTTTTAAAAAAAATTTAGACTAAAAATGTACTTACATTTATTATTAATAGTTTAGTTAGAGCCATGCTTCCTGAGCAATCCTGCCACATCCTTCCTATGTGAGCTATTTGTAAATAATGTACTATCCAAGTTGGGAGAATATGTTACCACCATATACACTTAAAAAGCAACTATAATGTGGCTAATGTGCAGAATGAATAGGCAATTTTCATTGTCTTTGGATGACGTGAAGTAGCTCTCTGGCAAAAATGGTGCAAGCAGCCACGGTGTTTGAAGTGGTGAGCTTCAATAGGAGTGCCATTTCTTTTTTTTTTTTCCTTTTTTCTTTTTGAATTATTTTACTTTATCTTATTTTTTTGAAATGGAGTCTCGCTCTGTCGCCAGGCTGGAGTGCAGTGGCATGATCTCGGCTCACTGCAACCTCTGCCTCCCAGGTTCAAGCCATTCTCCTGCCTCAGTCTCTGGAGTAGCTGGGTTTACAGGTGCCCGCCACCATGCCTGGCTAATTTTTGTATTTTTAGTAGAGACGGATTTCACCATGTTGGCCAGGATGGTCTTGATATCTTGACCTCATAATCTGTCCACCTCGGTCTCCCAGAGTGCTGGGATTACAGGCATGAGCCACTGCACCCAGCCTTCTTTTTAATTTTTGTGTGTACATAGTAGGTACATTTATGGGGTATACGAGATGATAGGCATATTATCTTGTGTATCAAGATAGTGGGTATATATATTTATGGGGTACATGAGCTGTTTTGATACAGGATGCAGTGTGTAGGAATCACATCATGGAGAATGGGGTCTGCATCCCCTCGAGCATTTATCCTTTGTGTTACAGACAATCCATTTATTTTCTTTTAGTTATTTTGAAATGTACAGTTAAATTATTGACTATAGTCACCCTGTTGTGCTATCAAATGGTATGGAGTGCCTTTTCTCATCCATCGCATGGAGAGTTTAGAACAGTTTTTGAAGAATATGAAAACATATTGGACTTGATTTCAAAGACCCCTTCTATTATCATGCTCGTAGGGCCTCTCTAGTTGTCTTTTAACTCTGAGGTGGAACACAGACACTTTTAGGAAAACGTACGCTTGACAACTTACCCAGAGAAACCTGTCTTTGCTTGGAGAGCCGTCCATGTTGTTCTGTTTGTACTAACATAGATCCTAAACATTTGAAGTCTTCTGGCATCTCATTGTGAAGTTCTGCGATGCCATGGTTGATCATTATTAGTATATGGAGTTATAAGATTTGATTACCACTGGTAAGTTCCCAAAGTGCTTTGTGCTTTCCCCTTTATGTCTGTTATTGCTCTTAACCATCTTCTAAGATTGATAGGACAGATATTAGTATGCCCATTTTATAGATGAGCAGCCTGTGGCTAAGAGAAGTTAAGTGGCCTCTCTAGCAGATTATGCCCTCAAATGTAGAAAAACTCAATGTGGTTCTTCAGACTCCAAAGTCAGTGCCATTTACTTGCCCGTAGTAAATGCCTTCAGCCTTCTTAAAAGCCATCGTGGAGGAGTGAGCAGGTCCCAAGAAGCACTGCCTGGACTGTGAGTAGGAGGAGGCAGAAGTTGACTTAATAAAGGCATGGATTTCTAGCAATTAGGACATCCCAATAGTGGCATGAACTACTTTGAGAATTAGAGAGTGCCCTGTCTTGAAATGGTCATCTGGAGGTTGGAGTGGGCTAAACTATATAGTATGCCATTTGGCTAGATGACCTTTCAGGTCCCTTACAATTCTGAGACTTTGTTGAAAAAAAAAAATGTTCTGTCCATTTCCTCCTTTGTGGTTTAGCCACATACATCAGATGCCCAAGTTCGTGGTTCCTTTCCCAGCTTTGCATCAGAAGCACCCATGGGGCTTTGTGAGAATGCATATGCCAGGCCTGCCCCCAGCTCTCCTGTATCGGAATTCCATTGGTGGGGTGGAGGGGGAGGCGTGAGAGTATGTTTCAGAGTTCCACAAGGATTTCTAAGTTGTTAAATTGTGAACCACTCTCCTTGTGTAGCCCACTGACAACAAGGCACACACAGACCTCTTTTTAAACTTGGTGGTATAATTCAGTAGCATCAAGGAATCATAGTTTCTCAGTGTGCAATACCCTTGTTAATATTAAAAGGCCATTTAATAAACTGCATTGGTTCTCTTGGCTGCAGGGATACCATGGTCCCTGCTTGACAGATTGGTTTTGCCCATATCTTATCATCCCTGCCTGTTTCGCAGCAGAGTGGGAGTTTGGTGCCAGTCTAGAAAATGGGCACAGGTCCTTTTGTACCCTTCTTATTCTGGAAAATCCAGCTCAAAGGGTTAGCATTGGGTGCGAAGGCCAGCCTCTGAAATCAGCAGGTTGGATACAGAAACTAGGGAGTGGCTCACTGCTATCCTAGTTACCTACTTCTACGTACTGGTTTTCTTTGTACCAGTTAGAAACCTCCAGTGCACAAAGAATTAACGGTTGCCATTGACTGCTTTCTTGAAGACTTTTCTTGATCCAGTACTGAGCTGTGTTTATGGCACTCCTCTGAGAGCATAATCTCTGAAGGATATGTCTGTATAAAATATACAGCAGAGGATCATAAATTCTCCATCGTGTCTCCCCATGGCGGGCCAACAACAACAAAAAATTCACAATTGCTCCACCAGTATTTTTTTTCTACTTTTCAATCAATAGGATGCTTTTTAAAGCTTATGTTTCTCGTCGGACACTTTAAGTGACGAATGAGACAAAAGAAAAAAAAAAGCCAAGATAAAATGACAGTATAGACACTCCTCAAATCCTATAATGAACTCCACAGGGCATCCAATTTTGATGTATTAGGATTTTTTTTTTATAATGAGTACATTGTTGGAAATCACATTTTCTATCCGCAGGAGCTGGAGATGAAACCGAGCTGACATCTTACCTCTTTGTAGTTAATTAGCAAGAGAAAAGTAGTGTTTTGAATCTCGTGTGGGAAAAGGGGAGGTATTATTCACCCACCCTCGCCCCTTTCTCCCTTCAAACACCTGGATCATTCTGTGTGCTCTTTGATTTGGTTTAACGGTTTGGATAAGTCTGGCTGGCAGGGAAAGGATGAGGGAGGTTGAAGAATGGTTATTATTTAATGAAAAAAAATTACTGTGTCTCCCTCTCCCCTCCATCTTGCTTATAGGATAAATAAACTAAGTCAAGTCTTTTTATTTTAAAGATCAGTTTCTTACCTGGACTCGGACTCTAGGCAGTTCCCGTGGCACAAGGGTTGTTTGTTGTCACCATCGTTACATTAGTCACCGTGGAATCCTCAGTGCTCAGCACCGTGCATGGAGCTTAGCAGGCATTTGATCAGTATTTATTAATGAATAAATAAAATGGTGCTGGCCCATACAGTAAAGTATTCTAGTCGCATTAGCTGTGTCTAATACCTTTCTCTGCATAGTAGCCACATCCACTTTAGGATTTGTAGTGAGGTTTCCGTAGAATTCAGTGGTTAGGGACAGAGGGTTGGAGTCCAGTGTGCATGTGGGATTCCATCTAGGGACTGGTCATTGGCAGGTGAATGGAGCTGGGGTCCATACAGATGCCCCGTCCGGATGAAGGATAAGTGAGTGGTGGGCAGATGCAGCACGAGGGCTCCTCCGGCCCATACGTCTTTATTAACATCACATCACATGCCCAGTCCTGGGGCCTACAGAGGAGAGCCACTGTCACTAAGCACATACTTGTAAGCACTGAGCACTCACAGGTTGCACCGCATGGGACTGATCCCAAGTAGAATAAGATGGGGCGGCAGGGCCGGGTGTGGAAGGAAACACCACTTTTTGCATCTCCTCTCCCTGCCCTTGCTGAACTCTGCCTGCTCCCTCCACCGTCGGTCCTCTTCACAGCCACCCGGTGGGGGACCCCAGGGGAGGTGACTCAGTGGAGGAGCCCTGCTCTGACAAAGTCAGTCCCACAGAATCGCAGTGGCCGGGCTCTCTCCCTGCACAGCGCCTCTTCCTGGGGTCCCCAGCTCAGAGAAGCCTCCTGGAGGAAGCAAGACTCGAGGGGACCCTGAAAGCAGGCAGGGCTTGGACTGTGGGTAGCCTGGGACACTGTGGACTGGGGACAGCAGGACCTGGGGTGACCCTGAGGGCAGAGAGGGCTTGGTGGGCGAGCCCTACAGGCTGGGGACAGCAGGAGCCGGTGGTGGGTGTGAGGGGTTAGCCTGGCCTGGGGAGGGTGGGGGAAACCAGGTTGCTGTCATACCAGTGATGGAGGGCCCTAGTGGCCAGCCAAGGGCTCCTGTAGGCCCCAGGGAAGGGGACAGAGATGACAGGTGTGGAGAAGCAGCAAGGAGGAGGGCTTGTTGGCCTCTGGCTAGGCTTGGGGTTGTCTCCGTCCCTCGTGAGCTCTGAGCCTTGGCTTTCCTCTCAGTAAAATGGACATAGGAGCATTTACCCCAATGGCCAAGGGTGGCTGCAATGCTGACATGAGTCTATGGATCTAGAGGCTTTGCAGGGCACAGGACACTGTCTGAAGGCAGAGTCTGAGGTTCCTGTCCCTATAGGATTGCATCAGGGGTGCGCCATCCCTATGATGGGCCAGCTAAGCAGCTCCCATGGTGGCCAGGTGCGTGGGTAAGCTCATGAGCCACTTTGTGGCTTTGCAACAACAAAGATGAGCTACTGCTTCCATTTGGATTCCTGCTCTTGCTTTGGATGCCCTCCCCGCCCCACAAGTCATCTGCCGTGACCGCTTCCTCCGTGTGCGTCTGACGTCCCGGTATGCGTGTGACTGCTCAGGCGTGACTGCTTAGCGCCCACCAATGCTCTCCTCCAGACATCTGCATCTCTGAGCATCTTAGCCTGGGCCTCAGTCCAGCCTCCCCCACTTGATATTTGAATGATTTTGGACGAGCACTGTGTTTTGGATAGCACTGTGGTGACTGTTACTAGGGAATCATCTGGACAGCGAAGAAAGGTCCGACGTGTCTCTGGTTCCCCAACCTCTTCCTCAGCTGTACTGCAGGTCTCCGTAAAGGGTTCCTTTCCTGTTTCCTTCCTCCCCTCCTGCTTCCTCCCCTTCCCTCTCCTCCCTCCCTTTCCTTCCCCTTCTCTTCCTCCTTGCCCTCTGGGGCTCCTGTGAGTCTCCTGATGACTGGGGCAGCAGGTGCTGGGACACAGGAGAGCACAGGCTGAGAGCTGGCTACTCAGGGATCTGTGGCGCTCTAGACCAGTGGTTCACAACCTTTCCTTAACACTAAGAATCATCTTGGGCCAGGCATGGTGGCTCATGCCTGTAACCTCAACACTTCGAAAGGCCGAGGTGGGAGGATCACCTGAGGTTAGGAGTTTGAGACCAGCCTGGCCAACATGGCGAAACCCCATCTCTACTAAAAATACAAAAACCACCCAGGCATGGTGGCATGCACCTATAATCTCAGCTACTTAGGAGGCTGAGGCAGAATTGCTTGAACCTGGGAGGTGGAGGTTCCAGTGAACCGAGATTGCACCACTGCACTCCAGCCTGGGCAAGAGAGTGAGACTCCTCTATCTCTAAATAAATAAATAAATAATTTTTAAAAAGAATCATTTTGGGAAACTTTTAGACATAGATTCCCTGACCAAGGACATTGGGAACCAAGTCACAGTAGCAGTCAAATGATACTAGCAACGCTGCCATGAAGAAAGGTGATACCGGCTGAGTTATTCTGCCTGTGCTGGGCCAGACTGCTCAAATGCCTCCCGTGGAGTTTTGAGCTAATCATCAGGACAGTCCCCTGAGGTGGGTGCTATCAGTGTCCCCATTTTGCAGTTAAGGAAGTTAAAGCCCATAGAGGAAGAAGCTTTGCCAAAGTCACACAGCTGCTAAGTGACCAGGGTGGCAACTCGGGCACTCTGGCTCCCAAACCGAGTTCTTGAGCTCTCCTCTCCATGCTCCTTTGGTCTGGGTGGTGCCCAGCCATCTGTCTAGATAGGTATCCTGCTGACTGCAATGTGGCAGTCTATGGCTGGTAGGGACGTGGGGGAACAGTGTCACCGACCTCCTTGCACAGGGCTGTCATTGCACTGCGGGCTACAGCAGAGCCCAGTTCACACTGGAGGGGCACCCACTCAGCTGGGCTGTTTTCTGAGGAACCAGTTGTTTGTCCTCCCCTAACCTTCCCCACAGCAGCACAGAGTCCAGGAACCCTGAGCACCGGGACCAGGGCCGGCTTGGGAGGGGTGGGGGCGGGGGCTTTGTGCACAGGTCTTGCTTGTGGGCCTCATTTCTGTGTCTCTGGTATGAGAAAAACCTGGATTGAATAGAAAGACCTTCCCTGAAACTGGGAGGTTGCTGAGAGACCAAAGAATGACTTGGACAAGTCCAGCTTGGCGATAGATGAGTTTATTAGGACTTACATAGCAGGCACTCCTGGGCGGCAGGACAGATCTAGAGATCTCTGCTGCTCCCGTCTCTAAACTGCCTTTAAGCTAATTTCCTGGCTCTTTGCCTACTGTGTTTGGGCAATGAGACTGCTTGTCTTGCTACGTTCTCAGATAAGTTCCGGGGCATTGGGTTCTCAGGGACGCCTGCTCCTCAGCTGGGCACCATGGCCTCAGCTCCACCTGACTTCAAGGCTCAAGCAGTGGACACACACCTTTAAGGAACCTGCTGGGGGACCGTCGCACTGCGCTGCCTCTCTCATTTCCCATTTCTTGTCCCCACGAAGCCTCTCCGGAAGGCACAGGCTCTGCTCTCGTTCTTACTCCTTCCTTCTCACACAGGGACCTGGGGATCTACACAGACCACGTGGGCCTAGACTGCTGGCCCAGTGACCCTTGGAGGCCCCCTTGGTCCTTCTAGATGAGCCCCACCTGGGACCCCACGCAGGCCGAGCTGCTCTTGGTTCTGACGGCTCTGCTCGGCCTCCCTCCCAAATCTCGTCTACATAAGACCTGCTTCCCTGCTGGCGAAGCACCACCATTTCTATGGAGAACTTGGGGTGTCATTCTCAACTCCAGTCTGAGTTGCCATCATGTTCCATGATGCTGGCAGCGTGTCCCAGCCTGTGGTCACTTGGCACCCCCTGGAGAGGTGGACTTGTACTCTGGATCTGCAGCCCAGGCAGCAGTGGGAGCCTTTCCTCCAGCTCAGCCCCGGTGCCTCTGCCCTCTCCCAGGTCTCATGGACTCTGGTGGACAAAGGTTCTTGTCAGAGGAAGTCGTTGACAGGGTGCGATGGGAAACGGCCTCTCCAGGGAGGCAAGATTCCAGCCTCAGCTCTTGCTCCTGTAGCCCCTCTTTCGGAGGTGTCTTTCTGCCTGGATTAAACACTTGCTCATTAAACCTGGCTTAATAAGAAACTAGAAAAGAAAAAGAATTAGAAAAATTCTGATTCTAGACTGGGTAATCGCTTTGAGAAATGCGATTTTTCCCTTTTGCCACTTCATCAAAAGAGTGAGAATCTGGGCCTTTCTAGGGTGTGGATGAAGGCTGAGCTGCAGTCTCCAGCAGAGGAAGCTCAGTGCCCAGACCAGTAGTACACACAACTGAGACTTCTAGAATGAATGAAGAATGAATGAATGGATAAATTGGAGTGAGGCACTTACAGAGATAAAATTCAGTTTGATAAGAAGGAGGCGTCCTTAAATCTTGTGTTTTCTCCTAGAGTTGAGTCCTAATGGGGGCGGCATCCTTGTACGGAAACACGAAAGGTTAATAGCAATAACAATAGAAACCTCGTGTTTGTGTATGGAGAGCCTTACGCTTCCCAAATACTTTCCCACAGATGACCTCATTTAATCTTTGTTTTGTCACAGAGATATTTTATTCCCATCTAAAAAAGTAGGACACCCGGGATCACAGTCAAAAAGGTATTAAACTCTGTGTTGGAATGATGGTTTAAGCTACTTCTTGTGACTTCTATTCCAATTTTCCCCATGTCATCACGGCTGATTAGAGAATAATTATGATAATACAACTGAGAATAATATAAGATGTAGAGACTTAAGTCCCATGTGCCAGGCACTAATCACCCAGTTTGCAGGTGAAGAAACTGTGCATAGAGTGGTTGGGTAGATAAAGGCCCCCCCAGCATGGGTGTGGGTCCCGAGGAAAGGCATGGCTCATTTGCCAGGGAGCTGTGGTGTGGACCTGCTTTGCCTCCTCTCCCAGACCCCGCCAAGGTCATGCACCTGCCCAGCAGCAGAGCCAGGAGGCCAACCCTGACAATCTGACTCCTCACCACTACCTGCTGGCATCTCACCACAGCTCACCGGCTCTCTCTTCTGTTCTTATGTACTGCGTGGGCCAGTTCCCTGCTCTCTTGTTCTTGTCCCAGCAGCCCAACAGTAGCAAAATCTAATTATCCTAACCTGGAAGAATCAAAGGTGACATTTTCTCCACGGATAGGAAGCTGTGCTGGAGGACTGTAAACATTGGTTGACTTATCTCGGGGTTCTCTTTAAAGGCACCTAGTTCCATGGATGACTTAGCTTCCATGTAGCTAGATGACCCCAGAATGCCTGATTTTCCTGGCCCCAGGTCATGCTTGTATGTCTCTTCTTGGATTGGATGCTTCGTCTAATCCAAGGAATGGCTGCCTTTAATCAACCCCTCTCCATTTGTTCATCTTCCTCTGGGGCTGTGGGGTAAGGCAGTGGAGGGAGATGCTTAGAGAGGACATCATCCTTTTCATTTTTTCTTTCAAGATATTTTTGAACAGCAACGTTAAAGCCCCCGTAATGCTGCTGTGAATTGTTAACAAGCATGTTTGCACGTCACATCTATCATGCTATGTGCGCGATGTTATGTGAAGACACGGCTTGAAGTATTTTTAAGATCTGGCCTTTCATCTCTGGAAGCACAAGAAAGTATTTGCAGATTGGTCTCTGGAATGAAATTAGCCTAGCACGTTGGCTGGTTCCTGTAAAGTGTGGGCATTTCTGTAAGTGGTTCTGAGTCCCTTAATCCTTTTGATCATTTGCACTGTGTATTTTTACACAGGTTCTTTTACTTTGGAGAAATAAAGTAAAGAAACTTAAAGGTGAGTTTGGCAAGGGCATCACTGTGCTGTTTGTCAAGGCAAATGAATCTTGAATTTGAATGGTAGTAGTTTCTTTTAAACAACCAAGCTTCTTTAAACCTCTCCACAAATAACGTCAGTGGCAGATTATGTCTGAAAGTGTTTGCTGGCGAGTGGAAATCTTTCCTGACCCCATATTGCTGTCATGAAAGAAGAGCCTAATCCCATAAAATATTCTTGACAGCCTCGTGTCAGTTACCACACAGCTGTGATTTCTTATCTGGGCTACAGCCTGTGTGACATTTGTTGTCACTTCATGGCTTCAGGTTTCTCCATTCAGAAGCTCAGGTCATAGTAGGAGGTTGAGCTTCATCCCCGGTTGAAACCTGGTTCGCGTATGACTGAATCCTCTTACGTCCTCACTGTTGTGTGAAAAAACTCATAGGGAGACCTTGATTTCCTCATCTGTTTAATGGGGACCATATGTCTCTGGCAAAATAGTTGTGAGCAATGTTTGTATGTCTGTGTTCACAGTAGCATTGTTTGCAGTGGTAAAAAGGTAGAGGCAACCCACATGTTCGTTGATGGATGAATGGATAAACAAACAAAATACACCCAATAGAATATTATTCAGCCCTAAAAAGGAAGAAAATTCAGACACATGCAACAACATGGGTGAACCTTGAGGACATTACGCCGAGTTAAGTAAGACAGTCACAAAAAGACAAATAGTGGATTCCACTTATAGGAAGTCCCTAGAGAAGTAAAATCCACAGAGACAAGAAAGTGGAAAGGGGGTTGCCAGGGCCCAGTGGGAGCGGGCAAGGGGAGTTGATATTTAATGGGTACGGAATATCAGTTTTGCGAGATGAAAAGAGTTCTGGAGCCGGATGATTAGTGATGATTGCAAAACATTGTGAATGTACTTAATCTGATGGTAAATTTTATGTTATGTTCATTTTATCAAAATAGGAAAAAAATCATGAGCATTAAATGGCATCAAGTAGATAAGTGGCTACCATATCATTGTTGTTCACTAAATCATAAAGTAACAGCTTTGACCATGTGTGGGATAGTAAAATATGTGGTATTTTAATGGTTCTATGAAACTTCATCTTATGAGTATACCACGTTTGTTTCCCTTTGTTTGGCTTGTGTATTTCTTATAAGTATTCTACCATTGTAATAATGACAGAGTGAATTTTTTGTGCATGTATATATCTTTTCTATTAGTTGAAGTTATACCTTTGAGATGGATTTCCTGGATCACTTAATCAAGGTAAATGAGCGTCTTTGTGGCTCTTGCTACATACACCCGTGGGGTTTCAGAAAAGATTTAGTGATTTTACCCTGTCACTAGCCAAGTAAGGGCACCATTTCATTGTATCCTCAACAGCACTAAGATGCTTCTAAGCAATTTTATTAAATATGATAAGAGATAATATGTTAGTGTTTGAATATGCATTTATTTGCTTTCATTTTGATCACTAAAAATGTTGGCATTTTGCATGTCTCAATTTACATGTATTTCTTCACATAGGAAGAAATACATGTAAATTGAGAAGAAATAGCCTGTTTACGTCTTTTGCTTATATTTTAGTGTGGTTTCAATGTTTTTCATGCCAAATATGTCTGTCATGTTGATAACATATTACCATTTTTAATATTCAGAGATTTTTAATGCTTATGTAGTTGAATCACTTATTTAAACATTTCAAATTACAAAATAATATGTTCTACTAGAGCAAAAGTGGTTTTACAATCACATTATTATACCTACTGTATCTTTTTCCCAAACTCTCCACTGTCATTCTTTTCATATCTTTTAGCATAAAATCTGTTTAGATGCTAACTTGAATGACTATAGTATTTGAATTAAAATTATATGGACTAGCCAATTAATAATAAAATATTAATATAATAATAACCCAGTATAAAAGGACATGCCAATTAGAGCAAAGAAGAAATTAAAATTGCTAATAACCATGAAATTTGTGTTTTACTTCACTAATAATATAAATTCATCCTAAATAAAACAATAGAATCCTATCTTCCAGCTATGAATTGCTAAGGATTAAAAATGTTGTAATGGTGACTGAGACTGGCCCTCAAAAACGCTGCCAATGGAAAGAGAAAACTGGGTCAACTTTACTGAAAAGCAGTTTGGAGCTAGGCATCAAGAAATTTAAAAATGTTTAGAAACATTGATTTAGAAATTCCATTTATATAACTAAGGCTTGAGGCAGCTTCAGAAGCATGGAAAAATATTTACATTTATGGATAAAAATATATTTCAGTCTAATTGCCCAATGACAAGGAATGATTGAATAAGTAGTTGGACAACCATCTGATGGGGAGTTATGTATTCATTATAAATGGTGTTTTCTAAAAGTTTTAGTGACATGGGGAAGTATTCCCAATATAGTGGTAAGAGAGAAAAGCATGCTGTAATGAATGCAGTGGAAGAAATTTGTGTGTGTGTGTGTGTGTGTGTGTGCACGCGTGCATGCACACATCTGGTAGGCACCCAGGAAGAGATTGATAAAATTTATTGATAGTGCTTATGTGGCAGTAGTATAGGTGATTTGTATTTTCTTTTTTCTTTCTTTTTTTTTTCTTTGAGATGGAGTCTCACCCTGTTGCCAAGGCTGGAGTGCAGTGGTGCGATCTCGGCTTACTGCAACCTCCACCTCTCAGGTTCAAGTGATTCTCCTGCCTCAGCGTCCCGAGTAGCTGGGATTACAGACACCCACCACCACGCCTGGCTAATTTTTGTCTTTTTAGTGGAGACGGGGTTACACCATGTTGGCCAGGCTGGTCTTGAACTCCTGACCTCAAGTGATCCGCCTGCCTTGGCCTCCCAAAGTGCTGGGATTACAGGCATCCACCACCACACCCAGCTAATTTTTTTGTTCAGTAGAGATGGGGTTTCACCAGATTGGCCAGGCTACTCGAACTCCTGACCTCAGGTGATGCACCCTCCTCGGCCTCTCAAAGTTCTAGGATTACAGTGAACTGCCATGCCCAGCTTGCCAAATTCTTTACTACACATAAGGTGACTGAAAACAGATAGATAAAAAATTTATATAGCCTAGTGATCTTAGTATGGAGGGATCTCTTATTTGCCATGCTCTAAGACTATAAAAGAAAGAAGGACATGAATTTCACAGGTACAAGCAGTACTGCAAATACCCACCCCTGATCCACCAAACCTCCAGGACCACCACTGAGAACAGGCCTACTTACAGAGGATCCTGCAAGTAGACATATGTCACCATCATTGTTTACCACAGAGAAGAATTAGGCTGGGAAAACACTTACCACCCTGCTGGGTATTTAAATCTGACCCTTGTCCCAGTGTTAACAGCACAGCACGTATGTCCCTCCTTAACTCACTGATCTCATGTGAACGAGTGATCAGCCTGTTTTTTACAGGTTTCTCTCCCTGGCACCATCTCACTGTGGTGCAGCTGAGCTCACTACATATAGCATGGAGTGATGATAAAAATAAATTGGCTCTTTCCCTTTGCAGAGTTTCAGTTCTTGAGCGCTATGTCAGGGTGGATCCATAAGGTTTCCTGAGTGAGCTTAGAAACCTGAAAACCCACGTTTGTTTTTTCATGAACTTAAAACAATTTATTAGAGCACAATGTAGAAGTCATCGCAGCAAGCTCCCTGGAAGAGAACTGTATGCTTTTATGGAAAAAGAACCAGTAACAGAGCCTTGAGAGAGACTCTTAGCTAAAGTCTAATCCTCCTTCCATTCTTCCTTCACAGGGTAGAGTTTCAGCTTTTGTCTGTTGTTTTTTTTGTGAACAAAAAACTTGCAATAAATGGATGTTGTCAGTAAATTTCGGTTGTACGTTTTGTTTTTTCCAAGAAAAAACTGGCCATGCAGAAGTCGTCCGAGTGGTGTACCAGCCAGAACACATGAGTTTTGAGGAACTGCTCAAGGTCTTCTGGGAGAATCACGACCCGACCCAAGGTAGAGTGATGAGTGAGCCAGTATTTAATTATCTTACTAATTACAGCTGGGATAATTAGTGTTTGAGCTGCATGGAAGAGATGAACCTTGAAATCACACAGGAGCTCAAGAATATGATTGCAGACATTTATTGACGGAGGAGAGGAGGGGCTGGGGAGAAAAAGGGTGAGAGAATAAAGGCACAGCCACATTCGGCGCCCCTGCCCCCCTTACAGCTGTCAGGGGTGGGAAAATTCCCACAGAGGAAGACGCCAGACAATAGCGATCCGTTCACCTTTGATTATTGCATTATTCCTCCTTAATGCAGTCTTTTGTCTACAAAATTAAAGTGTCTTTCCAGCAGCTCCAAAGATTCCTGATTTATGGTTTCTTTATTTCTCTGAGTTTAGCCTTTCTCGTCTTTTGACGTTATCAGGTTGGATTTTTTTAAAAAAATGTATGTGGTGATAAAGAAGAACATAAAGGTAAAATGCAGTATTCACTAGGTCCACAAAGCTTGCTCATTTAAATATTTCATTTGTTCTCTTTGGAATTTGTTATGTGGAGATATTAATATATTTGGGCTATAAACAATGGTGGTTGGAAATTTTATTTGAATGCATACACAAGTGAAATATTCCATGTTGGCAAATATCATTGTAATATTCAATAATGAAGCAATTTCAAGATCGCATCCCAGCAGCCTTGCAGGCCCTGCTTTGCCAGTGTGATGATCTGATATTATGCAGCTTATGAACTGAAAAGTCCTATGCAATAGATGTGGTTTTTCACAAACCCTCTTCATTTGGCAGTCAGTCTATTTCACCAAAGTATTTTCTCTTTGGTGTCAGATTTTTGTGTAGTGGATATGCAGTGTTATTTCTTGATGAGTGAAGTTTTTCTCCAAATGTAAATTGTGCTTCATGGTGGAATCTTCATATGCCTGTAGCAGCACAGGTTGGTGGGTCCTGAGTGCTGGTTCTAAGAACCATCCCATTCTAGGGCTTTTTGCCAGAGGGCAAAGGTCAGAGATGAGGCAAGAGCAGCAAAGTGACAAACTCGAGCAGGGTGAGGCAGGTTCAGGATCCACGCAGATCTATCAGGGCAGATGGCGGCCTAGAGGTCTGGGCCTAGGAAGGAGGCCGGGGGCACGATTTCCATGACCACAAAGTCTGGTTTGACATGGGGGAATGGGTACCTGGTGGAAGAGGGATGAGGTATGGGGCAGGGTAGGGAAAGAACCGGTAGGACAAGAACACTCTAATCAGAAGGTTCACGTGTCACCCTAGCTTGGGATATGGGACATCACTTCATGTGGGAAGGCAGGTCTGTGGGCCTAGATTGCTTTGGTTCTGCAGGAAGCTCTGCAGTGAGGATCATAAATCAGGGTGGTGACAGCCAGTCGCTCCTTCTGGTAAGTCATCAATCCAGATGGAGCAGACGTTCAGCCATTTGACTGTCAAAGTCAAGGGTCAGAGGAAGATGATAAGAGCTCCAAAATTATCAGTGAAGACATGTATCAGAGGCCCAGGCAAGGCCTGAAGGCATGTAGGTGACAGGTCGGGTCTGTGTCCTTTAATGTGGCCAACTGCAATGCCACGTCCTGATAGAATCTCCTTAGGCTTAGGCCTGGCAGAATTGTAAAGAAGGCCAAGTCTGTCGTCAACTTCTCTCTCCATACCGCTCTTAAATGCTTTCATTTGATCACATCTTCATTGATTAATTGGGTTGCTAATACCGGCCCCTGAACCTCGGGGGGAATACTACTATGATGAGGGTTTGGGCTGGGAGAACTCACCTCTCTGTTCATCATTTGGCCTTCTATGGGCTCTGTGTTTGTAATGGTGGCATCTCTGGGGTTAAAAAAGATTTTCCAGATCTTCACATCATAGGTGGTAATATGGAGACCAAAACAAGGCAAGGGCATGGCTAAGGTTGTAGCGTGATCCAGTCTCCCCAGCTGAATTCAGAGAACCACTCATCAACACCAGGGCAACCCTGACTGCCCCAGGACCCCTCCAATCTGTGGTCCCCACCCTTCTGCCTCTCTTATGGACCATCTCTTTCCATAGGTCAGTGGCCTCCCCACAGGTGAGGAAGAGGTAAGGAAGGGCAGGGGATGATGGTTAGTTAAGGGTAGGGCGAGAGATCCTCCGTCAGGAACCTCTACTCAGCTGGCTTTGTTTTTCTTAAGCTAGTTTTTTAGTTTCTATTACATGTAACAGTAACAAAAATCCTTACTAATCCACCCATTCAATCCAAACAATCTTATGCCCATTATATTTGCCAGGTGCCCTTTTATTTTTTGTTTTTGTTTTTTATTTTATTATTTTTTTGAGACTGAGTCTTAATCCTTTGCTCAAGCTGGAGTGCAGTGGCGTGATCGCGTCTCACTGAACCCTCCACCTCCCAGGTGCAAGCAGTTCCCCTGCCTCAGCCTCCTGAGTAGCTGGGATTACAGGTGCATGCCACCATACCTGGCTAATTTTTCATGTTTATAATAGAGCTGGGGTTTCACCATGTTGGCCAGGCTGGTCTTGAACTTATGACCTCAAGTGATCCACCCTCCTTGGCCTCCCAAAGTGCTGGGATTGCAGGCGTGAGCCACTGCGCCTAGCCACCAGGTGTACTAAATCACTAAGGCATCTGGGATACGCACGAGTATCCGGCCTCTTGGTTAATGCACATGGAAAATATATTCCTACAGGAAGAAAATAATTAATTCCAATATGCTGAGATCAAGTGAGCATACAGATAAATGCGCATAAGACCACAGGCTAAATGTTAACATGAAATCATTAAAACAAGTATGTGTTAGCACTTGAACATTAAAGGCAAAAAACAAACAATAACCAACCCTTAAGTTCAGAATAACTCTGGTATCAATGGAGTTGATATTCCTGGGGAACCCTGAAGGTCCAAAAACAGTGACACATGTCAAGTGTCATTTTTCCAAGGTCAGAATTTGAAGCCTGCTCCTCGAAGGATGGACCAGAGGCAGGGGAGAGCCAGGCTACAAATGAACTTGGCTATCACTCACTCACCACATCTGACCACAGCTGCCTAAATCTCTACTTGAGGTCACATGGCAACCTGTCACGTTTCACAGTAAAAGTTGGTCTTGAAAAGAAAGCCGCCACTAGAGAAGATGAGGGTGGTGAAGATATGTAAGACTGACTGTTCTTACTCAGAAAATGGACATTTTGAAAGAGAGCAGCAGGTTGGATTTGGTGGTGATTCTGATCTGTGAGGCAGTAGTCCACTCCAGGTTCTTTTCAGAAACAAAAGTGATTACTAAAACTACTCGAGCAATGCTCTTGCCTGTGCCAGAATTGCTTATCAACAAAAAGACAAAACTTGTGTAGAAGTTGAAAAGTCATTGACATTTGATGTGAAGATGCGCCCAGGAAACATGATTTCCACAGAAATGTGACTCAAGAGAAATGTATTTTAATTAGCATGTTGAAAGATTTTAGTACCTTTTTGTAAAGTCATTAAGGACTTGAAGGGGCCTTAAATTTTTTTGGTTATAATTCACTGCATTTTATAGGAGAAGCAGTATCTACAGTGATATTTGCAAATGTGGAGATTCTTGCTGATGTCAATGGTCTTACTGTAGTAGAAACAGCAAGAATGTAAGCTTAGAGTCCCCTTTCAGTTAAATCAGATCTTCATGGCATAGGCTAAACAGAGAACATTCAGCATGTTCTTTCCTGCTTCAAGGTGCTGAAGCAGCTCTCATAGTATCTGCCCTAATGGACATCTAGATGAAGTCCCCATGTGTTTTCTTCCTTTTTTTTTTTTTTTTTTTTTCCGGATGGAGTCTTGCTCTGTTGCCTAGGCTGGAGTACCGTGGTGTGATCTTGGCTCACTGCATCCTCTGCTTCACAGGTTCAAGTGATTCTCCTGCCTCAGCCTCCTGAGTAGCTTGGATTACAGGCATCCGCCACCACACCCAGCTAATTTTTGTATTTTTCATAGAGATGGGGTTTCACCATGTTGGTCAGCCTGGTCTCAAACTCCTGACCTCATGATTCGCCCACCTCGGCCTCCCCAAGTGCTGGGATTACAGGCCACAAGGCATGAACCACTGTGCCTAGCCTTCTGCCATTTTGGAGGGAGCAAAGCTGGTAAGTGAGAGATTGGAAGGTGTAGGCTTTTTAAGGTATAGGTGAGGCCCGAGACCTGTTATTCCACAGCCACTAGACAGTGAGTCTGAAGAGGATGCCACTCCACGGATTAGCCTAAGGAGGAATGACAGACATGCTAGCATCATTACTCATGTGGTCAGTAAGTGGAATAGTCTTTTCTTTTAATTTACCAATTACCACAGAACCTCTACTTTTGCTGAAACATTTGAATCCCACTGTTTAAGCCAATAGGTTCTATTCTGGCCTTCTTTCTTACTCATGGGATGAAGATAGTTCCTTTAGGCTTCTGAGGATAGACTGGCAGGTGTACATTCCTGGCCATGGGGTACCCAGACTCCCACTGTCTCCAGGCAACGTGGTGGGTGCCTGAGATTTAGGAGTTTTGAGTTCTGGTCCCTGGTTGGCCCCTTCCCAACCACATGATTTTGGCCAGGACACTTACCCAACCTGAACCTCCATTTTTCTCATCTACAGAAAAAGGGATAATAATGTCTATACTGCCGACTTAATGGTCTGATGTAGGAATTAAATAAAATAGTGTGAAAATAACATGAAAATGGTATAGGTGCCATGCCAGTGCCAGGTATTGTTGTTACGTCTTTTTCAACACAACAATACAATTCCATCAGATTTTAATTTTACATTTATTCTTACATCTGTGTTGCCCTTGATTCTTTGTCTGGGTAAGTATTTACCCTCCATCTACTAAAGTGTGGGTTTTCTACCCACCGAGATTCTTGTGTCTCTTGCATTGGTTGGAAAGAGTTCAGCATTGTTTATGTTGTCTTCTGGGACCTTGCTGGTGCTGACAGTGGTGATGAGGCTGGTGGATCCTTGCTCAAAAGCCTCCTTAAGGCTTCTTCTCACAGAGTAATCTAAAGAACTGGATCAGGTTCCCAGCATTTCATGGCTGGTCTGTATCCTCCTAACTAGAATGACCTGTGCATGAATAACACAATTCAGACCTCCTAGTCCTGCGTGGGACTCGGGGCACAGACTGAGTGCCTCGAGCCAAGCCACAGGTACACCAGGCAGAGGGTCTTCAGTTTTGTGTGACTTCACCCACTAAATCTGATTTCTCAGTTGCAACCCATCTTGCTGTCCTCAGTCCTGGAGCAAGGGAGAGCAATATTTACTAAGCACCTCTTAGGGGCCAGTCTTAGCGATAGATGTTTCATAATCCTAATTGCATTTAAATCTGACCATAACCCTGTGAAGTAAGGATCATTGTCTTTGCTTAGCAGAAGAGGAGCAATGAGGTTCCAAAAGACTCATAATCTTGCTTAATGTTAGTGGCGGTATTTGGATGCAGCTCTGTCTAAAGCTCAGGTCTATTTTCTTTTCCATACACTAGAGGAATCCAAGCTTCCTGACTAGGAAGACCTCTTCTAAGGATGCACATTTTTTTTTTTTTTTTTGAGACATGGTCTTGCTCTGTCACCTAGGCTGGAGTGCAGTGGCACAATTGGCTTACTGCAACTTCTGCCTCCCAAGCTCAAGACATCCTCCCACCTCAGCCTCCTGAGTAGCTAGGATGACAGGTGCACGCCACCATGCCCAACTTATTTTTTGTATTTTTGGTAGAGATGGATTTCGCCATGTTGCTCAGGCTGGTCTGGAACTCCTGGGCTCAAGCAATCCACCTGCCTCAGCCTTCCAAAGTTCTGGGATGACAGAGGTGGCCACTGCGCCCAGCTGGGGTGCATATTTTTATGGATCCTCCAGTGATAACAATTGGGCTTTTAGTACATTTAAAAAAGCAAATATATTAAAATGCTACCATGGATTTAATTATACTTTAAATTGCATGCCTATCATATTCACCACTTCCACATCATGTACTTCTGGAAAAGGGAACTATTGTACACATAATGCATTCTCCAGGCTCTAGATCTTGCCTGCTGCACAGTTGGATGCGTGGAGCTTTTGTGGCAACTCCAAGCCTTCCCAGAGGACTGTGGTCTGGAAACTGCTCCGGTATACTCCTTGGGGAGCAGTGGCCTTTGCAGAGGCCTCTGGCTGAGAGTGCTGGTTAACCCCAATATTAGGGTTCCCCCACCTGTGTAGTTTAAGAATTTTAGCTGGTGTGCAGCCACCCATAAAGACAAAATCCCTGAGACACCTTAGAGCTAAGTATGGCCACATGTCTAAATTCTGACTATGGGGGCCTTAGTAGAAGTGACAGCGTGCAGCTTCTGGGTTTGTGGCCTTAGAGGAAGGGGCATTCTCTTCCACTTCCTCCCTTCCCACAAGTTAGTGTGGGGCTGAAGTGGTGGACCATCACGAAGCCCAGGGATGGAGCCTGACCCTTGTGCTGCTAGAGCTGTGAGACTAAGGAGCCAGAGTCACCATCCCAGGCTGGATCTTTAGGCAAGAACTCTTGTTTAAAGTACTGCTATTGTGGTTCATTGAAGCCTTCTTATTCTCATTTTCTACAGCAGCTGAACCTATGTCTTGACTAACACAGCCTTCAACTATAAGCTGGTGATGAACTCCCAGTTACCCTTCTGAAAGCCTTAATTGCAGTGTTCCCTTAATTAAAACGTCTTTAATCAAACCTGTTGTTAAGAGTGTGGACCCTGGGGTCAGAGATGTCATGGCTGTGAACCAGATCGGCCCGGCACTCGCTGTGCGGACAGGCCTCATTTCTCTCTATCCACTTGACCACGTAGGTCCTCCAGTAGTCTACTAACTGGCCTGTCTCACCCTTTCTCATTCCCTGCTCCATAATGCCCTGTTAAAAACACAAAACCAGCTGTGGCCCCCTCTGGCTTAAAGCACTTTGCCGGTTGCCCGATTTCTTTGGGATGAGATCCGGACTCTTTACAGTGGCCAGTGTGGCCTGGGATTACCTGATTGGCACTTGCCTTTCCAACTTTGGCTCATACCACAGTTCTCCCCAGACTATGCCCCATCCATGCTCACTGTGCTTCAGTTACTGTCGCCTTCATCTGTTCCATTCCTGGAAGACTTGAGCTCTTTCTTGCCTCGCACACTGTTCCTACTGCTTAGCCTGTCCATAGCTCTTGGTCTGCCACCAACATCAGGCAAGACTGCAAGTCTTTGGAACCTCATTGCTTCTCTTCTGCTAAGCAAAGTCAGTGATGCCTACTTCATAGGGTTATAGTCAGGATTAAATGGAATTAGGATTATAAAACATCTGCCACTAAGACTGGCCCCTAAGGGGTGCTTAGTAAATGTTGCTCTTCCTTGCTCCAGGATCGAGGAGAGCAAGAACTATGTGACTGGCTCCTTCTCCTTTAAGTCTCAGCTGAAGATATCGTCCTCAGAAAGGTCTTCCCTGCCCACCCTAATTAAAGTAGCAGTCCCAGCCCTCACCCCCATGAACTTCTGTACTATCATTCTCTCCTTGCTTCCTAACTCATCATGAGGTAAAATCACATGTTTAATTGTTTATTGCTTATTCTCTGACTCCTCTAGAAGGTGGGCTTTGTATTAAATGTTTTCTCGTTGAACTAGTGAGTGAACCTCTGTTTCTGCATCTGTAATAGTTTGTGCCTTCTCAGTGTCGGGGCGCACACGGGCGCGGAGCCTGCCGTGCAGAGCGTGGCGCCTGGTGCGGAATAAGCGCTGGCTCTAATAGCTGTCGTGCTCATGCCGCCTGTGGAAGGGCCGTTTCCATCACCAGCTGCTGTTTGTTTGTCTTGTTCTTTCGTGAATCCCAGTATTTGTCTGCTTGTTCTCTATCATTTTTCCTCAGCTCATGTTCTGATTACCCCTGATGGCTTCCTATTCTTGGTTCACACCCTTTATCCTCAATCAGCTCCTCTTCACCCCTTTCCACCTGCAGCACAGCTCCCAGTTGTCCTCAGAAGGCTTGGTCTGGTTTGCCCCCCGTGGGCTGCACCGTCTATGCTGTTGGGTTTCCTGGGGCCCCAGGGCCACACATCCTGGCCTTACCGTGAGCTGGGGATTCTGTGGGGCTCCTCAGCCTGTGCTTGGAACTAGAGAGCCTGCAAGGACTCTTCTCTACTTGGTGTCCTTGGGCTGCATGGGCTTCCCTGCCAGACGTGTGCAGTCACCACAAAGCCCTGCTCCAGGCGAGTTTTTTCCAGGTGGTCCCAGGGAATCGGGTGGGATAGGTCCACTCCGTGTTCAGGAGGTTGGCTCCCGAGCCTCTTTCCAGGTGCACTGTGGAGAAGCAGGTCCCCTGTGCTGTCTACTGGGAAACATTCATTGAAGGGAGACAAATCCTATTTTCCTTCTGTTCCCCATCAACTTGGCAATAAAATACTGTCGTTCGTATATTTGAACTTGCCAGATTAATATCTGAACTTCCTTGTGCTGACCCCTTGAAGTTAGTTTTTTAAAATAAGTCACCAGTTTTGAAGGACTATCCTTTTTTAGACCATATACAAGGAATCTATCATCTGCAAATAATTAGACAGTGGGAATGATATTGTATTGCTAATGAGCAGATGTGCAGACTCGGATTGGAAGAACAGCTGCACACATATAAAATGCAAAAGCTACCCAAACCCAGCATTATGAATTCTGAAAGGGATTTCATTCTTTTAAGAATTTCAGAAACAGAGAAAAATGAAACAAAAGAATTTAACTGATATTTTTATTAATTGTTCTTTCAGTCACACTTTCCCTTCTATCACATTATCATACGTGTTCATAGTATCTTTGCTGTTTGCAAAAGTGTTATTTGCACTTTTAAATCCTTCTGTCATATAATACTATAAAGCTTCTATTTAACATTTTTCCTTTGCCTTTCTAGTGTTACAAGGGTTTGGTGTCTGCACTCTGAGTGACAGACTCTTACTGAAGGTCTTTCCTGAGCTGTGCGCAATGCTAAGTGCTCATGTGTACGTGATCCCATTTGCTCCTTAAAGCAACCTATGAACCTTAGACCCATTTTGTAGAGGAACAGAAAGGCCCAGTGAGGTGAAGTGATTTGGCACAAGCCACTTACTACATTGCTTGACGGAGGTGGAATTCGGACTTCAGGGCTAAAATCGAAGCCTGATGTTCTTTCTGTTGGGTAGCACATGGCCCCACAGTGCTACACAATTCTATCAGAAAGCAGAAAACATGACCCACTGGAAACAGCAGCACATTATCCGATGATTTTAAACTCTTTGTGATGTCCATTACAATTTTATAATCCTATTAAGGATTTGCAAGATGAAGAAGTCCAAATAATCAGGCTTTTGAAAACTTTTAGCCAGGAAGAGTTTCACATATCTTAGATAGTAATGGTTAGGTCATTTAGAATTTGAATAAATTGCTGAAATGGTATGAAATCACTAAAAAGAAATGAAGTCAGAAGAATTACTAGACTTCACATAAAAGAGTACTGAATTAGGTCACAGAAAAATCAGAGCTGGTAACACTGGCAGGAACTAGGATTTCTAGGTTCCAGGAATGGCAGGCTGAGTTATTCAGACCAAATTGCCCACTGAAAGCAGCTCCAAATGTTGAATAAAATACAACTATATATATAAAGCATCACATCAAAGGGCTGACAGAACTATGAGGAATTAACCAGGTTAAAATGGAAGGCAACACAGGAACCCAGACAGGTAAGCAGAGGATTAGATATATCTTTATTCTGAGCAAACTTGTTAATCCCAGAAAATGCGAGCTTTGAGAGCCTTATTAAGGACGTAGAGGGAGTGACCGACACAATTCCAGCACTTGACCCAGTGGACATAAGATGCTGTACCCCACACCTGGGGGGGCGCCTTCTTCTCAATCACACAAGGAACATATTCCAGGCCATAAAAGGCTCAGTATGTTTCAAAGGGATTAAAATCATGTAGCTTTTTTTTTCTCTTACCATAATGCAAGTATTCAGAAAATCGTCTTATGTTAGAAAATTTAAAAATTTCTGGCCAGGCATTATGGCTCACGTCTGTAATACCAGCGTTTTGGGAGGCCAAGGAGGGAGGATCACTTGAATCCAGGAGTTCAGGACCAGTCTGGGTGACATAGTGAGGTCTCCATCTCTACAAGAAATTTCAAAAAAACTAGCTGGGCATGGTGGCACATCCCTGTAGTCCCAGCTACTCAGGAGTTTGAGGTGGGAGGGGTGCTTGTGCCCAGGAGGTTGAGGCTGCAGTGAGCCATGATTGTGCCACTGCACACCAGCCTGGGCAACAGAGCAAGAGCTTGCCTGAAAAAAACAAATCTGAATATCCTAGTTATCAAAGATAAATCATGATGGAAATTGTAAAATACTTTGAATCAAATGATAATTAAAATACTGTATGTTAAAATCGATAGGGCATAGGTAAAGCAGTTCTCAGAGGGACATATAGAGCCTTAAATTCATATATTAGAAGAGAAAAGAAGCTGAGCTAAGCGTCCATCTCAAGAACTTAGAAAATCAGCAACAAATTCAACCCAAACAGTATAAAATAAATAATGAAGGGCAGAAAGAAATGAAATGGGAAGCAAACAAACAGAAGATCAAAAAAGCCAAGAGTCGATATTTCACAATGGCTACAAAATTGATAAAGCTCTGGGAAGTTGTTCAAGGAAAAAGTGAGAAGACACAAATATACAACATTAGGAATAAAAAGTGGGATATCACTACAGATGTGGGAGATTTTACAGAAACCAGGAAGATATGATAAGCAACTTTGTGTCAATAAATTTGAAAAGTTAGATACATTCTTTAAAAATATAGTTTAATAAAACTGAATAAAGACACCACTGGCTTCATCAGTGAGTTCTCCCAACATTTAAGGAAGAAATAATTGCAGTTTTTCATAATGTTTTCAAGAGATTAGAGAGAGATGCAGTCCATCTTATGATCCTTGCATAGTCTTGATACCAAAACTTAACTATGTAAGAAAAGAAAATTGTAGGACAATCTTACTTATGACTATATTTGCAGAAATCCTACGCAAACTATTAGCAAACTGAATTTAATAGTATATAAGAAAATAATACATCATGACCAATTTTAGTTTCCTCCAACGAACACAAGCTTAGTTTAGCACTTTAGTATTAGCCCATGTAATTAACCACCTTAGCAGGTATTTTAAAAACATGTATGATTATTGAAATAGATGCTTAAAAAGTACTGAATACAATTCAGTATTCATAAATGATTTAAAAACACATATAAAAGATGACTTTCTTATTCTGATAAGGAGTACATGCAAAAGCCTATAGCAAGCATTGTATTTAATAATGATGCATTGAGAAACTACAGAGAATGCCATTGCAATTTCTAATCAGCATTGGAGTGGGGGTCCTAGCTCATGCAGTAAGTCAAGGAAAGAATACATGTATGCTGATTGAAAAATCCACTAGATACCTATTTATCTTTCCCCAGCCGGACACCATTCCTCTTCTCCCTTGAAGTGGTCATGTGACTGAGTTCTGGCCAGTGGAATGAGGAAGAAGTGACATATGCTGCTTCCAGACCTGGCTCAGAAAAACCTGCTGCATGATCTGTGAACTTCTCTCTCTATATTCAGTCTGCCTGCTGAATGCTAATGCCAAGGGAAACCTTTGAAGCAACATATTGAAGGTGGTGAAGCTTCTGTCAGCCTAGGCCCCTGAAGAGTTCATGAAGTAGAACTGTTACCATCTCCTTTTTATTAACTGCTTTGCATGATTATGAAAGAAACTTCTATTATGTCCACCCACTGGAATTTCAGGGTTTACTTATTTACCAGGAACTGGTACCTTGAAGTGGAGTGCTACCAAAAAATCTAAAAAAAAAAAAACAAAAAACAAACAAACAAAAAAAAACATGGCATTGGCTTAGTAGTTAGGCAGCTGGAAGATCTAATATTGGGTCTTGTTTATGGTTGGTAAACACACCAATTCTCTCCAAATTGTTTTATGAATTCAGTGCAAATCCAAATGAGATCCCAACAGTTTTGTTGTTGTTGTCGTCAGTGTTGTTGTTTTTGTGGATCTTAAAAGCTAATCTCGACATTTATAGGGAAATGCAAAAGTCCAAGAAAAGCAAAGATACTTGCATAAGAACAAGAGGATGAGAGGACTTATTCTTCCAGATATCGAGTCATTATAAAGCTACAGCTGTTAAGACATTGTGTATCTGATGTAGGGACAAATGAATAGAGAGTTCAGAAACAGACCCACTCATGTCAAAGTATGACAAATGACACAGTTGGCATTTCATAGTACTGGGGAAATAATGGCTTCTTAATCAATAGTGATAAGATAATTTTCTTATAGGAAGAAAGTTAATTGGATTTCTGCCTCACACCATACACAAAAATCAATTCCAAGTAGATTGAATACATAAATGTCAAAGGCAAACGTACGAAATTTCAAGTAGATAATTTTCATGACCTTGGGTTTCGGAAGCATTTCCTAAACAAGACACAAAAGCACTAACCGTAAAGGAAAAATATTTGACAAATTTAACTATATCAAAATCTGACAACTTTGGTTCATCAAAAAGCATCATAAAGAAAATGCCAAGAACAGAAAAAAAGAAAAATAAAAAATAACAAATTGCCAAGAACAGAGAGATTATATTTGATAAAGGATTAGTATTCAGAATATATAAAAAATAGACTTAAATGTATGTGCAGTATTTTTTTTTAGAAAAGACAGACTGCTGAGAGAAAAAATGGGCAAAGGACTTGAATTGTGGCAAAGAAACATAAAATGATAATTAACGTTATTAATCAGGAAAATGCAAATTAAGATCAAGTGAGATTCCATTACACACCAAGCAGACTGACAAAAAGTGAAAATCTGACATTAGCAGACTTTAATGAATTGGCAAGCATTTAGAGCTCCAGGAATTCTTGTGCAGTCATGTGGTTTTGTAAATTGGTACGACTACTCTGGAAAAATAGTTCAGCATGTACTTAAGTTGAAGACATGCAAACACTATACAGCAACAATTCTATTTCTAGGTATGTACTCAAGAGAAACTCATGCATATGTATAAGAGAATACATGTCAAGAATGTTCTTTACAGCCCCAGGCTGGTAATGTTCATTAAGGGTAGAATGTATAAATCCATTGTGGTGCATTCATACAATGGGATATTATGAAGCCATGAAAATGAAGAAAATGGAAGGACCTCATGATCATAATTGTAAGTGAAAGATTCAAACTGTAGTATAATTGCATTTATATTAATTTTAAAAATAGGCTGTATTAGTCTATTCCCATGCTGCTAATAAAGACATACCGGAGACTGGGTAATATATAAAGAAAAAGAGGTGTAATGGACCCCAAGTTCCACATGGCTGGGGAGCCTTCACAATTATGACCAAAGGCGAAGGAGGAGCAAAGGCACATCTTATTACATGGCAGCAGGCAAGAGAGTGTGTGTAGGGGAACTGACCTTTATAAAACCATCAGATCTCATGAGACTTATTCACTGTCATGAGAACAGCATGGGAAAGACCTGCCCCCCGTGATTCAGTTACCTCCCACCAGGTTTTTCCCATGACACGTGGGGATTATTGGAGCTACAGCTCAAGATGAGATTTGGGAGGGGACACAGTCAAACCATATCACAGGCCAAACTAAACTAGGTTTATTCTGAATGTGTCCGTGTGCTAAAGAAATTATTGCAAAAACCAGGTGTGGTACAACCAGAGAGAGGGAAGGCATTGTCATCAATAGAGACACATGGAAGACTCTCAAGGGTACTTGGCTGTACTCTCTTTCTTGACATTAGTGGTGGTGATGTGAGTATTCACTTTATAATCACTAATTATAAATAGAGTAATAGTAGACACTTAACTGTGCGTATCTATTTTATGTACCTTTGTACATTTATGTCTTATGTACTTTTCTGTAATTAAATCTGGAAACTACAAAGGTATAATATGTCGATTGCTACTTCTGCTAATATGAACACTATCCATGATGGACTAGCTTTGTAAATGTGTGTGCACATGTGTGCTTGGTACTGATTTCAATGTAAGCATGTTGTAAATCTCATATAGTGGGGCACTTTGGCTGTAAAACTTTAAGATTTGGACTTGCAATGATGACCTAAAAATTTTACTATTTTGAACGTTTTCTAATATTTTCATTATTTGGCCAAACTTGGGATTTTAGAACATAAACAGACATGGAGTCCCAAAAGACATTCTAGGACGCATAATAAGTAAAAAGATTTTCTTTGGCCACCATAAATAGAATTTCCCTTTTACACAAACAAAATTCACACTATGATAACTTTTGACCTTTCATGAAGAAATCACCACATCTTGTCAAAATAATTTATGACTATAGAAGTAATGTGTACTCCTTACTGAAAATCAGGATCTTTCATTTTTCTTTTTGCTTTTAGATATGGAATAAATATGTGGCACCTCTGTTAAAAAGCAACACTATTTCATCTCCCTTGAGATGCACTGCGTGAAAAAATGCAAAGAACATTGTGCAGGTGATAGATAGTGACCGTATTGTGTGGCTGTCTTCCTTTTAGAAGAGAGCCACATAATATCTTTCATACATCCCTATATTCCACCTTTTTTTTTTTTACTTAAATTATATATATTTACAAATCGGAATAATAGTGGTTAAGATCATGGACTTTGGAGTTAGATGGTTCCAGATGCAGCACTGGCCTTCAACAGGCAACCAGCCTCTCTCTGAGTGTCAGTTTCACCTTTGAGGGAGTGTCAGTTTCACCTTGGCAGTGGGAGAGGGCAGGGATATGGGTTTACTAATATCCTCCAAGTATTTGCAGAATTGGGTGAATAACGTAGTAAAGCACAGTGCCTGGACATAGTGAGAACTATAGGATTGTTAGCTACTTTGATGATCCCTCTCTCTCTCTCTCTCTCTCTCTCTCTCTCTCTCTCTCTCTCTCTCCTTCCTCCTCCTCTTCTCCCCCTCCCTCTCTCCCTTCCTCCCTTTTGATGAAAGGAGGGCTGTCCATTCATTTATTCAGTGTTTTAAATTAAAAATGAGCTGTCAGTTAAAATGGACAGGATTAAGTTCTCAGATAAAGTGAGATGGTTATATTCATAGGGCTTGTCTCAAACACCTAAGGTAAAGGCAAGGTGCACCAGGAGGTGTCACCTGGATAATAAGAAGTGCCATCTTTCACTGTGAAGGATAGAGGCTCATCCACCTAGGGGAGGACTTCGGGACACCATGGCATGTTTTTTCACAGAGACCCTACTTTCCAGCAGAAGGTAGGAGGCCACCCCGAAGCAGCACCTGGGTGAGCTCTCCCAGCAATGCCAGCATCCCTGGTGGTCTTCCTGTGCCACTGCAGCATGCAGGTAGCCTTTGGTGCAGCAGACTGTAAGGCAGGATCCGTTTTCTCTTAGCAGCAGTCTATAGAAGAGAAGAATGTGGAGGTCATGCTAGTAGGAGTCACTCTGTTTTCAACCAACATGGACAGTCCTGCTAATGAGATTGCTCCCGCAAAGCTCCCTAAGATAGAGATAGCGATTTCAGACCCTGAGGCGTTGTTCCTGACTTGTCCTGATGTTCACTGTCAGCCGGTAACTCCTGGGACCTCGTAAAGTGATCACCTAGCAACAACTCTTAGCATAAACTTCCCTTTAAAGTTCTCATTTTCAGACACATTTATCACGTCTGCAATCAGGATGGATAAAACAGAGTTGGTACCCAAAGATGAGCTGAGGCTTAGGAGGCCCTCTGAGCAGAGGAGAAGTCATCATCTTATGCTTCATTATAGATGAAGCGTTTCTGTTTTCCTCTGCTTCCTCTGGCTCTGCCGAGAGGGAGAGAAACCTCAGAGCAGTCTTAGGGTTGTTTGTCCCTTTAAAATCTTCTTTGGAGAAAGTGGATGGAGAAATCTCAAGCAGTTGGTAGATGTCAGGAGGTCAGTTCTCATCAAGAATGCCCCAAAGCCCAGTCCTCATTAATCAGTTTATAGAGTACTATGGAAGCATTTTAAGCACAAGGTGTTGTTTCTGAGCCAGTAATTCTCTTTCCACTCAACACTGAAAGTCCACTGCTTGCTTTCCTGGTACATCAAGACAGCCAAATAGTGTCAATAATTTTTCCTCATAGTTTTTCAAAAGCCAAGTGGAGGGCACAGTGAACTTTGCAACACTTGTTGCATCTGTGGGAAAGGGGGCTCTGGGTCATTGCTTGGTGATTATGCTCACTCAGGGTTCCAGAAAATACTGTAGCTCATGGGAGTCTGATCTTTCCACGCATCTCTGGTCCCCACCGTGACTTGTCAAGATACCTATGTGGTTACACGCCCAACCCACCAGCTTCAGGACCCACCAGGCCCCTTGTCAGACCTTGTCCTGCCTCTTCACAGTCCTCAGAACGTTCCAAGCTTGTTCTTATTTCTGGGCCTTGGGCTGGGATGCCCCCTCCCCAGCAGGTACCCTACATCCAGAAGCACTTTGTTCCATTGTCCTCGATTATTTTGCTGTAACTTCTCATGCATCCATTTTGGAAGGAGAAAGGGCTTTGGTGTCGGGGCCATCAAAGTTTAAATCGCAGGATGGCCATTTACCTGCTATGTGACCTCAGGTGGGTCACTGAATGTCTCTGATCCATAATTTCCTTTTTGTCAAAGAGGGTTAAGAATATCTTCTCCACAGGGCTCATGTGAGGATGAAACAAGAAATGATGGCAAAGACCTCGCACAGGGAAGTACAGTGTCAGGCTCGTGACTACTCTTACCCCTCCCTCCCTCGTCCTGGTTATTCCTTGAGACAAGGGATTATGACCTAATTCTTCTGTAGCCTCTAGAGTGTGGAGGCTACAGTTGACACACACGAATTCTTTCTGCTGGAGAGAACATATTTATTTGCAGAAAGAGGAAAGACATATAGGAGTTATTCTATCATCAATAACATTTTTCTGTCCTATCTCAAAATATAATTTTGGTTAATTTTGCCCTCTGGAGAACAGCATTATAAAGCCTGTTTAGATCAATTTATGACAGTCAAATATTTCGTTTGTTTTGTGATTCAATGGGTAGACAAGCAGGGCCACTTCTTGTATTCCTAGCCGTTCCTGGATGTTGGTTCTTTCTTCTAGGTTTTCAGTCTGTTGAGTTTCCAGTCATCTTTCCCAGTGAAGCATCTTTGTCATCTGGGCTTCACGCTTGAGGGTACCATGCTCATCCTCTTGAGAAGCGGGCATCAGGGCTTTGACACAGATGCTTCCTGGGTTACAGCTGCTTTTGCAAGCAGTAGCAGTTCCTTCCAAGTCCCTGAAGGCACCGCACTGCTCCGCAGTCCTTACCTTTGTTCTACCTTCACCCTTGGCGCCCACCTGCTGCCAAGACAAGTCACTTCCTTGATCCAGCCTTTGAGACATAGGCCCCTTCCCCACTGATCACGTGAACTTACCCACTCCCTTTCTGAAACCTTGCATTTTTTTTAACCTGCACAGATTTTCCCTTAACACCTCTAATTCTTGCTTATGCCTGCTGGTCTCTGTTTCCCCTGATTATATTAGGAATGTGACTAGCTGAAACATGCTACTGGGTCCAATTCCTGAATCCCAGTGCCTGGTTCATTTTCACCACAACATGGTGGCCTACAGGGGATCTGTGGCAACCCTGCGGCTGTTTCACTCTGGGGCACTGTCACACTCAGATAGAAACTGACTATCATCCACCCTTCAGCTGCTGAGACTGGCAGAAAATGCTCTTTGCTGACTTTAAGTTGCAGGCTAGATGGGTAGGTGACTTTAGTCATAGGTGCAGGACTCCTGCTATGTGCCAAGCACCGTGCCAGGAATTTACACAGACATTGTCTCATTTCCTCATCCACCAAGGGAGGGATGATGAAACCTTCCATACAGGTATCTCCTTAGGACCCAAGGAAATAATATGTATCATAGTGCATTACATGTGACAATTGGAGTAGATCGTTGTTTAAGTATTTCATGTAAAAGTATGTATTCATAGAACATCTAGTATGATCCAAGACCTGTGATAAATCTACCTGAGTTCAAAGATACTTGTTGTAATTAAAACAGGCAAATCAAAACAGATACATTTCATGCTTGTTTAAAGAAAATGCTGTAAACAGAAAATTAAAACAAGCACTTAGCAACACATCAGGCACAGGGACCATATGAAAAGTGTCAAAATGTCTCAGCATTGTGCCCAGTTTGAGACTGGCACTGTCGCCTAGTGACCGGGTAACCCTCCCTGTTTTCTGCTTTCCTAGGTATGCGCCAGGGGAACGACCATGGCACTCAGTACCGCTCGGCCATCTACCCGACCTCTGCCAAGCAAATGGAGGCAGCCCTGAGCTCCAAAGAGAACTACCAAAAGGTAGGGATTGCTGGGCTCCTAGCCCCTGGCTTAGGCCACCATGACTAGGGCCAGGTTCTGATTTTAGAGGGCAGTCTGCTGCTTTTCAACTGGAATTGTGTTTTATTTGCACATCTCTTAGAAATTTCTGTCAGCCTCTAGGAGTGGAGCCATTGTGTCTAATACGTGTGCTAAATGAGGTTTTAAGAGTAGGCCTGGGCCAGGGCCAGTGGCTCATGCCTGTAATCCCAGTACTTTGGGGGGCCGAAGCAGAAGGATACTTGAGGCCAGGAGTTCGAGACCAGCCTGGGCAACATGAAGAAACCCCATCTCTACAAAAAATACAAAAATAAGCCAGGCATGGTGGCCTGCACCTACAGTCCCAGCTACCTGGGAGGGTGAGGTGGGAGTATCGTTTGAACCTGGGAGGTCAAGGCTGCAGTGACCTGTGATTGCACCACTGCACTTCAGCCTGGGTGACAGAGCAAGACCCTGTCTCAATGTAAAAAAATAAAGAGTAGGCCCTTATGTGTTTGCCTTTGAATCACTCATCTAGATGAAGACACAGCCTGTTAAAATAAGTCTTTTTCCTTCTCTCTTTATTTCTGTCTCTGTCTGAAACTCTCTCTTTTTTTCTTCCCTCTGTATTAGTTTTACAGGGCTATTGTAACAAACAGTCACAGCCTGGTTAGTTTAAACAGCAGATATTTATTTTCTCACAATTCTGGAGGCTGGAAGTCCAAGATCAAGGTGTCGGCAGGGCTGGTTCCTTCTGAGTGCTGTGAGGGAAGGGAAGGATCTGTTCCAGGCCTCTCTCCTTGGCTTCTAGATGGCTGTCTTCTCCATGTTTATATTCACATCAGCCTAGTTTTATGTGCGTGTGTTTCTTTGTCCAAGCTTCTTGTTTTTAAACAGTCTCTAGTCATATTGGCTTAGTGCTAACCCTCATGACCTCGTTTAACTTAATTACCTCTGTAAAGACCCGTTCTCCAAGGAAGGTCACATTCCGAGGTTTTAGGACTCCAACATATCTTTTGGAGGGAGACACGATTCAACCCATAACACTTTCTCATAACAGTAAATTGAATTATGATAAAAGTAGTTCTCGGAAATATATACATGATATCACAAAATAATTATTTTCAGAGTTGTGTACCCTTTTTTAAAATCCTCCAATAGAGATTTAGTTGTTTTAAAAACAAGTTGACTTGCTTTAGTTTTTAGAACTTTGTGATAGTACTTGTATTTTATTTATCATTATATTTTCTGATGTGGATTTGCATTTGACAGTAGAGCTAGAAGCTACTATAAAGCTAATCTATGTTAGAATTTTGTAAAAAGTCAGGTATGCAACAGCCCCCAGGAATGAGTGCAGAGACGAGGAGGCTGTAACTAGAGTGTCCACTGGTGAGCAAGTAGAAGGACGGGTGACTCAAGGTCAGTTCGACTATGATGAGCGGAGAGGCCTGAGGGAGGCGCTGACAGAGCCCATTCCTTCCTTGGCCCCTCCCACCTCCCTCCCAGGGTGATGTCTGCTTGGCTGGTCATGGTAGGCAGCCTGTGGGATGGCCCCCAGTGCTCTCTGCCCATATGTAATTCATCTCCTTGAATATGGGCTGCATTTAGCAACTCACTTCTAATGAATGACAGCAGTGATGGGAGCACTCTGAGACTAGGTCATTAAAAGATTGTGGCTCGTATTGTGAAAACTCTCTGTTACCGCGTGAGAGATGGTAGGGGAAGCCAGTTGCCACGTCATGAAGCAGCCCTGTGCAGAGGCTTACATGACAAGGACAAAAGCCTGCCAAGAACTATGTGAGTGAGCTTCGAATCCCCTCAACCCCAGTCAAGCCTTCAGATGAGACTGCAGCCCTGCCTGACAGTTTGATTACAGCGTCATGAAGGACTTCAAGCCAGAGGCACACAGCCAAGCTGTGCCACAGAAGCTGTGAGATAATAAATGTATATACTTTGAAGCTGCTAAGTTTTAGAGTAATTTAAGTATACTTGTATTTCCATTCTAAAAACCTTTTACCTATATATTCTTTCTCTTATCCCTTTTTCGTAATGGCTTTTGTAACAGTGGTGGGCTAACCTGGGCATTTATGGTGGTGGTTACACATGCAGTCTCTAGCATGAAATTTTCTCAATTCACATGTCATCTGTGCAGTTTATTATCAAGTACCTGACACTTAGAAAGCCATATGTTCTATTTGACTCAAGCAGACCTATGAGGATGAGGGAGACCCCATTATCCCCATTTTCCAGATGCTCAAAGAGAGAGCAATGACCTTAGAATAAATGAAATTAAAGAGAAGTAAGACTGGATGCAGGGAGATGAGTTGGGCAGCTATTATAGGATTCCGGGCCAGAAGTAATGGAAGCTTTGTCTAGGATGGTGGAAGTATGGGTGGGAGGGAGGGATATTTAGGAAGTACAAAGACCAGAACTTGGAACTTCACTGGAAGTGGAGAGTCAATAAGAGGGACAGGTCCAGGTCCAGGTCATGGCTGGTGATTTTTTGTACAAGTGTACAGAGAAGCAGAGGCAGATTTGTGGGGAAGGTAAGTTAAGTTGTGAAAGTGCAGAGTCTAAGGTGCCCATGACATGGGCATCCAAGGGGCTGTTTGGAGGAGCCATGGGCTGTTTCTGCCTTGCAGGGAGGATTGTTAGGACTGCTAACTGGGCTAATGCTTGTGAAACACAGGGCCTAGCACATGGTAAATACCTCATAAACAGGAACCCTTATTATTATTGGGAGTTGTCAACTTATATTTGCTAAATGAAACCCCAGTTGCTGATAAGATTACTTGGGAAAAGTAATGAGATAAAAGCAGAAGAGGCAGGGCACAGTGACTCACGCCTCTAATCCCAGCACTTTGGGAGGCTGAAGTGGGCGGATCATGAGGTCAGGACTTCGAGACCAGCCTGACTAACATGGTGAAACTCGGTCTCTACTAAAAATACAAAAATTAGCCAGGCGTGGTTACACGCACCTGTAATCCGAGCTACTGAGGAGGCTGAGGCAGGAGAAATGCTTGAACCCAGGAAGCAAAGGTTGCACTGAGCTGAGATTGCATTACTAAACTCCAGCCTGGGCAACAGAGTGAGACTCCATCTCAAAAAAAAAAAAAAAAAAATGCAGAAGAGAGGGCTTAGTACCCGAGGAACTGATTCCTCCACTTGAGCGGTGGGAGGGGAACTGTCCAACCAGGCAGGACACTACACTGGGCACCACAGGAACCAACCCCAACCAAGAACTTAAAAAGTGGTTCAATTGTTTCATCCCACTGTATTTAATTATAAAGGCAGTATTTATAACTACTACTAAAAGTCACATATGATAATGCCATCTATAAACTCCCTTATGTAATGATTCGTAGTTCTCTAGGGTACCAAGAGTAATACCAAGCGACTCTGGAAGCATATTAACTGCCCTCCAGAATACTGAAATATGATGATATCCTGGTGTTTGCAATGAAGATTTTCAGTTCAAGGCCAGTGCCTTCCGTGTGATGGTGAAGAGGCTTATCACCGAATTTTCCAGTTTCTATCCCATTGTAGTTTCTACCCTCAGTTTTGAGGGGAACCCACGTTGATTTTAGATAAATGATATCCATAGGAGGTAAAATTTAGGTATTATATAATTAATTAATGAGCTGCTATAATTATCCTTTCATTATTTTTGTAGTTTTTGTAGAGGTTAATCTTGTAGGCAGTTGTGCTGACCAGATGTTTTCTGGGTGTTCTGAACCCAAGCACATGGGAATTAAATACGTGTGTGTGTGTGTGTGTGTGTGTGTGTGTCTGTGTCTGTCTGTCTGCATGTCTGCATGTCTATGTGTCTGTTTGGCTTTTAAAAGTAGGGTCTATTTTTTAAATAAAGATTGGGACTCCTGTGCCTTTAGTATCCCGATAGCCATTGCTGCTCACATTACTGCATATAAACTGCTTAATCACCAACTCAGGGGACAAATGCTGTCATATCTCTTTTATGGTTTTGCATAAATAAAACTGACCCTAGATTCCACTGGGAGATGAGTTGAAAGTTCAGTGTTTTCGTACCAGCTAATTGACTGAAACCCAGAGTTTCAGACTAGACCAGTGCTTCCTTTCAGCACCACTCGCCTTTCCGCCATGATGCTGTGGTCTCTTTTGCACTGTCCAGTGGAGGGCCTCTGGCCACATGTGGCTGTTGAGCACTTGAAATAGTGGCTCACTGGCTCAGTTCCTCAGTGGCTAGTGTGACTGAGGAACTGAATCTTTTAATTAATTTACATTTATATTTAAGTGGCCACATGTGGCTGGTGGCTACCATTTAGAGAGCATAGCAGTTCATTAAGGGGTGAGCTTGTGCGTGTGTTTGCATGCCCATGTGCATTGTAGAGGGGTGGAGCATGTCAGTCTGGATCCCTGGCCCTCTGCTCTCACTATGGCTTATCCCAAGAGCGGGACGGCCATGGAACATGGGACGGCCACGGAACATGGGTTCCTGCCCATCAGAGTGCTGCACCGGGAGCTGCTCTCACCTTTTCCTGCCTGGAGACCACAGCATGAGGGTCAAGTTTTTTCCTTTTCAGGAACCAAAGTGTCTCTTTGTGTACCCCATCCTGGTGAGCAATAGAGCTAAGTGGACATCCATGCCTAGGTGACCACTGTGATTTTTATCTTAGCTTAGCTTAGCCTGGGTCCCACAGAAAGCAGAGCCCAAGCCAGAGGCTTGTGTGTGAGGATTCACTGAGATGTGTGGTTCCAGGGAGCAGGAATAAGGGGCAGAGAGACTGGGGAGGAAAAGAAGGAAGACCCCATACAAGTTAGCCCCTGCCACTGGTAACTGGTTGTTTGAGATTTATGAAATGACTAGGCATTCGGGAGAAGATGAGGAAGCATGTTTCCATTGAATGCCATCAGTCATAGGTTGATTCTGCACTTCTGAGCTGCACATGTGTGAGCTCAGGGTACTGTGTGCCAGGGCAGGAGGCAAGAGACAAGAGGCACATGGCGTTGAGTGTAAGATTGGGCAATGCAGGTGCATAAAAGCTGCACAAAGTGAATGGGGGCCCTTGCAGAACTGGGTACTGTGGCTGGCCTAGCAAGAGGCAGATGGGGCCACAGGGATCTAAAGTGATGCATTAGTGTCCTCTGGGTCCACTGTCTCCAAAGGGTCCTTCTCACTCCGATCCAGGGAAGGCAGCTGACTGCAATGGCTCAGGAATGATTTGCCACGATGGAGTGACTTTCTGGCACCTCTGATAGAGGTGAGAAAGAAAAACACAGTTCAATTTTAGCAGAGTGCATCCTGCTGCAGTCATATGGTGATATAATATGTACTTTTATATAGGTTATATACCATAATTATGTATAATACGTATATCTATATAATATATAGCTATATAATAATAATAGTAATACTGTTAGAACAGCAACAACAGTACCAACAGAGTACTTACTAAATGCTAATCAAGCAGTTTTAAGTCATGTATAGATCTTAGGTGTTTATCTGTGTACATATATTTGTTTAGCTGTAGATGTGTATCTCTCTATGTCTTTATATAAAGTTAAATGCATTCATGTATTTATGAGGCCCTTTTAAGTTTTGAAACTTGAATGAATTTCTGACTGTTTATTCAGTTGATATAACTGATAATACAAACATTGCAAAATCAGCAATTTGCAATGCCTGTGAGAGGTGATGTTATCAGCTTTGATACCGTAAAGAGGTTGATCAGTGCTTTAGCCTTTACCTTAAAAAGTTATGTGGTTTCTAATACATTCACAAAATGGGGAAAATTGCCGATCTAACCAACTGCTTTATTCACTGAGGGAAGGAGAGCAGGGAGCTGAAGAGGTGACCCCCGGACTGGGCTTTCCTGTGTTTTATATCTAGGGTAAGCTTGAACAAGCTCCTGAAACCACAGAGGTGTTTAAGGTAGGGAGGGTCATTTCTTAACACTCCTGGATTATGGTCTAGAACTCTGTACTGTAGTCAGAAACATTTAGTTTGATTTCTAAAAGTGGGGAAATTCTGCCCATGACTCATTCTGTTCATTTTACATACACTGCTTTCCTCTTCAGAAGGCTTGGTGTTTCTGGCCCCATCACTACATTCGGGACATTTGTCTTCTTTGAGCGCTGCTGGGACCCCTATACACTAACTGTAATGTTGACTTAGGTTACTAATTTAATAGTCTTCTTCACTAGCCTGCTCCCAGTGACCCCCTAGTACCCAGCTTCTTCAGCAGCTTCTTTATATGTGAAGTTTGGAGTGACAGTATTGCTTACCACAGAGCAGCCATTTGAACATAAAATTAGCTGATTTTATCACAGGGACCAATTGTTGAGCTAATTAGATGTGCAGTACTGCTGAGGAGCCAGAAACCAAAAGTGATTTTCCATTGAAACTGTGGTTTTCTGCAAAGTTGGCTGGGTTGTGGATACCAGCCTCACCAGCGACTGTCAGAGTTTTGGCTGAAGAAGTTTGCTCATTTCTAATCAGATTAAAAGAGGCAGGAAAGACTTAAGGAGGAGGATGGAGTCTTAAGGAGTGAAACTTGAACTTCACGCTGGGTTTGCTGACCTTGAACATGCTGGATTCTGCTTACAGAATTTGACAGCTGCTTCATATCTTTGGTGAGCAACCCTAACCCTAATACAACTTTGCATAAAATGGAGGGGGGTGTTTTTGCCTTCAAGGAGAAGACTTGATAATCTTTTCTTAGCCTCATTAAAAAAAAAATTTTCCTCAAATCTTTGGTGGAGTTATTTGCTTATAGCACTAATTGCAAGACATCATCTAATGTATTATTGTTTTTGGATTGTCAAATATGGACAATTTATCTCCCAAGTGAGCCCATCATGAGAAACATTTCCCAGTATCCTAAACTGAATGTGGCCTCCGGTAGAGTGAGGGTGGTTCACGTGTAATTCTTCCATCCTGAGAATGTGACTCCAGCTCATTTAGGAATTAAATCTTTTCCCACTGAGAAATTATGTTTCTTGAAATGTGAAAGACAGCAAATCTAAAGAGCATTCTCCTGGCCATATGACCTGGCTCCTTCTGCCAGCTCTTCAAGTCTTCAAGAAAGCACAATGCTTTCTCTGGGTATTTCTCTCGCGAAAAAGAGAGAAGAAAAGCAGCGTTTTCCTTTGTATATATTTTACAATATATTAAGTTCTAATAAGGATAAAATGTTTCTGGAGTCATTGTTAAATTACCCACTGTGTTTCAAATATAAAACAGTGTTTTAAAGGCTGTATCTATCCGTCTCTCAGTGTTTGTCCACCCTTCCATCCATCCACCCACCTGTCCCTATCATCAGTATATAGCTACAATCTTTAAATATTTGCCATAATTTTATCTTAAACTTCAACTATCTAGCAATTTATTATCTCTCATCTCTGCGTTTGTTTATAATTAATACAGGGTCATTTTAAAGAAAAGTTCCCAAAGTGAAAGGTAAAAAAACAGTATGCATGTACAAATGGGTTCCAGCTAGCATTTTCAAAAATAAAGGTTCAGTTTTGATTATTTAATTTTCTTCCTGCTTAGATTGCAGCCAGATATTTAGTGACTCCCTAAGCTCTTCAGTTAAGCCCTGACAAATTGTGGTTTGACTGGTGTGTGTGTTTTGTTGCGGGGAGGCGGGGAGGAAGAAGACAGTGTCACTACCAAATAACCTACTTGGCTGGGCACGGTGGCTCACGCCTGTAATCCCAGCACTTTGGGAAGCCAAGGCAGGTGGATCATAAGGTCAGGAGATCGAGACTATCCTGGCTAACAAGGTGAAACCCCGTCTCTACTAAAAATACAAAAAGTTAGTCAGGCGTGGTGGTGGGCGCCTGTAGTCCCAGCTACTCATGAGGCTGAGGCAGGAGAATGGCGTGAACCTGGGAGGCGGAGCTTGCAGTGAGCTGAGATTGCGCCACTGCACTCCAGCCTGGGCTCCGTCTCAACAACTAGAACAACAACAACAACAACAAAAAAACCTACTCACCTGCGCTACCAATGCAGTCATTGCTGCTTTTCTTTAGCATAGTTTGAATACCATCTCTATGGTAATTTTTTTTTTTTTTTTTTTTTTTTTAGTATCAGTGACACTCTGAGTGTAAATGACACTCAAATTTAGGGTCTAGAACTACCCTCTGGACTCCAGATCCCCATAACAAACTGTCTACTTGTTATCGCCACTTGTGTGTCAACGTAATGCTTTCTAAAATGAAAGTTTGATTATTGCCACCCCCTGTAAACAAGTCCCATGGCTTCCTCCTCCCTCCTCCCTCCCCCCTCCCCACTCATTGACACCCTTCCCCATCGGGTCATCATTTAACTTGCCTAACTAAGCAAGATCCTCAGAAGTCATCCCTGCCTCATGCCTTTCCCTCGCCTTTTCCCTCCAATGAATCAGATTAACAGATTCTACCTCCAAAAGACATCCCCACTGTGCTCGCTTCTTTCATTTTCTCTCACGTTCACTCTCATGATTTAAGCCACCATTATCTGTTCCTGGACAACTGAACTTCTTACCTCTCCATGATTATGACCACCCGCACAGGCAGCAGAGTGATATTCCTCAGTGTACCTCGGGTCATTTCCCTTCCCTGTGTCAGCATCTTCCACGGCATCTCTACTGTATGTGGAATGAAATCTGAACTCCTTCGCATGGTCTACCAGGTCCTTCAAAGTCATGTCACCATCTTCCCATGAGACATCTGTAACTTCTAATCAGAGAGCCTAATTATCACAGTATATCTAAGATGTAGCCTATAATTCTTAAAGTTCAGAACCTTTGAATAAGGCTCAAGAACTTTCCAGAGAACTGGGGACTCACTATGAGAACCACAGGGACTCAGGAAATCTTACTGTTGTGCAGTGAACCTCATAAAGGATGGTTTTATACTTCTTTGTATTTCAAAGTTGATCCCTTCATGGACTCACTGTTGCCACAGAGAGACCAAATTCAGAGGCTGTGGACATGCTGCCTGGTTGAGGCTATGCTGTATATTAAAAGGAAGGATTAACCATCTTGTTCTTGACCCTAAACCCTATCCTGCAAACTCTCTTGACACCGAAGTTGCTATTATGATCGTACAACATTATTTGGTAGGATTAAGTCAGTGGGTGATAGATGAAACTGCCTTCCTCTCACTACTTTGCCAAATCTCTGACTTTTTTGTCCCTGTGTTAATATCCTATAGCTACTATAACAAATTACCACAAACTGGATGGCTTAAAAGCAACAGGGATTTATTCTCTCATGGTTCCAGAGGGCAGAAGCCCAAAGTCAATTTCCCTGGACCCAAATCAGGGTACTAGCTGGGCTCTGCTCCCCCAGGGGCTCCAGGGAAGAATCCCTCCCCGGATCTTCCAGCGTCTGGTGGGTGCCACCATGCATGGCCTGTGGCTGCATCACTCAAGTCTCTGCCTCTGTGGCCACCTGCCTCATCCTCTTCTGGGCATCTGATCTCGTCCTGCATCTCTCTAATAAGGACACTGACAGTTGCATTTAGGGCCCACCCAAACAATCAAGAATACTCCCGCATCTCAACCCCCCTTATTTAGTTACATCTGTGAAATCTGTGCCATATAAAATAACATTCACAGGTTTTAGGGGATTGGAACATGGACATTTTGGGGAGACCATTTTTCAGATGACCACAGGCCCCATAATCTGGTCTCCAACCTGCCAGTGTCATGTGTCCACCCCAAAATGGGAGACTGAAATTGGGGGCTCTTCCTCGGGCTGCTTAGGAGAGGTGGGCGTTGTTCACTAGGTGGGAGCGCATCTGGCTTGCCCTGAACCCCAGAACACACTCAGGTTTCCCAGCGAGATGGGATTTGATTTCCTCTCTCGGGGGTCTTTATCTAGTTTTGAAGAGAGGTGAAAATTTGCAAAAGTTTATCCCCTTTCATACATCTCTACCTTCAAAACAGACCCAATTTTACTGCTATACTACTTCTGAAATAAAGTGGCATACCAAAAATAACAGTAGAAAAAAATAAATCCTAAGAGCTAGAAGGATATTTGGGAGAGAAAAAAATGTGTGTGTGTGTGTGTGTGTGTGTGTGTGTGTGTGTGATCAAAAAGCATTTGGATGTTTGGCAAGAGTGGTCTAGCACTCTCTTAGTCACTTACTCTCTTTGAGCCCTGACTTAATTTCTCTGATACCAATTTTTAAATGATCTAAGTGTGGATAACAAAATTTCCCAATAGGTTCATTATAAGAATTAAATGTGATATACACACACACACACACACACACAAGCTGGCATGCAGTAGTGACCCAATATACATTATTGAAGCTGAGCCCCTTCAGTTTTATGATCCAGAAAATAGTTTTAATTATACCAACCCAAATGAGAGAAATTTAATATACTCAATGAATATTTAGCCATGCTATAACCATGATAATATAACTGAACCAGATAATTCCCCAGCAAGAGGTATATACAGATCCTTTGTGTTTTCTTTTCAACATCTATAGGCTGAAAATGGCTTTTTCTCCTTATTCTCCCGTCCCATGTTCCTCAGTAAATTAATTACCTTATCAAATATTAATTATGTACAGATTCATTGCCAGACTTGCATTACAGTTGCTTTAAACAAAGCTATCTGAGGCAAAGTCTTGTGAAGTTTGTGGTAATAAACTGTCCCACATACAGTCACAGAAGCTCACATGTGACAAATGCTCTTTTCTGCAGAGAATCTCCTAGGAACTCGTCTCCCATTTTCTACATTAAGTAAGCTTATAGGAGGCTTCCATTCACCTGTGTGTCCCCAGTGCCTGGTGCTGTGCTTGGTACCTAGTGATTGTCAACAAATATCTGTTGACCTGAACTGAAGTGATACAGCATATAAAGAAGCCCGTTTTGTTGCCCCTTGTTATGGACCGAATATCTGTGTCCCCCCAAATTCATATGTTGAAGCCTCTACCCCCAGTGTGATGGTGTTTGGACATGGGGCCTTTGGGAGGTGATCAGGGTTAGATGAGGTCCTGAGCTGGAGCTCCCGTGATGGGACTGCTGTCCTTATACGAAGAGACACCAGGGAGCAGGCTCTTGAGCACTCTATTGCTGTGTTTCTTGCTGCACACAGAAGTCATGTGAACACAAATAGAACTGCCTGCAAGCCCTGAGAAGAGGACTTGGAATAAACCTACCTTGCCAGAACCTTGATCTTGGACTTCTCAGCCCCCAGAACTGTAAGAAATAGAAGCCTGTTATTGAAGCCACGTAGTCTGTTACTTTGTTATGGCAGCCCGAGCTGACAAGAGAGCCCTGTTTTGTGTGCTGCACTCCATGGAGCGGGGGCAGAGCACTGGCTTGGAGGAGAACAACTGGCTGGAGCCCTGGCTCTGCCTGTAGTGACCGTGACCTTGGAGAGGTCTCTATGGCCCATTCTTCTTTTGTAAAATGGGGAAATTAAGAACAGTGGAATGTTGTACGGCTTTTCGGTGCTTTCTCCTGTATTTTGCTGGGTAAACTTCACAGTCACACACAGGCTAGGGCAGGATCTGTTCTCTGACTTGCCTATGAGGAAACTGAAGCTCAGAAGTGTTCATTCACATTCCCAACATGACCCCCATAGTAAATGTAGAGAGCTAGAGTCATTTGACACTGAATTCCATAAGCTTTTCACCCATGCTGTGTGGCGATACATGCTAATCTTTCAGGCATTTTACGAATACAGTCATCCTTCGGTATCCAATGGGGATTGCTTCCAGGACCCTCTGAAGATACCAAAATCTGATGATGCTTAATCCCTTATATAAAATGACATTTACATATAACCTATGCACATCCTCTTGTGTACTTTAAATAATCTCTAGATTACTTATACCTAATACAATGCACATACTATTAATATATTAAAATAGTTATGCTGTATTCTTAAAATTTGTATTGTTGTATTGTTTTTATTCATTTATTTATAATAATTTTGATCTGTGGTTGGATGAATCCAAGCACGCAGAATGCAAGGATACGGAGGGCCGACTGTATCAGGGTTTAATGGGTGACTGCAGAGGTAAGGCTGTCTACAGTGACTTCATCCTGCCTTTCTAGAGATCCTCAAATTTCCAACCATAGTTACAATATAGGATCAGCATATCTTCCTTTCTGTCATGAATTGAGAAAATGTCATGGTTATCTGTTTCTTTGTTCCCAGGGAAATGGGTAAGTTGCATGCTAGAAGCATCCCTTCTCGGTCTGTTGTATTCTCTATGCTGCAATGTTTAAAACCCATCTGAGTACCGAAAGACTGTTGTTTTCACCAACACTGAAACATCATTTATTTGCATTGGAAAACCCTAAATAGACATGGGTAAATGTCAGTTGATATGTTATGGTTTGGGGATTACATAGCTCTTCGTCTTTAAAAAATTTTTTTTATCTGTGCTTTTGTTTAAAGCATGAAGTTATGATTTAAAATGCCCATGGAAAAACCCTGAATAATTCATTGACTTACCTTAGTCAAAAAGAAAAATCCCCCCTCCCCACCGTATGCCTAGCAATAGGGATAAAATTCTTCTTAGTCCCTTTCTGTAGCTTTGAGGTTAAAATTACGGGTGTTATTATGAACTCTAAATAAGAACCTGTGAAATAAATATTTTAAAAGTGCCCATTTCTGGGAGGCAGGCACCCATATTTCTGTGTATGCAGCCACGTAGACAGCTAGATCTTAGGCATAATGGTTTAGTTGCATGTGGGTGATTATTTTCATTTCCACTTATTACTGTGTGCTAGACTCCCTGTGTATGAGTACAGATTGCCCTTTCTTGCACTGTATTTAGAAATCTCTGTATTACCCTTGGGCATTTGTTCATTAATAGGGGGTGGGGAAAGGAAAAGCTTGTAATAATGGGCTTTACATATTAAACTGTGTGCATCCGCATTTGGGCCAAATGGAAAATCTGGTTTGTATGACTGCCCTCTGCTGGCTGTAGGCCTTTGCTGCAGTGGCAGGATATGAGTCCCTGGGTGGAGCCCCTGTGCAGATGCCGGTATCAGTCTTTTATTCACTTGCACTGAGTTCCATCCAAGTACATCAGAAACAGCCTAAGATTCTACCTACTGCCCAGGTTGATGGTGGAAGACAGCATTCTTGTGAGGATCAAGGAGACATTTTTGATTTTAGTAGAAGTACAGTAGAAGTATAGACACAAAATAATCCTGGCCAACATAGGGTGATGTTTGAATGAATGAATTCACATTTCTCCACGGGCCACACTCCTACTCATCTTTCAGTGGCAACAGGGGAATGTTTAGTGGCTCCCATATGTGATGTCCAGACCCCTTGTGGAATGCAAGATGATTTTACGGTGTATCCAGATGAATCTTTTAAATCTCAGTTATGTGTTTATAATATATATTAAGAAAACTGCAGAGAATGTTTGAAGCCCACAATTTCCTGAAGGTGATGGCTGAGGTGAAGAGCAGGAAATGGAACCTACACACACAGCTGCATTCCTTGCAGAGATGCCTCTTCCGCAAGTCTTTGGGCGGAGAAAAACCACAGGGAGGTCCCCGATGACTTGGGCAGCAGTGGCTCTGTACTTGCTTTGTGTATGACCTTGGGTTGTTGACCTGTCTAAGCCTAGGTTTTCTTATTTGCTAAACAGGATAATAGTGGCTACTTCTTAGGCAGTTATAAGGATGATATGGTGTATATGTAAAGTGTCTGTCACAGAACAGGGGCCTGGGCAATGCCAGATGCTTCTTTTTCAGCTCCCCATCCCCCAGGACGCTTCTCAGAGCCGGCCCCCCTCCATGTTCGCATCACGCTTGGCTTGCATCTCGTTTCCTCTGACCCTTATGAGAGTTTCCACGTTTCTTCTCCACCCCACCCCCCCCACGCTGAGTGGGACCTTCCCTTGCTTTGCATCTGTGGCAACATTCCATGAGCACTTCACACAAGGCAGGCACTCTGTGAATGTCAGGTGAATTAAACCCAAGTGCAAAATACTTGTAAGCAGCATTTTCCCATTCTCCAACACATTCAGAGAATTTCACCTATCAGATTAGGACAGGGCCTATACGTTTTTCTCCCCCTACCCGCCATTCGTGTGGTCTGATAACAGCAGCAGCATTAAGTTCCCGTCCATTGGCTGCAAGCAGGGAGGAAAAAAGGCCCCAGCGCCTACTGCCTGCTTTCCTGCCTGCGTTAATATCATCTCTTATCTTACCAACTAACATATAGGGGTGTGTGTGTGTGTGTGTATTTATGTGTGTGTGTGTGTGTGTGTGTGTGTCTGGGTATATATACACACACATTTATATTCGTTAATTTCCGTGGAAAAGAAAGGGATGGCAGCAGAAACATTTTAAACACAGCATTTCAGCTAGGGTAGGGTCTACTTTAAAGACAACAAAAGGGCCTTTGTTGTTCTGGCAGGTAGATGGATAAGCCTGGCCCTGGTTCAGCCTCTATAAAGTGGCTCCGGAGTGATAGGATCAGAGAAACTACCGGGGGCGGGGGGGAGGTGCAGGGACGCTTTTATTTCTGTGGCGCCAAGAGTGAAGCAGGGTTTGCCGTTTCCTACAGGGGCAGTGCGTTTGCGTTTCAAATTCCCGTTGATTGTGTCGCAGCCCGCGTGGTCCCGAGCTCCCCGGCCTGCGCCTGCACGGCCGCGGGACGCCCGCTTGCATTTCCGCCACCGAGGCAATGTTCATTTAACGCTTCCAGAGATCAGAGCTTTCATGTTTGCCACGAAAGCCAGAGAGCCGGGAGCACCTCAGGAGCGGAGATGAAAGGCCATTTGTGTTTGTGCATGTGTATTTAGCGCTTAAAGGGCAGGAAAAAGAAAGAAAATAGATGGTCCCGCTTTGCACTTACTTCAAAATGTGCCTTACTCCCTCTGGTGGGACCATTTAACTCCAGCGCGCCACCCCTCCCCCGCTCTGGCCGCTCCCGTCTGCCCCGCTGCCTCGGCCCACGTGATGGCTGTTCGGGCCCCGCCGAGCCATCTTCCCGTTGCTATGGCAGCCGGCGCGGCGAGCCCGCCCATTGGCTGCAAGCGAGGAGGAATAAAAGGCTCTCGTGTCCTTAGGTCTAGTGCCCTGCGCCATGGCCCCGTGCAGGTAGAGGCCTGGGCATGGTGCGTTGCAGGACGGGCCGGGCGCAGGGACCGCCCCCCGCACCGTGCGCCCCACCCAGCTGTCCAGAAACGGTCAGGGTCAATGTCATCAGCTTCTCCATGGAATGGGAAGCAGGTGAAGGACAAAAGCAAGGCTCATAAGGGAAAGTGAGCCACCTTTTCCTTCACCCTTAACACCTCCCAGCTCTGTTTTTTTTTTTTTTTTTTTTTTTGTAGTGTTTGAATTTGAAATCCGGCCCTGTGACCCTTTCTACTCACAGACACTGCACGTGAGGCCTGAGCCTAAGTTTAGCTGTCAGATTCCATTTACCTTGGCCATGCCCCGTGGCTCCAAAGCCGCGAGGACAGCACTCCATTGCGACGTCTACTCCCGAGCCTGAATGTTTCGAAAATTATCTTCGTCTTGCTGGGTTCGCTGCTGAACTGGGGAGGCGATTGGAATTACCATCTGGCCTCAGAGCTGCGGGTGACTCTTGTCCTGACCCCGTGGCCTAGTGAACAGATGACCCCGGCGCCTGATCTTGTACCTGGTCAAACAGGTGTGGAGAAGTCTTGGAGGGGAACTGCAGCTACCTGCCTCGGGCTCTCTTCGGCTGGCGACTTGGGTTCCCTGCTGAGTGAGAAAGAGAGCCAGCCACACCCAGAGCCTTCAATCCCCAGAGGGAGGGCACCCACTGCGATTTGGCTGTGGTTGGTCACCTGCCTTCCCCAACATAGGACCAGTCAGCAGATTTGGGAGTGCAGAAAGCACTTTCACAAACATTCTCTCCTCTGCTTCTCATAAGGAGCCTGGGAGGCTGTCACTCTAATCGCTGCCCTCCAGGAGAAGCAGCTGGTAACTTGAGACCACATGATACGTACATGGGGGAGCCCAGGATGCACACTCCCGCTCCCTGATTCCAAGCTCTGTGCATGCTCTTTCCATTCTGTCACTGGGCCAGGTAGATTCCCTCTGGACATGTCACACCCTCACAGATTTATAAATAGGGAATGGGCTCTAGGAGGAAGATCGCTCCTCCCTTTCTTCTCATTCCGTATCTTGCCAATATCACATTAAAAGAATATGTCACTAGTGTTTAATTTGTCAAGATCAGGGGCTAATGGTTGAGGATTTTTTGTGGTTCCTTCTGCTGGCAGAAACACATTTGCAAACACAAAATCTTTTAATAAAATAGCAAGATTTAGTAAGAAAGAAAAATACTGTGAGAAAAAAATAGGACCTGATTGGAGGAACATTATTATGCCAGAGACACTTGGTTGACTTAAACACTAATATATTATTTTTATACATATTCACACAAAGGGTGCTGTGTGGTTTCAGGAATCCACAGAGCCTAACACCCAAGCACATGTGATAGAAAAAAAAAATTTTAATCCTTTTTTTTTTTTCATTTTCATTTCTGTTTGGCTTCTTTACAAAGTCGTCATTGAAAATTGCTGTATGGTTATTTTTCCCTCTTGTGTTACAGACCAAACTCAGTGTCTGATGTACAGTGGAATAAGTGAGGAAAGAGACAATATTGGGCAAACCAGTGAAATTAGGCTCTTGTTTACATGAGTAGCCCTTACTGAGATTCAGCTTTTTGTTGCTCTGTGTAGCCTTTTGATGTAGATTCCAGAGTTGTAACTTACATGATAAATTACAAGTCTGTATTTATTCATACATTAGAGATAGGTTATTTTTACCTTTGTGTGTGTGTATACACATTTGCTTGGAATCGGTGAATTTCTAGGCCACATTGAGGCAATTGAACGCTCTTTATAAGCAGTTAATTGTCTAGACCCAACGTTTGCTGCAAACACAGTCTGGGGCAAAATGGGAATTAACATTTTTACAAAGACAGGCATAGAAATTCTAATCCAGCGAATTGTTTCCTTTCTCTGGTAGCAGGGCTGAGTCCTACCTGGCCACAAGGCTGCCATTCACCTGTGTAGCCCAGAAAACAATGGTAAAGACCACCAGAGATAAGACCAGCTAATCCATGCCTTGTAATAGTCAGGTTTCGCAATTCACATCACCTGTCTGCAAAGGTAAACTCACAAACCCCTCCTGAGATATGTGTACAGTCAAATGGGATCACTGCTGTCGCTAGGCCAGCAGCTCTAGAAGCCTATGTTACTTTTTTTTTTTTTTCTGAGACGGAGTCTCACTCTGTCACCCAGGCTGGAGTGCAGTGGTGCGATCTCGGCTCACTGCAAGCTCCACCTCGTGGGTTCACGCCATTCTCCTGCCTCAGCCTCCCGAGTAGCTGGGACTACAGGCGCCCGCCACCACGCCTGGCTAATTTTTTTTATTTTTAGTAGAGACGGCATTTCACTGTGTTAGCCAGGATGATCTGGATCTCCTGACCTCGTGATCCACCAGCCTCGGCCTCCCAAAGTGCTGGGATTACAGGCGTGAGCCACCACGCCCGGCCAAGCCTATGTCGCTTTTAAGATGAATCCAAAAAGACTGTGTGCTACTAGGCTACAGAAAGCAGCATTAAGTCTGATATACATCAATCCATGTTCAAGCAGATTCCTCTCTGTCTCTGGAAGTTGGTTAATTTTTCTGGTCCTGATATTGGATATTGTCACATTTTCCTTGATAGTGTCATCCGGTGAATGATTTTTCATCTTGAACCTTATACTCCTCCTCTCTCGGCAGCTGGTGCTTCCCTGTTCTTCCTCAGCCATGCTGGGGCTCACTGCAGCCTCCTCTGCTCAACTCGCCTGGGTGCAGCCATCTTCAAGAAAACATTATTAAAGCAATATTATTAGTATGCAGCAAGGTGCCTTCTTTCTGCTAAATCAGTTTGTAAAGTGGTCCTCACAAATGCACACATTCTTTGTTATGACAGCAGGGCTTCGTGTTTCTGATGCAAGACTAATAAGACTTGGAAGTAGGGAGGTAAACTGGGTGGCCCAGGAAAGCAGGGGTTAGGGGAGTTGATAGAAGATATGAGAAATGAACCTAAGGGGTGATCAAAGAGCAGCCAAAGAAAAAAATATCCTTAAGTGGGAGAAAAAGGCAAATAGGACGTGTGAGGAATTAGGCAGGAGTAGGAAAGAAAACTGTGAACCACTGTATGCACACTTGTGTGAAAGAGGAACCTAGGAAAGTGAGCCCCGAGAAAGCAATACTAGCAGAAAGCAAAAGGTGCTCAAGAATCATTGTGTTGTTTATGTTGAGTGAAATAAGGCAGGCACAGAAAGAAAAATACCGCATGATCTCACTTATATGTGGAATCTGAAGAAGTTGAAATCCTAAAGCAGGGAATAGAAAGGCCAGAGGCCAGGGTGGAGTGGGGAAGGGAGGAGGAGTTGTTGGTCAAAGGGTGCAGAGTTTCAGATCCACAGGAGGAATAGGGTTTGAGATCTGTTGCACAGCAGGGTGACTGTAGTCAATAATGTAGTGTATATTTCAGAATAACTAAGAGCACATTTAACACGTCTCACCATAAAAAAACAATAGGTAAGTGAAGGGTTGGCTTTGCTAACTGGCTTCATTTGATTATTCTACATTGTATGCATATATTAAAACATCATGCACTCCATAAAGATATACAGTTAGGATTTGTCAATCAAAAATAATAATAAAAAATTTAAAGAAGAATTGTATAGAAAGAAAAACCTTTCAGGATTGAGAAAACTCTGTGAAGAAGTCACATAGAAATTCTCCAAGAAGTGCCACCTGTGTACTGAAAGCCCCTTTAATGGACTTTTGTGGTGCTTTGGTGATTCATACAACTTCAGACAAATAATTTCCTAACCTGCAAAACTGAGCTAGCAACCCTTGCCCTGATCACTCTCTTTGGGGGTGTTTTTGAGGCTCTAGGGAGCTGATGTGCGGGCAAAGGTTATAATCCAGAAAATGCTCTACAAATTTAAGTAAGGTTTTGGCAGAATTGGGTTGTGGGGAGCAAGTGCCAGGCCAGTTTCCAGTCCTTGCCAAACTGCATTTTCTAAGTGATGAAAGATCTGGCATTTTATTCTTTTCCATTTTTTAATTCACTGGGTTTGTTCCCTTGTTCTTATGAACCTTGACTGCAGAGATAAGTTGACAGTGGCTGACAGATGAAAATTTTCATTGATCTCCTCTCTGGTCCCTGCCTTTCCTAGCCCCTTGGCTTTGGAATGAAAACTGTAAGTCAGGGACACCCACGAAGCGATGATGTTGGAGTTGCAGTTTGTAAAACTCTTACGTTACCATCTCTTTATCTGAGCATGGAGACAGGCCCTTTCTGTAACTTTTCTGGCTAAATAACTTTTCTTCAGAAGGCAACTCATGTTTGAAATTAGACTTGACCTTGTTTCATGAGTTTCCAAAACTTATGATTCAGGTCCACATTGGCTGCTTTTGAATTGGATCTATTTAGATGTCAACATGTACAGCACAAGTACAATGAATTCAGTGTCTGTCCTGTTCTTCGTGGTCAGGATTTTTGTGTTTGTTTTATTCCCTGTTAAGCAAGGGGTTTTCTTTCTTTCTTTTTTTTTTTTTTTTTTTTTTTTTTCTGAGACGGAATCTCGTTCTGTCGCCCAGGCTGGAGTGCAGTGATGCGATCTTGGCTCACTGCAAGCTCCGCCTCCCAGGTTCACGCCATTCTCCTGCCTCAGCCTCCCGACTAGGTGGGGCTACAGGTGCCTGCCACCACGCCCGGCTAATTTTTTGTATTTTTAGTAGAGATGGGGTTTCACCGTGTTAGCCAGGCTGGTCTCAATCTCCTGACCTCGTGATCCCCCCGCCTCGGCCTCCCAAAGTGCTGGGATTACAGGCGTGAGCCACCACGCCCGGCAGCAAGGGGTTTTCAATACAGGCTGTCTGATGACTAACGAGAGGGAACATAAGGACCCTATGGTCTGCCCTTCTAGGCTGTTCTCAGGCCCTACCCCACCCAGGCCTCTGCTCTCCCTCTTCTTAAAATCTTCATGGATCCCCAAGGCAGCTGCCCTAGCTGCCTTGTGTGTGTCTACAATGATAGAGCTATCAGCACTGCCATTTCCTGGCCCGTGTGGTATGAGAATATGAGTAGCCAATAATGCTGTCACAGCCTGGGAAAGAGACGGCAAAGGAGAAGAGGCAGCCGCTTGAGACCACGGAGCCACAGCCGCCCATTCCCAGCAGAGCTCGGAGACCACAGTGACACACCTGCCCATTCCCAGCAGAGCTTGGTGCCATTCTCAGGTCTCCCAAGCTGACCCCAGGTGTCCGTGCTTTTATGGGTTAATACCACCAGGGTATTGAACTAGATTTTGACAATCAAAAAAAAAATGTATATCCGAATTCCACGTATGGTGGCAAGTCTATGAGCCATCAAATTAGGAGTTATTATCTATCTATCTATCTGAGACAAAGTTTTCCTCTGTCACCCAGGCTGGAGTGCAGTGGCGTGATCTTGGCTCACTGCAACCTTCGCCTCCCGGCTTCAAGTGATTCTCGTCCTTCAGCCTCCAGAATAGCTGGGATTTTAGGCATGTGCCACCACGCCCAGCTAGTTTTTGTATTTTTGGTAGAGACAGGGCCTCGCCATGTTGGCCAGGCTTGTTTTGAGTTCCTGGCCTCAAGTGATCCGCCTGCCTCAGCCTCCCAAAGTGCTGGGATTCCAGGCATGAGCCACTGTGTCCCGCCAGATTGGAAGTTATTATACCCACTTTATAAAGTGGCGAGGATGGCATGTTTTGATTCAATTCAAAAGGTATTTACCAAGTACCTCCGTATTCAAGGGAGGGGATGTGGAAGCAACCTATATACAAACTTAAAACCTGCAAAGGCATCAGCAAAGAGCATCTCACATCAGCTTCTCTGTTCACTTGGTCCCTACTTGTCTTCACAGAAAGAACAGTTCTTGTGTGGTAATCAAAATGGTATTTCTTTGAGAAAAAAGATGCCCCTGATAAGAAAGACAACAAATACGTTGATGTGGAAACAGCCTCCAACATGAAGTAAGATTTCCAACTGATCAGATCCTTAATTTAGATGCCAAGTGAGAGGTTGACTATTTGTAGGGCTCTGTGGATTCCAGACTCCCACTCAGACCTACTGAATTAGGGTCCTTAGGGGTGGGGCCAGGAAATATGAAATGTTTAAAACTCCTGTATTAGGCAGTTCTCGCGTTGCCATAAATACCTGAGACTGAGTAATTTATAAAGAAAAGAGATTTAATTGGCTCATGATTCTGCAGGCTTTACAGGAAGCCTGCTGGCATCTGCTCGGCTCCTAGGGAGGCCTCAGGAAGTTTCTGATCATGGAGGAAGGTGAAGGGGGAACAGGCACATCACATGGTGAAAGCAGGAGCAAGGGAGAGAGAGTTGGGGGGAGGTGCCACACGTTTTGAAAGACCAGATCTCCTGTGCACTTAGAGTGAAAGCCGACTTATCACCAAAGAATGGTCCAAGCCATTCATGAAGCATCTGCCTTCATGATCCAAACACCTTCCACTAGGCCCCACCTCCAGGACTGGAGATGACATTTCAACATGAGATTTGGGCAGGGACATATATTTAAACCATATCAACTCTCTAAGTGATTTTCATACAGCGCTGGGCTTGGACATCTCAAGGTAGTGGATTAGTACTTAGTCTTGGGCATCAGACAAACTTAGGTACCTGTTTGAGCCTGGATAGGTAACTTAACCTCTCAGCCTGTTTCCTAATCTATAAAATGTAGCTAATCATATGAACCTCGGAGGTTGATGGTGTGACGTAAGTGAGATGACATGTGCCAAGCTCCCGACTCGCAATGTTCTGTCTGCAGCTGTATCCGCAATGGGCATGAATGGGCAGATGATTTGCCCAAGGCGTGTGAACATTAAACAGTCAGCTGTTGATGAGGAAGGCATGGCTCGGGACAGTGCCAGCTAAGATACATCTAGAACCCCATTTTCCATCAGTGCATTTCCTCCTGTGACATAAGCTGTGCCTCTTGTGTGCTAGGCTCCCAGCCCAAGGTTAGGGGCTTTGGGGAAGCTTAACTGTGAGGTCCTCATCTAGGAGCGTCTTTCCACTGCCGTCTAAGCTGTGTGTGTCAGCTGGGTTCAAAGAGTTAAAAATATCTGGTTAGTAATCAGCTGTGCAAAAGCAACACTTTTCATTCTTAAGTTCTGTTCTTCAGTGTGTTGAGATTTTTCCGCTCATTTGTTTCCATGGGTCTCACAAGCATGGCCTTGAGCAGCAGTTCTCAGACTTTTTGACCTCGGGACCTCTTTGCACCCAAAAATTATTGAGGACCCCAATGAGCTTTTGTTTGATATTTACCAGATTAAAAATTAAAACTGAGAAATTAAAAAAACCCGAACACACATTCATTCCATCAGCCATCGAGTGTTGATGTCATCACACTCCGTGTAGCTTCCAGAAAACTTCACCTGCACCCATGAGAGAATAAGAGTGAACAGGGAAATATATCTTAGCATGATGATAAGAATAATTTTGACCTTGTGGATCCTGGAAAAGATTCTGGAGTTCCCCGGGGGCCTCTGAGCCGCACGGAACTGCTGATCTTGATTGCACAGGTTACCCAACCCTGTTCGTCTGCCTCACAGAGAAGCACAGAAGTCAAATCTGAGGCCGTTGTATCACTGAGCAGCACAGCTGGGGCAGGGTCTTAGGGAAGGCCTCCGAGTCCAGCGCAGTTCCCTGGCCTTACAGACGAGGAACCTGAGCCCCAAAGAGGTAAAGCAATGCTCCCAAGCTCACACAGCGTGGGTGCCAAGCTCAGTTAATAACCCAGAGCTTCTGCCCAGTGGGCTTGCCCCTGCATCCCAGTTGAGTGACTTAGGGACCAGGCTCCGGTGAAAGACAGCTTGGTTCCAATCCCAGCTCTGCCACTGTGTGACTTCGGGCAAGTGTCTTAACTTCTCTGGCCTGAGCGTTCTCATACATAAAATGTGAATAATAAAAAATAGCTGCTTCATAGGCTTGCTGGGAAAATTAAATGAGATAACGTGTGGAAAGGAACTGGCATCTTGCATAAGCATTACACACACACACACACACACACACACACACACAGACACACACACACACACACACATTTTAGCTTCCCAGCTAATTCTTAGAGGGATACATTTGTAATATTTTAGCAGTCACTACTTCTAGAAATCATGACCAGCTTTTCTCCATCTCTTGGTCTCAATTGTTCCTTTTCCCAGCAACCTTCAGGCTTGCTCAGCAGCATCGCAGGGGAAAGGGATTCCAGAATCCATGGTGAGAACACCGTCTCTATCTGCCTTCACAACAGACTGAAGGCAGAGCTAAGATCGGATGTAATTAGTTTACATGTCAGACCCAACAATCCATGCTGTACGTCATGCAGGAGTGATCAGTGTTTTCAGGGTGGAATGCAATCTCATAATGAAGCGGTGAATAGTAGTATTGCAGTTGAATAACCTGCAGCATGATGTATGGTGATTAGAATTTGTTTCTGGCATATGGTTTTCTTTTTCTTGTTTTTCCCCCAAAGTGGAATGTCTGCTTCTGTAGCACCGTCCATTTGCAAACTGCGTTCCCCAACCACTCTTTAATTGTCTCCTACATCAGTTCATGGGAGAGCTTAGTGAGGGTAGGTAACCCAGTGCTCCTTATTCAACAAATGTAAATGTAGCGCTTTACATTTGTAAAGGGTGCTGGGGGGTCCCTGGTGACCTGCACACACAAGTCAATAGATTTCTGCTGAAAAAATTTTAATATTAAAACATCATACATAAATTTGAAGACTTCATATGCAAACAGCAACAAAACCAAAAAATAACAAAGGACAGAGATTTTAAAATAATCTCTTATAAATAACTAGTTTTATCTACCCAAACAAAGAAAATAATCAGCACTCCGTATGCTACCTCAGATCCTGTTCAGACATATGTGGGTATCAATAATGAATGAATCAATTGATTCATCCTCAGTCTTGCTGAGTGTCTTTCTGGGAGATACCACTTGTGGCTCTTGTTTACCCAAAGATCACTTTGAAGATAGAACATTCTGTAGTCCCAGATAGCATCTTCTTGCCTGGAACTGACATAAGATCCATATCTCTAAGCCACAGGACTGGAGCTTCTCCCTCTTGCTAAGGAAGTTGCATGTATCACCCAAAAGATACTGGCTTTGAGGTGAGAAGACCTGGATTCTCATATCGTCCTTTGTACTAACAGCAGTGTGATCGAGGCAAGTGCCTTGACTCTCTGGTCTTCCTTCACCCCATCTGTACGGTGATCTCTCAGCAGCTGTTCACCTCTAATGGTGGACTATAGAGTGGTGGCTGAATCCCTCCACCATCAGGCAATCAAAGCCAGCCATTTCCACCGAGGCAGGTGGATCACAAGGTCAGGAGTTGAAGACCAGCCTGGCCAAGATGGTGAAACCCCGTCTCTACTAAAAATACAAAAATTAGACAGGCGTGGTGGTGGGCTCCTGAAGTCCCAGCTACTGGGGAGGCTGAGGCAGGAGAATCGCTTGAACCTGGGAGGCGGAGATTGCATCAATCCGAGATTGCGCCACTGACACTCCAGCCTGGGTGACAGAGGGAGACTCCGTCTCAAAAAAAAAAAAAAAAAAAAAAAAAAAAAGCCAGCCATTTCCAATGGCCTTGACATAAGGATTATGTTGCATTAAGTAAGGATCATTAAGGATCTGAATGAGCTAACTACCATGAGTTTGAATGAATCTAGAGCTTGATCTCAGGTTTGCATGTCAGGGATAGCTTCGTTCACCAACACATTCTCCATTACTGTGTGAGGTGGTGTACAAGACCTCAGGTTCACTCTTGGGCCTGGGAATGACTACAGTGGACATATTTATTCTTCCTTAGTGTGTCAGGTGTCTATCACAGCATAACAAACTACCCCAATCATGGTGGTTTAAGACAAAAATAATTGTTCTTGTGATTCTGTGGGTTGGCTGCATTGTTCTGTCGATTTTGCCTGGACTCATTCATGGGACAGCATTCGGTTTGGCGGGTCACCTGGAGGCAGGGCTCAGTTGGGAAGATGGGGCTGTCTGGATCTCTCTCTCTTTCCATGGTCTTTCCCCCTCAAGGTTAGCCTGGCCTGGGTTGGCTCTAGAGATGGTGACGCCATGCTGAACCCCAATTCCAAGAGCTTATCAAGCCTCTGCTTCCTATGCTGATGTTCCTTGGCTAAAACAAGTCATATGTTCAAGCCCAAAGTTAATGTGAGGATGGGGACTGCCCCTCTTAGTGTAGATACCAGGAGGTGTGATTTGTCGAGGCTGTTAGTGTAATGGTCTTCCCACCTTAGCCTCAGTTTCCATGTCGGTTAGATGGGAATAGGTTACTAAGCATGTAAGGAGGGCCAGCCTGAGTTTGAGGTATTTTCCATGTCACATCCATTTCTAACTGAGTGTGTGATCATAGGATTCACATTCCTCATGAATGAAGAAGTCTTGTACCAAGCGATCCAAGGGTCCACCATTATCACCACCTGACTTCAGCACACACATACACAGACACACACTTCTGTTTCATCTTCCACACAATGTAAAAATCAAATATGATTGGAAGAATCTTCAAAGTGGTAGAGGACTATACCAATGGGATATATTATTACAAATAATAATTATGAAGAATTCTAATGTATTTTCCAAAAACTTATGAGATGCTAAACATCTCTGTTACATATTGCACATTTAAAAATAATTACATTATGAGAAGTGCGTTATTCGGGTTTCTGTTTCTTTTCTGGTGTTTTAAGCTCACTCTAAAAAGGCCTGGCAAATCAAGATGTGTTTGCATGAAACTAAAGGCACTAGGAGGAGACTAAAAGGTCAAATCTACCTTTTAGGAGCAGCCTGCATTCCAAATGGAGGCATTTCAGCTTACTCAAGTCTTTATTTAGTCTAACCACTTGGCAACCTACTTTATTTAGTTTAATCTCCTGGCAACCTACTCTAACCACTTGGAAACCTACAGCCTACCTACAGAATCATAGTTCAGCCATCCATTCCTACCTTCCTAGTGTTTTTGTTTATTTGCTTGGCTCATTGTATTGTGTTTATGTGTACATGTTTGTGAGGGCAGCTCAACTGTGACCTCTTGTGCAGTGTTCCAAATTTACAAAGTTCCCTAAGGATACCAGGCCATCCCTGGCCCTCTTTTCTCTTATATATGGGCAAAGGCTGAGTGACTTGGGGTCCTGACCTCAGTAAATGCAGTCTTATCCTCACCCATTGCTTTGCTTATTCACTGAACCTAGTCCTGAAAATATGGGAGTATAGATTCAGAATCAGCTCTCACCTCTGTGTGGATGACTTTGCGCTCAGCATGCATTTCATAGCCCTGCTCATGGCTTATAAGGTCCTCTCTAACATGGCTGCTGGTTCCCCACTCTCCTAAGTGTAAACACCCTCCCCCACTCTAGGGACTGTGCATCCCATCCTGCATCCACTGCACCCTAGCCTTCATAACTCACATGCTGATATGGAAATAAACGAAGACCACCAAATGGAAACAAGCAAAGCCTCTTGAATCAGAGCTTGCTACATCCAGAGGGCCAGCCACTAGCCCTTGCGTTCGGCAGAGACTGAAAGGCAAGCGGAAGAGAGAAAGCTCCAGAGTGGAAAAGAGGGAAAGCTTCAAGTATGTCCTGATTGGAGGCTGTTGGCCTGGGGAAGTTGCAGACAGGCTAACAAGATGCGGGGAATCTTGTGTAATAGATTAGGGGTACCTATTTAGCTTTCTTGGGTTAGTCCTAGAATTTCAAGCCAGGACAAAAGTTAGGGAAACTGTCAGGGAAATTAATCAAGTCCTTGCCATTTGGGGCTGATTGCTAAAGGGGTTGTTGTTTGGCTTCCTGAACTGGTGACTCTAAACAGTAGGTTGGCTCCCTGGGCTGGTTGCTGCAGGTTGTGGGTGAAGGTTCTGTTTTTATATAGTCAGACTAGTGTCCATTTGTATCTTCAGCCTCTCACCATTCCCCCAACTGAAGGTGCTGCTGTTACTTGTTCCCTGTCCTCACAGACCCTCTTTCCACACCCCATCATTCTGGCTGAAGCCCCCTCCAATGTGTTTTCACAGCACCTGCACTTTGATCACAACACATGTCCCCTTTATTTTAGTCATTACTGGTTCGTTTTCCCTTTTGGTCCAAACACTCCTTGAGGGCAGGGGTTCTGTCTTGTTCATCACTGTATCTTCCCTAGTCCCTTGCACCGTGTCTGGCTCCAGTCAGCTTATAGTAAATACCGATTAAACAAATGATTGATGAATACCAAATACAGCCTGATAAATCTCCCTCTTTCCACTCCCTGGTCTGCATTTCTCCCTGCCTTACGGATATCTGCAACTGGATATTCCACTTGCATCTCAAAATTATCATGTCTAAAACCAAACATTTGATCTTTCTCCCAAGCCATTCCTTCTTGTGATGTCCTGATTTGTAAAGTCCCACCATGCTCACAAACACTCTGCCTTGCCCCCTGCAGCTATCAGTGGGTCCCCATCATCTTCATCTCTTGCATTTCTGTCCCATTTCTTTTTATTCCCACCTCAGCCTTTGTTCTGGTTTGGACTCTGACCTCAGCCTGCCGCCTGGTCACTGGGTTCCAGTCTCAGTCACCCTCTCGAATCCATCCTCCACGCCATCCCAAAGTTCCACTTTGCTTATGCTTCTGTCTTATGGGAAACCCTTCTGTGGCCTCGCATGTCTCAGCCTAGCCTTCAGAGCTCTCAACCGTATGAAATAATCCCGTCCATAGTGTTCATTACTCCTTGCCACACACTTGACTTTTCAATCCCGTTACCCTAGTTGTTTCTAGGACATGGCAGTTCCTCCCCTCCTTTCTGCTGCCTTTACCACCTCCGCAGCTTAAACAATGACTGAACATTCCCTTGTCTCCAGTGGCAGTTATAGATACTACGCTGTGCTGTAGTGATCGATGCAGATGTCTTCTTTCCCTTACTGAACTAAGCTCATTGAAACATCCACCCTAGCTGGTCTTTGCCATTTATAGAGTAGGCACATGGTAAATATCTGTTGAGTAAATGAATGATGCAGCTGGTCATTGCATCTAGAATAACCCTCACGTTAAGGTGGGTTCATCCTTAGATGGATTTGGGATTGATGAATTCAAACGTGCAGTTAAGAGTTTGCTTGTAAATCCTGAGACCATATAGACAGAGTAGCAGCATAATTGTGTGTCTGAACCATCAGTGTTTACTCAGCCCTTCCTTTTGTAGTTCTAGTAAATTGCTTTGTATTTGAATCCGTGCTAGGGCCTTCTCCGCGGAGATTTTTTTTTCTTGAGGCCTACACCAGCAGCATGGCCAAATGCCTATTTCCCAACTTATATCCAGAAATTATTGCCTTTTTTTTTTTTTTTTTTTTTTTTTGGACAGAGTCTTGCTCTTGCTCTGTCGCCCAGGCTGGAGTGCAGTGGCGTGATCTCGGCTCACTGCAACCTCTGCCTCCTGTGTTCAAGCAGTTCTCCTGCCTCAGCCTTCCAAGTAGCCGGGACTACAAGCGTGCGCCACCATGCCCGGCTAATTTTTGTATTTTTAGTAGAGACGGGGTTTCACCGTGTTGGCCAGGATGGTCTTGATCTCTTGACCTCGTGATCCGCCTGCCTCGGCCTCCCAAAGTGCTGGGATTACAGGTGTGAGCCACCATGCCTGGCCCTGGCTTTTCTTTAGTAGAAGTTCAGTTCATACTACCAAGGCATCTAAAATATTTATCTCCTTACTCATTAAAACTCGGCAGTTACACGTCATACTGGAAAGAGGGATAGGTTGGCAGAATTGGGGATCAACAGGTATCTGGGATCTGCAGGGTCTTGGCAGGAGAAGGCTTGGGGGGGACAAGGCACATGAGTGTGCATAACGATCTCATAGACCAGCATGGTGGGAAAGAGGGAAACAGCCTCCCTGTTGCTCACGAGATCTAAAAAAGCCTGCCAGCTTGGTATTTTGGTCCCTGGATTTATGTATCTGATGAAGATAAAACATTCAGAGCATGCCAGCCCCGTGTAGAACACCAGCCTAAGAGAATGGAATAAAAAGAATGCCGACAAAATTTGAATAATCATATGCGATACATCTATTCATTCTAAAACATGATTAGATAATGCAAATTATACATGATAATCATAAATTAAAACAATTACAAATAAGACAGAATACATTTATTGTTTAAATTGTTGAAGTTTATATTTAGAAATTGCTCTGGGTAGCATCAACATTGACTCTGCTGGAGGATTCACCTTTGCTGTCATAGATGCAAACCAACCATTTCAAACAGTTTTAATGGCAATCTGTGCTTCCAATGCAGTGAACTGGGTTTCTGCTCCGCCGTGCTCTTCCCCATTCTCTGTGGTTTTATCATCCTCGGCCTGCACACGTACCGTTGCCTTTGCCTAGAATATCTTTTCCTTTTTTGTTTATTCTTCAGGGTTTAATGAAAACCCTGACTCTTCTGTGAGGCCACCCCACTTCCCTTTGGTATTGCTTTTCTCCTCTGCTTCCGCATGGCATCTTGCACATTTGCTAACGTGCACTCATGACCTTGAACGTCCCTTGAGCACAGGTCTCTGTTCCCCTCTGGGAGCCTCCCCTGGCTCATGCCTCAATGATGAGGAAGACCCTGTCTGAGTTGCTTTTGTGGCCTTCGTCCCCTCTGTGCCTAGTACGGGGCCTGGCGCTCCTCGATTGGAAAGCAAGAAATATTTATTTAATGAAATGTCACTAACACAAGCTGAGGCTCTTTTAGGTCTAAGAAAACGGCCATCTCCCCGTTGCTGTTTTGGCCCCTCTAGTCCTGTGTCCTTGATGTCTGTGAACGGCCACTCCTGAGTTCTGTCTGTGAGGCTCACTGCTGCTAGCATGTTGGAGCCCAAGGGCATTGAGGGGCCTTCCCCTGTCACCCCCTTTTGTTACAGACACACATTCCAGAGAGGTGAACCCTCGCTGAAGGTTACAGTTTGCCTTCCAGCTACCGCTGAAGCTTGTGGCTTGGTTAAACAGGCCTCCCTGAGTAGAAATGATGGACTCTTCTGAGTTGAGAGACCTCGGATTGTACTTGAAACTTTCCATTCTCCAGCTGGGCCATTTGGGGCACTTCCTGTTCTTGTGTGAAATCATTAGCCACAATCTGGAGACCTACGAGTGGAATTTGGTCTGCAGTCTTCGTTTCTTTCTTTAAAGTTTGAATTCTGATGCTTCTCACAAAGACACCTGCTTTGCAGATAGCTCTGGTCCCCACCGTCCATCCCCGCAGTTACTGCATCTTTGAGAAACTTTCTGTTTTATACTCACAGCGCTTCACAGCTTGCACTAGCCATGTTCCAAGTCTTCGGCCGCTGCATGCAGCCAGCAGTTAGAGTGCGGGACTGGACAGCGCCGGCCGGATGCTTCTGCCTTCGCTCATTGACGGTTCTTGCTGGCTTCCGAAGGCATTTAGATCTGACACTGTGGATGAAAAGGCCCTATAAAGCCCTTCCTACTCTGACATCCAGTGAATCTACTATTAAGATGGATTTTAGAGTTAAGTGAGTCCAGGACGACCATCGATGTCTCACCGAATTGGAACTCACTGGTCAGCAGCCGTAATGTTTGAATTGGAACCAGAAAATAGCTCTCAAATTTGCAGAGTCAGCTTTGCCGGGCTTCAGGCTGAGTGGGCTCATAGCTGGTTGGCCCTGTATCTCTGGCCTGGGCACCGTGGCTCCTTGCCAAGGCCGGCAACCCTTGATGGTGGCAGCACGGAGCAGACCGAGCCCCCAGCCGACTTACCCCCGAGGCCTCGCGCCTCCCCCTTCACAGCATTGCGCCTTCCCTCTTCCAGTTCCCAGGGTCGCTTCAGGCTGTCCCAGCCCTCTGCCTAGTCAGCTGTCAGGGAGGGGAAGTGGCAAGTCCAAGGCCGCCAGAGGGCTTCCTACTGCCTGCCCTGCCTGTGGCATTTCTTAAGGTGACAAAGAGTGTGTTTTTAAACCACCCTCCAGAACTCTTACTCCCCATGAATTCTCTGCAGCTGCTCCCCCAGAATTGACTGGAAAGAGAACCTCGTTTAAGCTGCCTATGCAGCAGAATGCTGTGAGTCAGACGACGTCCTGCCAAGTGCAACCTGAGATGCTTCAGTGGAAGCTTGTTCCTCGGTGGTGACACCTTGTCTCCACGCTCATCCATTCGAGTGAAAATTCATCTCTTTCCCTCCCAAAAACATCATGTAATGAATGATGGTTGTTTTTGCTCTGAAGGAGACTTTTTTTTTTTTTTTTTTTTTTTTTTTTAGACGGAGTCTCGCTCTGTTGCCGGGCTGGAATGCAGTGGCGTGATCTTGGCTCACTGCAACCTCTGCCTCTTGGGTTCAAGCGATTCTCCTGCTCCAGCCTCCCAGGCATCTGGGACCACAGGCATGCGCCACCACGCCTAGCTAATTTTTGTATTTTTGGTAGAGATGGGGTTTCACCATGTTGACCAGGATGGTCTCGGTCTCTTGACCTCATGATCCACCCGCTTCAGCCTCCCAAAGTGCTGGGATTATAGGCGTGAGCCACTGTGCCCGGCCGAAAGTGACTTATATTTGCATAGATTATCTCTGTAAAAAGTGAAAGGTTTCTGTGAACGTCTGGTACTTATAAAATATCTTTGTAGGGCAGGATGGGAGATGATTAAACTACTTCCTCATTTAGACAGTGCCACCTGTAAGAAGACTTGTGGTGTGGATTCAAAGATGGTTATCCACAGTGAGATGAATAGAAGGCAGTACTTCTCAAACTTTCATGTTCACCGAAGTCACCTGGGGATCTTGGTAAAATGCAGATTCGGATACAGCAGGTCTGGATGAACCCAGACTGCTTTTCCTAATAAACTCCCAGAAGAGGCGCAGGTTTTAAGGCTATGAGGTGCTTCTCTGGACCCTGGCTGTCCGACGGCCACATTTAATGAGAAGAGAACCCAGCTGTGTGGTTGTTGACTGCGATGAGGATCGCACTGACTTAGAAAGTTATGACTTTAATGTTCCTTAGTCGAATCACTAAGATTTCTATATAAAACAGCAGAAAATATGGGAGTTTGGAGAAGAGAGAAATGAGCTGGATGAAATAGCTTCCTAGCTCCTGATTGATCATTGGGCATCAGCTATTTTGTGTGCTGGTGCCGATGAGCAGGGGAACACGTCGTGAACAGAGTTGTGTCATAGCTGGACGAGAAGGAGATGTTGTAGGGTTCAGTTCGTGTAGTGAATTTTTCCTGAATCCTTAAATTCTCATATATAAAAACATATAGATATGAAGACATTACAATAATATAGAAAAGACTGTGTATGTATGTGTGTATGTGTACCCTATGAGAAATGTTTTTGCTGGTATGCGAAGGGGAAAATCTAGTGTTTGGAAAGAGTTCTCCACTGTGCTTTGGGACTACAAGTTCAGCTTGGGGCAGGGCAGCAGAGTTGAAGAGGAGGCAGGGAGGGCAGAATGAAGCCATCGTCCCTGTGCAGCATATCGGGTGTTACTTTTATGTTGGTGAAAGAATGATCCGAGGAGCCAGCTTATCAGTGTGGAGAAGATTGCAGCTGCAATTTGCTGGTTAGTCTCTGTTCTTTTAACGCTTTCCTGAAGTGCCATTTTGTCTCGGTAAAATGCTCCCTGAAAATACTCAAATATTTTTAGTTGTAGAGTACAAATCAGATTGAGCTGCACATTTCCCTGGTGAGCAAAAGTGATGAGTTTGTGTTCATTAACTCGAGGCCATCTGGTGCAGACACGCTGCCGTCTGTGAATCAAACGTGCATCAAACTCCAGGGATCAGAACGCGTGCCAGAGCCAGTGTTTTGGAGAGTCAACAACAACCGGGGGAGAAAGAGGCCCTGGCTATATTTTTCTTTTAAAAAATCGGCTCTGTCTTGCAACATATCAGAGCATCCCGTGCTGCCCAGCTGATGAGCCCACTTGCAATCTCTCCATTGCCCATCTGAACTGTCTTTGCGGTGTGCTCTGAACTGTTTTTGAGGTGTGTCTCTGTGGTTGAAGTCATCTTGCCTGATACCATCTTCGTTTGGGTAGGGGGAGAGGTGGAGAGAGCATTCCAGTCCCTTTCTCTGCATTTTTCTGTAACCACAGGCCTGAGCCACAGACAGGCGTGTGCACACACACACATTCTCACTGTGAGACAAAGAATTGTGAGGCAAAGCAATGCTCAAGGTAGTTGACATGTTGCAGAACATTCTTGGGAGAACTGCCTTCTGCAAATAACCAATTTCTTGAGGAGACAGTGCTTCTTGCAGTCTTGCCAATAAAAAGCCACTCAGCAGCAGCTAGCTTTCTGTTTAGCGCACTCACCAAAATATATATACATGAAAGAAATTGCTACGCTGATCTGGTACTGAAGACCACCAGGGCCGTCCGTGGCGTGTACGGAGGAGGGACCTGGGAGGGTCTGGGAGTCTCCTTGGAGGTTCCTCCCACTTCGGCATCCGTGAGTCCTGTATTTGGTACCGGAGGCCCGGAGGCCCGTGTATCTGTGTTAGCAGTTGGTCCCCTGCAGAGCACGACACCTGACGTTTCTGTAACGAGATGCAATTTTCTGGGTAGCCTCTGTACCGTCTTTCTAGCTATGCCTTTTCCTTTAGGTACCCAAGCATGTTCACTGGAAGAAGAGAACACAGACTGGGCTGCAGACGGAGGGAAGATGAGTATAGGGACTCTCCTTGTCTGTCCCTGTACCTGCCCACTGCCACCTGTCTACGTCCTGAGATACCCAGCAGAGGACAGGGTTCCACTTGGAAAATTCTTTTGAATCTCACACAAGACAGTAATAAACATAGAGGGAGAAATAACAAGACATTTTACCATGTCTTGTGTCATGTAGGAAACTTTACATTTCAGAAAATATGAAGACAAAAAGATGAAGGAAAGGGCTTTAAGGATACAAAGGACCTTATTATGGAAGGAAAGCAGTGTTGTCAAGAGAGCTAAAATGAACTTTTCTTTTTCCAGTGGGTTAACTTTTAAAAGTGCATGTTATTTAGTGCCCTGCATTGCAGTGTATCTTATTATAACCTTACCAGCCCCAGCTCCTTCACTGTTTTCAGTGTTTGCTAATATGGTAATCATGAAATAGCACTTTATTTTTGAATCTTTGGTTAGCATTAGAGTTTAAGTTTATCATTTGCTTTTTGTTTGTAAGCCCTGAATGAAGGTTTACTTGCACTTAGGAAAGCCCACTGTCCAGTATGTAGACAAGTTAGCTCACTGAAGGTCTTACTAAGCCATTAGTTGAATTACAATGCATCTGCTACAGCCTGGATCTCTAAATTGATGGAATCCACATTGTTGGCAAGATTCAAGGGTAGCACACACCCTGAACACACAAATGCGAGGACACAACAGCAAGAATGAGTAAGCGAGAGAATCAGGTGAGTTTCTAAGGAGCTTTCTGGAGGAACAGAACTTTGTTTTACTTTTTGATTATGCAATTTATGTTTATAGTGGAAAACAGGTAAGACAATAATAGTACCTTTGCTAATCATATTTTAAAACATTTTGGTATGTATGCTTCTATTCCTTTCTCTATGGGAATAAATACCTTAAACAATAGAATCAGTATATTCGTGAAATATCGGTCAGTAAAATCAGATTAGAATGATTACAAATGCATCGGTGAAGGTATTATCAGTGAAAATATTTGTAACCTGCATTTTCGCTGCATATTCATTTCATGAATATCTTTTCATACCAGTTATGTAATATGTGTGTGTGTGTGTGTATATATATATATATATATATATATATACCAGTTATATAATAAAATGTTATTTTATTGTTATCACTATGTAGTCTCATTGAATGGATATACCATAGCTTATTTAACGGCTTTAGTGTTGTTTGACATTTGGGTTGCTTCCAACATTTCCTGCTCATAAATGCTGCCGTGATGAGCATACTTACAGCTGAATCTTTTCTTGCATCCATGGTTAGTTCCCTAGAATAAGTTCCCAGAAGAGGAATGGCTACATATATGCATGTGCAAACTTTATGGCTTTTGATTTGTGTCAGTAGCATAATGTATTTTCTTCACTGGCATTTAGCATACTTTTAACCTGTGGTAGCCCATAACTCTTTACTGTGTCAGGGCCGGGTTCCGTGCACCTCCTTTATCAGCCTACAACACTACGATGCCCCCAGCCTTTCCAGTGCCGCCTCTTCCTGCCCAGCCCAGTTCCTGGCCCAGAGGCCATGGCAGTTTGCATGGAAGTGCTGAGTATTGTTTCATGTTTGCAAAGAGAGGACAGCTGTGGATGAATGGAGAGGAAATAGGAGAAAGTCATTGTCAGAGACTCGGGATTTTTGATGGAAGCTTTATCGCCGATAGATATGACATTTGCCGAGTAGGCCATCACTTCTTTGATTGTCACTTTCCAAACCAAAGCAAATGAAGTCATCAAAAAGAACGATGTGTCGGAGGGCATTTCAAAATTCTGGAGATTTCTGAGACACGTGTAAGGAACAGAAAACCTGGCTTGGGTGGCATGCTGTGTCAAAGGAAAAGAACTGCAGTGAGGTTGGAGGAGTGGGCTCACCTGATGGATGCATTTCTTCAGTACATACATGGCAGGGGAAGGCCTGTCCCTCTGTGGGGTCAGGCAGTCAGGGTGGCTCTTTTAAAGTGGTAGCTTCTGAATGTCCTGGCTGCTGGGATCCTAGTAGCTTTCCTGGGTGCCCTTGGAAAGCAGAGGATTGGTGGTGGTCCTGGGTGAGGGTCTGCAGATGCAGGTGGTGGCCAGGGGTCTAGCCAGGAAGATATGCCATATCAGGGAGGCCCAGCCCTCAGGGGACTGAGGTTTAGAGTGGAGACTTGGAGATTCCTTGGAGGTCTAGAGATAAGGAGTGACTTTGTTCCATAGGCACCGGGCTCCTGGAGTCTGAGCCATAGGAAACTGGTATTCAGTACTAGAGCTAGGATTGAGGAAGGGGTCTGTTCACAAGGAATTCAGTAGCAGCCCAGGTCCTACGTGGTACCACAGTCAGAGTGGAACCAGCAGCCCAGACTGCTGTGCCATCGACCTGAAGGCCCTTCATGTATCTGGGGAGCTGGGACTAAGTGGTCTGTGCTGTGAGGGTTGGGCAGCCACAGCACCAGGGGTCTGGACATTCACTGCTGGTAACGGTAGTTGGCAGCCTTCTTTCTTGTCTTTTCTCTAGATCAAGCTTAGAACATTCTATGTTGTTTTCCGTATGGTTACTCAGTGGCACAGATCTTACAGGAAAGGCAGACCTTGAAAAAAGTTTGTTTTCTTCTTTTTGTTGTAAAAAAAGACAGATACAGAAAGCAATATTAAGCAAATGTGTGGCTTTGTGATTTTATGTAAGCCAAACAACCTTGTTACTGCATAACTTTGCTAGTCCCCCTAAGAGCCTCTCCTCCATCTGCCCCACCCCAGTTACAGCTTTACAGCTCCTCACCCTTCCCAATTCTTGTAACAGCCACTTCCATGCATTTCTTTACGGATTTGTCACCCAGGTGTGTGCTGTGGACTGAATGCTATGTCCCACTCAAATTCCTTTGTTGAAATTTTCACCCACAAGGTGATGGGATTAGTAGGTGATGATGATGACCTTTGAAAGGTGATTTGGTTGTGAGAGTGGAGCCCTGATAAATAGGATGAGTGCCGTTGTAAAGAGACCCTTGGCCCATTCTGCTGTGTGAGGACACTGTAAGAAAGGAGGCAGTCCCTCACCAGACATAGAATCTACCTTGATTCTGGACTTCCTAGCCTCCAGAACTGTGAGAAATAAATTCGTGTTGTTCATAAGCCACCCAGTCCATGGTATGTTGTTACGGCAGCCCGAACAGATCAACACAGCGTGCACGTTCCTTGCTGCTGTTTTTGAGCCTTGCCCATTAAAAAAAAAAAAAAAAAAAAATATATGTGTCTTTGAAGTCTCCTTTAAAACACGCAGCTTGCCCTCTCTTCCTTCTTTTTTCCTGTGGGTTTTTAATCTGCAGATCCCCATAAGCTGGCATGCTTCAGCAGTTCCTCTGTCTTTTGTATTTCCTGAACATTGGCAGCTGCATCCAGAGGTGTGGACCAGACCCAAGTCTATCTCTTTAACAAAGTAGTGATGCTTTTCATCGGCAAACCTACACCATGTGGTTTTTGCTCCTTTTCACGTTAACAGCCAATGATGCTTAAGGCACAAATCCATTGCTTTACTGAGAGTTGCAAAATCGTATTATTTCAACTCTATGAATTTGTTTTCATTTATTAATTGGGATAATTTTCTAAGAAGGAGCTTCCATGTCATTTTCCATTTGGGTACTCAGTGGCACAGGTCTTACAGGAAAGTCAGAATAAATGCTTAATGCTTTCTCTCGACCCACTTTTCAGACATTGACTTGGTTTCCTGTCTTCCTTAAGACTGAACCAATTAGGTCGTTTTCAATAATATTATGAACTCATGGATTTACACACATTTGATGGGTTTCAGTCCATTGCAATTACTATCTTTATTGAAACTCTTATTTTCCTATCTTTGACCAGCCGGAGCTCCTTCACATTGGCTCTGGGGTCCTTTTACCATGACTTCAGGAGCTTTCCTATCTTCTTTACCATCTGGTATAGGCTCACGTTGTCTATTTCCTGCCCCAGACCTGGATTCCACCATTTCTCCAAGAAATCTGCTTTCTTTTAATCAGAAAAAAGTATTTCAAGACCAGCTGGGGCAGCATGGATGCTTATTGCTATTGGTTTGGTCATTATTTCTAGTTTTTTCAGTGGACACACCATACAATGTGTAGTGCGTATGTTGGGGAGGGAGGGGTGTTATCAAATACTGTGAGTTCAAACTGATATTTCAGACTCAAATTCAGAACTGTATAGTTTTCACTCAACTACTTTTATATTGCATTTGTATCTCCTTTCTTCCAAACCAAGAATCTTGGTACTTTTTTTTGAAATGGAGTTTTACTCTTGTTGTCCAGGCTAGAGTGCAGTGGTGCTATCTTGGCTCACTGCAACCTCTGCTTCCTGGGTCCAAGCAATTCTCTTGCCTCAGTCTCCTGAGTAGCTGGGATTACAGGTGTGCACCACCATGCCCAGCTAATTTTTGTATTATTATCATTAGTGGAGACGGGGTTTCACCATGTTGGCCAGGCTGGTCTCAAATTCCTGCCCCCGGGTGATCTGTCCACCTTGGCCTCCCAAAGTGCTGGGATTGCAGGTGTGAGCCACCATGCCTGGCGATGTGAGCCACCACTCCTGGCAAATCTTGGTTCTTAAAGATACAGAATTAGAATATCCCGTAATTATTACAATAGTCCCAATAACAATAATAAGAGCGCTATACCATCAGTGATGATTACTGAAAACAGTTAAACATTTTTTAATCCCTCTATTCTCTTGTTTCCCCCCAATTTTTGTGGCTATGTCATATTTGCATTATCAGATCATATAACCTAGGGGTCCCCAACCCCCGGTTCTGGCCTATGGCCTGTTAGGAACCTGGTTGCACAGAAGGAGGTGAGCTGGCATTACCACCTCAGCTCCGCCTCCTGTCAGATCAGCGGCAGCATTAGATTCTTTTTTTTTTTTTTTTTTTTTTTTTTTTTTTTTTTTTTTTTTTTTGAGACGGAGTCTCGCTCTGTCGCCCAGGCTGGAGTGCAGTGGCGGGATCTCGGCTCACTGCAAGCTCCGCCTCCCGGGTTCACGCCATTCTCCTGCCTCAGCCTCCCAAGTAGCTGGGACTACAGGCGCCCGCCACTACGCCCGGCTAATTTTTTGTATTTTTAGTAGAGACGGGGTTTCACCGTTTTAGCCGGGATGGTCTCGATCTCCTGACCTCGTGATCCGCCCGCCTCGGCCTCCCAAAGTGCTGGGATTACAGGCGTGAGCCACCAGCATTAGATTCTTATAGGAGCAGGAACCCTATTGTGAACTGCACGTGTGAGGGATCTAGGTTGTACACTCCTTATGAGAATATAACTGACGCCTGATGATCTGAAGTGAAACAGTTTGATCCCAAAAACATTCCCTTATCCCCCCATCCCGATCCCCACCCCAGGTCTATGGAAAAATTGTCCATGGATTGATAGTGTGAAGCATGTGATGTGCTTTTTCAACGTGTAGTTTTGATTTCTTTTAATTTCAGGGAAGTTGTCTTCAGTTATGTACTTTAACAGTGTTCTGTCCCCTTGACTTGCTTTTCTTTATCAGGAGCAGACTCCTCTTCTCCATTGATTGGATCTTCTTTGCCCATCCTCAGTATTTGTCTCTTTCTCTGAGTTCCTTCTTACCTTTTTTCTTTTCTTCTTGATTTTAAAAAAAGATACCTTTTGCACCTCCCATTTCCTTTACACAGCTTTTGTTTTATATACTGGTTTTTATGTTCCTTCTAGTTTAGTTTTCATCTCTGACATTATGTTTTAATATTATTTCAGGTCTTATATCACTTTTTAAAGGCCTTTAGTTCATTTTAAAGTAATATGCTGCATATTTTATAGTTTTTTGGTCCATCTTTTTGGCATGCATTCATTATCTGTAGGGATTTTCCTCTCCTTCTCCACCTCCTCCTCTTCCTCCTTCTCCTCCTCTTCGTTTTCTTTCTAATCCTTCTTCAGCTTTGTATGAAATTTGACCAGAGTATTTACTGCCACAGAGAGGCTCCTTCTTTTCACTCCTTCCACTGCTGCCACCAAGCTTTTGTCCCCCAAGAGGAGGATGGTCTCAGATGGAGGATGGTCTCAGATGGAGGACGATCTCAGATGGAGGATGGTCTCAGATGGAGGACGGTCTCAGACAGAGGCCCTTTTGCAAAGTTTGCCTTTTCTCGTGAACAGTGGTCTTGAGTTTGAGGGAGGAGGAGTAGGTCATGTGGACTTTCTAACCTTACAGCACTGTTCCATCTTCTGTTGCATCCCACAGTGTTAAAACTGTGCAGCTGGCCCTCTGAGATGTCCTGTTTCTGTTCCCCTCCTCCACTTTTACCTGGCCAACCTCCTTCCTTTATCTCTGTTATTTCTATCTGCTCAATTTTGATTCCACTCCCAGCAGTGAGGCCCTGGACATGTTCATTGAGAGTCCCTGGGGACAGTGCAGCTCCAGCCTCTTCACCCAGGCCTCGTAACACAGGCCCTTGCGTGTGCTGCTGCTGCTGGAGTGAGCCAAGCTGCTTGAGTGAGCCAAGCTGCTCTCAGTGTTAGCCACTGTTGTCAAAATGGCTGTCTGTGTCTTCCAGGGAATGCTTGTTGGATATTTTGGTGTTTTGTGCCCAGGTCCACCAGATGCCCTATTGCTTCCCTCTGTTTTCTCTAGCAGAGATGCCCCCTTCCTCAAAAAAGAACAAAAAACAAACAAAAAACATGCCTTGTGGTTGTTGGTGGTTTCATTCATGGACTTGTAATTTGGAGTTCTTGGGGATACCTTGTCACCTAGTTTTGTTGTAAATGTTGTCTGTGAGTTGTTGCTTATGCATTTAGTGCATCTGTGTGATTTTTCTGGGAGACATTGGAAGGATCTCATTGTAGCTGCCATCATCCCAGAGCCCCCCAGCAAGATTTTAAGCTGATGGGAGACAGGGCCCCTTGCCGAACGTCTGACGGCACTTCACATATTGTTCTGTGTGCAACATGGATTCGATAAATGTTTGTAGCATACACGAAACTGTCTAACTCTGGGTTTGAACTCCAGCCCCAAAGCAGGCACAATTCTGGGCTTTTGGTATTACATCCTTTTTGCAGTTTATTTGGAAGATATTCATTTGGGCGACAGGGATGTACTGTCTGGGTCAGATCTGGGAGGAGTCCACCCTCTAGTGGGGGAGAGTGGCTCTCTGCTGCCTGTGTATGGAGATAATGAGTTTCAAATGTGGAACTGGCTTTGGAGTTCATGCCTGCCACTCCAAAAAGGCAAGACCAGAGTGGAACATACTTGGGCAAGCCTGTGACTCCCAGTACCTTTATCTCTTAAAGGGATTTATACAGCAGTCACTTGTCTGCTTCTTTGCCTAGGTCCCTAATTAAAGCAGTTTTCAACCCGATAAACAGCCTCACCTTGGCTGATAGAGTTGGACAACTCCTTGGTGGCCCGTTTCCATGCCCTCTCAGGCTCTGCAGCTCCAGGGTTAAGTTCCTGCCTTCAGCAGGGCCACCCACTGAAACATTTAATGAGGAGAGGAGTATTGTTTCTTGGAGACATAATTACCAGAGACACTTAATGCCACCTTTCCCAAGATAACAGGCCTTTTGAAATGCAGTGTGTTGGGGAAGATTTAGCCAAGCTCAGTGACTGCCTTAGCAGTTATGAGTCATATTAATAATGCCTACATCTGCCTCCACCAAAAGGCTCTAGGGTCTGTCTCCGAAGTTTATTAAACTCTTCCTTGGGAGACTTGTGCTTGGGACTTAGGGTTCTAAGTCTTTTCTTTCATTATTTTTGGCTGTAACTCACTTTTACGTGGTTGTGGCCCTGGGCAAAATTTTGAAATAGGTAACTTCCCTTTGCATTCTCCCAGTACTATAAGACTCATACGTCCTGGGTTTTAGGGGTGCAAGCCAGTCCTTGCATTTTACCAGGATTCTTGAAGGCTGCAAACTCGGGATGTAAACACAAGCCATTACTGGGAGAGCATACTTGAGACATTGGAGGCCTCTTAAGATGCTTGCCTTCTCAGGAGCTCCTGTCTCCCAAAAACACAACACAACAAAGCAAAACACAGAAAGCACTTCTAATGAAAGACTTTTATTTAAATGTAAGGAGGCACCTACTTAAAGTAACTCTTAAGAAAATCACTTAATAAATATATATGACTTTTGTAATGTAAAAAATGTCTTCCTAACTTATTTGTTTTAAAATTTCAACTTTTTGACATCGTACTGTCATCCTTTAAAGTTTTGTGGGTTTTCTTAGTTTTGAACTTTTTCTTCCTTACCGTTGTCTTCCCCCTCATTTCCTGGAAAGGGAAATCGTTTCCTTCTCATGATCTGCGAGGCTTCCTTCCCTCCTCTCTCTTGTCGTTGTTTCATTTTGTTTTCGTCTTTTGGCCCCAAGGAAGCAGACGAAGAATCCTGGAGTGAGAGAGACCCGGGTTCCCATTCCAACTTTGCCCTCACTTGCTGTGAGACTTTGGCAAGTTCGTTGGCTTGTCTGAGCCTCAGTTTTCCTCCTTGTAAAATGGATATAAAAATCTCTGCACCACTGAGTTGCAGCAGTATTAATGTCATACTTTATACAGCATGCCTAGTGCCTGCCCCAGTGCAGATGCTCAGGAAATATCGTCCTTACTTAGGAGCACTCCTGTCAATGAAAACAGGACCTCTTGCCAAAGAGAAATATTTTGTGATTAGTGCTTGCTCCTGTCCCTGCCCCCATGAGCAAGTGTCCTCCCTTTCTCCTCCTGCATTGTTGAGGACACGTTTCTTGATACAAATTTAACTACAGCCACTAAATCAGAAATTCCCACCCAAAGTCATACCATAAGCAAAAAAAAAAAAAAAAAAAAAGTGGGCTTGTATATTTAAGGCTGTGGGTGGTGGAACTGGGCATGGGAGGGGAGGCCACTGAGACATCTCTTTGCTCCATCCCCTTTCTGAGTTTCCTAGGCCTCCACTGTTTTCTCTCCAAGCAGTCCCCCTAGAGTCCAGGGTCCACAGGGAGACCCGTTGTCCCTGCTCCCCCACCAATTTCTCCCAAGAGAAAGGAGGTCTCAGATGAGGACCCTTTTGCAAATTGTTGCTCTGGAGGCTGAAAAATCAAGCTCGAGCTGCCTGCTGGTCCTGATTTCCTTCCTGGCCGTTAGTCCCTGCCTTTTTCCTCTTTGTCGGTTTTCAAACGCAACTGCCCGCGCCACCGGGAGCTGCCCCTGACTTCCTCCTTCCCTCCTGGCCCCAGCTCTCCTGCTCTTGTTCCTGCCCCTGCCTCCCTCCCTAATACACTCAACTGCTTAAATGTCATTTGTGAAACAACAGAAGGACGTGCTGTTTTTGCAGCATCTTGGGGAACAATTTTTTTGATTCATTTGGTGTTAAGAACACTCATAAGAAATGTATTCAGTGACCCTCGCCAGCCTCAGTCACTGGTGTGGTTCCCATTTGGTGGTTGGTGAGCAAAACATTTTCCCCCCAGAAATGTCCACTCTTCTAGCACTTTCAGCCTTTCTCCGTAGGTTCCTTTGTCTTCAGGTCCTTGGGTACTTGAAGCCCTGCAGTTGCTAGTTCATTTTCCAGCTGGGAGAGCGATCCTGATCCAGCTCCTTCTCAGGCCTTTGAACCAAGTTCTTTGGCAACTGGCCAGGGAGGGAATATGGCCATGTCAGGCGTGCTTTTCCGGCCCATGAGATAAAAGGAATGGCTGGAAACACTATTCCTTCCGTGACTCACAGGGCCAACCTGGCATGTGCAAGGAACCCGTCAGACTGGGTGGGGACCTCCCGTCCAAATTTACCTGCGCAGACACAGCACCTCTTGGAGGAGCTAGGAAGTGGGAGTTCCCTTAGCACGTGATCCATATCTTCCCTCCAGGCCCTACCGTGCCTGTCTTGTAGCATGACGATGTATATTCTCACCTTAGTAGTCCCCTTAGCCTGTAAAGCTCTTTAGGGCAGGATCTACATCTGCGTAACCTTCAGGGCCCCCAGTGCTGAGAACTGTGCCTCACAGGTCCTAAATGTTTACTGAAAGGAAGAACACACAGGGGTGGGTGGATCACTTGAACCCAGGAGTTTGAGACCAACCTGGGCAACCAAGCAAGATGCAGTCACCACACACACACACACACACACACACACACACACACACACACTAGCTGGTTGTTGTGGTGCGCACCCACCTGTAGTCCCAGCTACTCAGGAGGCTGAGGTGGGAGGATGACTTGAGTCTGGGAGGTTGAGGCTGCAGTGAGCTTGATGGCACCACTGCAGTCCAGCCTGGGCTACAAAGTAAGACCCTGTAACAACAAAACAACAAAACAAAAAACAAAAGAAGAACACATGTATTTACCTAACTGAGGGTGGGAGTAGGGGTCAGAGAGAACTGTTTCCTTTCTCTAGACCTTACCCTGTTCTCTGCCAGAGAAAACGGTCCACACACACTTAAACGATTATTTAAAAACCTAGAGACCCTTTGCTCATTACTCAAGGTCCAGATGAGCAATTATGCTATGAATTAGAATTGGAATTAGCTGCTTGTTCTGGCCAGAACACCTGATTGCAATATAGTAACTGAATTGTCCCTGCCCGTATGAGTTATTCAGTCATTTCGGACTGTGGTGCTTTGGATTTGGTTAGACTGTCATCCATGAACACCCAGATAGAATTGTTGCTGTTTTGCAGAATCATCAACACAGGCTCCTGGGGCGTCAAAGGTGTCACAGCACCCTGACTGCAAGAGTAGATTGGGAGATGCTGTTGTGTCTCGAAATCATCCTTGGCGAATCTCCATCACACTTGGCCATTTTATCTTCCTGTTCACTTTCAGTGCCCAAGGAAGAGAATTGTGGGACCAATAGCAAAACCTTCCCCACTTGCCTTCCAGCCATGGTGAGAATTTGGAGGAAATGAAAAATAGCCTAATTCTCATACACCAAAAAATATCAAGAGTTCCTGTTCTAATGAGTTGTTTTTACATTCCACTTGACAGGAGGCTGACGATTTGTGGTTTGCAGTGTGAGTGACCTTCTTGAAAAGCATTGTGTATCTTCATTGACTTTGAACAGACCTTAACTGCTGGGTGAATTTGGGCACAGTTCATTCCCTCGGCAGATGGGCGTGCCAGATATCACGTGTACTGTCTTGGGCCTGTAATCCAAATGCACAGTAGATATTACCACCCTCCGACTTTGTTTTGGGAAATCCCCGGATGTAGAAACATTGGAGTTGTCAATTTCATGTGCGTGGGTCTTTCCCTAAACTGTGAATCCTTCCTCCCCAAAATATCATTCATTAATTGATCTTAAAAATCAGCTGGGAGTTAGGCTCCTTATTTAACACTGCCATTTGCACCTCTCGCTTATATAACACATTTGATATTCTCTTTATCTGCTTTGTCCCCACCTTTGAATATCTCATGGAGGCTGAGCTTTGCCAAACAGACAGATAGGAAGCAAAATTAGAAGCTTTTCTCTGTGCTGACTTCTAAGGGCCTTCCTGGTTTTCTGTGAAGCAACCAAAAAAAAAAAAAAAAAAAAAAGTCGAGACTGGAAGAAGCAAACTTTCAGCTAATTATCATCTTTTTTCCCCTCTGAGCTCAGAGTACTGTTCTTAATTTCCTGACCAGCTTGTACCCCTCCCCCGCTCCCTCCGAGCATCTGTGGTGGTTTCCAATGGAGCCGCATTCCTGCTGCTCTGAACTTCCAACATACCATACCAGTTGGTTTGCCAAACAGTGAACTGCCAGCCATCTGCCATCCAAAGTCAGAATTTACATTGTTTCATCTTAAAATAACGCCTCCGGAATAGCAAGCCACTCTATGCATCAGGTTTTAAAATTGACAATCAGCCAGAATTAAAAGCAAATACCAAATGGGTATAAAAAAAGAACGTTGTTGGGGGAAGGGACTAGCATTTGATGGAGAGTTTATTTTTCAGCATTTTTACCTGATTCTCCCCCAAAATAGCCATGCCATTTAATTTTATCTGCAACAGCAGGAACTACTTATAGACTGAGAACATTAACTTTTTACTTGCCTGACTCTAGATGGAAGAGCAGTTGTCCCGGTTTCAGGGAGAAGGGATCACCTCCTAATCCCAGCCTATAGGGAAGGGAGATTTGTCTTTGCCTCCTCTCATCAGGCCTCCTGGTGCTCAGGTGAGAAAGTGAAGGCACTCGGAGGTAGAACACCCTGGCCAAGGTCACATGCTGGGTAAGGGAGGAACGATGCTGTGAACCCAGGACTCCTGGCTCCAGGCATCTCGTTCTGCTCTCCATCCCTTCCTACCTCTGCATACTTGCCTTGACTAGTCAATGGGGCTGCAGGACGACCTTCATTCCCCTTCAGTCCTTAGTGCCAAGCTGAGCAGCCTTGCCTGCCTCATTCCCCTGCTCCTTCAGGACAGATAGGCAGGAAGTGATGTCCATCTGCAGGACTGGGGACACCTGGGGGCCTGTGATGTTTACTGGTCTTGTGGCCTGTCGAAAGGGAAGAGCAGCCATTTTATCTGGACGGCTTTCTAGAGCAGATGGGCTCGGAGGAGACTGATTTTTTGAAAGAGAGAAAGAGAAGAGGCTTCATGTTTCGTTTAGGGAAGCTGTTCCAGGCAAAGGCAGCTTGGGGAAAAGTGTGAAGTTATGAGTGGGCAGAGGAAGCAGAGGGCTCTGAATTTATACCAAAGACACCTGCCTACAGTTTGAAACTCTGTGCCACAGGCAAGCCCGTGTGAGCTCGGAAGATGCGAGGGCCCCAGGCTGGGCAGGGCACTGCGTGGCCCTGAGCCAGGCCTTGTGCAGGCTCTCTGGAATTTTCTTTGAGCCGGCAGTGGGGACAATGGCAAGCATTACCCTGACAGACATTCCGGAGTCAAGGCATGCTGCCTGCTCAGCTGGGTCTTGATGTGAGGGTCAGCGATGGGAGCTGTGGTGATCTTTTGGTCTGGTTTGGTTTTTGGCCAGAGAGTGGCATCTCCCTTTGGAAGCGTTCTCTCACCCCCAGCACCATCCCTGCTCCCGCATCCCCTGCTTGTACCTGTAACAGTACCTGCTACACTGGCCAGGCTTCGTTGCTGGGGACGTCTGTCCATCCTGCTAGACTCCTCGTGGTCGGCGGCTGTCTTAACTGATCTTTTTCATTCTGAGCACCATTAGTATGTGCTCAGCTAATATCATGAGTGAATCAGTAAATTGCTGAGATGACGTAGGACTTAACTGGTTGTGCTGACCACCAGACCCAAGGCTGCCAGACCACGCTGTTGCCTCTGTGAAAGCCACTTGGGTTGACCTGAGGTCTTGTGATATTGTTGTGTTCCGGTTGGGCCTTATAATTAAGTAGTCTCCCCTTATCCGCCGTTTCGCTTTCTGTGGTTTCAGTTACCTGTGGTCAGGTAACTGCAGCCCAAAAATATTGAATGGAAAATTCCAGAAATAAACAATGCGAACATTTTAAATTGCATGCCGTTCTGAGCAGCTTGATGAAATCACACACTGTCCCACTCCATCTGTCCTGAGACCTGACTCATCCCTTTATCTAGTGGATCCACGCTGTCTACACTGCCTATCTGTTAGTCACTTAAAGACATCTTGGTGATCAGATCGACAGATCACAAGATGGGTGAGTAAGAACAATAAGATATTTTGAGACAGAAAGAGAGACCACAGTCACATAACTTTTATTACAATATATTGTGATAATTCTTCTGCTTTATTAGTGTTGCGATAATCTCTTACTGTGCCTAATTTATAAATAAAACTTTAACAGGTAGGTATGTATACGAAAAAATATAGTATATATAGGGTCCCATATCCTCTGAGGTTTTGAGCATCCACCGGGGGTCTTGGAACATATCCCTCATGGATAAGGAGGGCTTCCGTATTAGCAGGTTATGGAGAACATCCTCGTGTGCTAGTCACTGTACAAGGCATGCACTGTAGGTCTTATCTCAGATCACTTAATTCAGTTTATTAGCAATGGCCCTGTGAAGTGATGAGCCAACCAAGGCACAGAGGTGTTGACTTTCCCCATGTCACACTGCGAGTGAGTAGCAGAGGCAGATAGGAACTTGCAAGGGCTCCGATCGCGGGCATCCCATTGCTCTGTCTCCGGCGCTGGCTGGACCCCACTGGTGTGTTGTGCTCAGCACTGGAGCTAGTCTGAAGTGCCTTCACCCACAGCACATCTGGAAGAGGGTAACTGGGATGAGGCAGGCCTCATGAGGAAGGCGTTCTAGTTTGCCTGAGAAGCCCAAGTGAGGGGGGAAAGCTGCTTTTAAGACTCTGCTCGTTTGTCCGTGGCAGAGAGGGTGTGCTCACTTACTCCAGGTGACAGGAGGGGACTTGTGGGTGAAGATGGCAATGGGGCCAATGCTAGCCCATCAGGAAGGGTTTCCAAGCAAGTGGAGCTGCCGGACGGTAGAATTCCCTGCCCCGCGAAGGAATGAGTGTCCTGCCACAGCAGAGCCAGGCACAGCAGAATGACCATGAGTCATGAAGCCATGGAAAGAAAGGGTACCTCGCTGATCCAGATCGTGGGACAAGTGTACCTTCACACATCCACTCTGACTACAAATTTGGTTCATTCCATACTGTGATGATATATTTCTGAAGCTTAAAATACTTTTAACGCATTTTTACAGAGTGAGTCATTTTAAGGCCTCCCCCTGCCCAGCCTTGTAAATCTGATCAGGAGAATCCAAATTTATTTTAAAATGAAACAAAACACGAATAAGATGTGCAGATAAGATGGAGTGCAGCACTATCATTTGATTTGCTAAAAGATGTCTTCCTTTGCAAAATCAGAAGATGAAAGTGTGACTCCTTCCAGGGGCTGTGAGTGTTGATCTGCGGAAGCCCTGGGGCCGAGGTTGCTGGCCATAGGCAGCAGAGGGGCCGGGAGGCGACTCATGGCCAACACCGGAGTGGGGTGGTCCCAGTCCTGGTTGCCTCTAGTGAAGGAATCTCTAGATGCAAGTTTAAAACCGTGCCTAGCCCTCTGGCCAAATGCTGTTTTCAAGATGCACTGTTCCACAATGAAAGATAAAAGCTCTTTTATTAAAACAAAGCAGTTGTAAAACAGTTTGTATCTGATCCTGAGTTAAAGGCATTACTAAGGGAACCACATAGGGACAGAGTGAATGTCACTTCTTCCATTAAGTTTCATAGTGTTTGCTGCCCGCACATGCTTGTACCTGTCTTGTCACTTTTCCCTTCTGCCTGGGAGACGGGTCAGTAAATTCCAAAGGGCCTTTTGCTAATCTAACAGCCAGAAAACCAAGCAAAGGCTTCTCCCCTACTGATCTCCAAGAGCTTAGCAAGAAAATGAAATTCTTGTGGTTCTAGGGCACAGCTGTGATAACCAGGGACCAACACCCGCAAGTGTGTTGAAACAATAGGCCTGAAGTCCAAAAGCTAAAAGAATAAGTGTTAGAATCCAAGCTCAGGATTCACAATGAGTTCGAGATGAACTCTACATTCAGTTTTTGGAGAAAAACAGTTGTATTAAGTAGTGACTGAGTATTTAAGGATGAAGTATTAAGTTTCAAAACTGTTCAATATTATATTAAGTATTAAAAACTAAAGTGACCTTTTAAATACTGTTGAATTATGCCTCCTTTCATAGAGTTCTTTAAAAAAAAAAAAAACGAAGAAGAAATTATCTGTCTCCTCAGCTAAGAAATAATCTATTCATCCATTCTAGACAGCTTATTTGAACATAGCATGATCCTGGCACTACTGCCCCCCTAATGGTTGAGTGCTTTAATTGCAGACAAAGTACCCAACGAAATCAAACACTGAAATTTCAAAAGGAAATATAATTAGAGCAAACAAAATGCCATCTACAGAGACTGATTTTAGTAAGTTACTGACTGTCACACCCAGTGAAGACTTTGTCATCTTTTGACCTTTAGTTGTCTTTTGACTTGTGGTGCTTCATGCATTAAAACTCCCATCAGAGATTAAGAAAAGGTAATATAAAAGGAGGATAGAAATTTATAATATATTAAAATTTGATTTTAGGATGAAAACTTAAAAATGAGGCATAGGTTAAAATAATTATTAATACGGGATAGGTAATGTTCATTAATAGTCATTCTATTTGTGCATCATTGATAGCATAAGAATTTATTTAACTTAATTAGGGCCAGTTAATCCAAAAAATACTCTTTAAAAACAGTCACAGAAGCAAAAATACATATGAGAATTATTCATCAGTTTTCTAAGTTTCAAAGCACTATTATATAACTTATAGCAGATAAAAGAGGAACAATCATTCATTCATTCTCCTATGTGGTTATGAGACCATGAGTTCATAACTAACCACAAGTCAAGGTTCTAACATCAAATCCTTGATGGACACTTGGCATGCATGTTCTGTTCATATTGAAGAAGAAACTAGATGCTGAATCTTCAGTAGTAGTGTTGCCTTTATAAACTTTTGTTTTGCCATCATTTTTGCTTTCTGGTTTAATAATAGCCAACATTTGTCTCGTGTTTTGCAGCTGCAAAATGCTTCCACATGTCATTTTCATTCCCTCAAGCCTGGTTCATTAGTTCCTTTGTTTTATGGATTTGGAAGCCATTATGTTCAAAGAAATGAAATGACTTGCTCAAGATCACATAACCAATAAGTGGCAAAGGAAGGATGTGAACTTAGATTCCTTCCTTAGCCTCTTTATTCCATGCTTCTCCCACTACCAGAGTACTGCTTCCTGTGAGAAGAGTGGTCCCTCCAAAGGGCAATCCTTGTTATACATGGTGGCATAGCATACGGGCGGCCAGTGAAGAAATAGCAAGTTAGGCAGAGAATGACCCAGTGCCTGAGGCTTCCAAGGAAACAGATTTCACACAAACTATGAAATCTACTTGTCCTTTAATGTAATGTTGGTTGTCATTTAATCATTTATTCATCCAGCAATAATTACTGGCAGAGCAGCAGCCATATCCCTTGAACTGTGAGTACGGGGAGCAAAGTCCTGGTCACCGCCTTGAGGAGCCACCTTTTGATGAATTGTAAAACACCTCTCCCTCGGGCCAACCACTTTGCTCTCCTGTACTTGCCACCTCCAGGCCACGTTACATACCTGGAATATCAGGCTGTCACAGTGAACGACAAGGAGGAAGCCCTGCTTTGTCAAAGATGCCCCATGGCATTCACTGAAGAGGTCCTGTGGGTCGGCTCCTGGCTGGCCATGTGGATTTGTCCTCCTTCCAGATGAGTCAGCTTGGGGATATTCATCTGAGCAGATAAGTGCCAATGTTGCCATGGAGAGAAAAGGCGCCAGCGTTTTGTTCTGGGACGTGCTGTCACACACGCTCGTGGGCAGGTCATGAGAAGACGTGTCTGAAGTGTGATCCAAGTCTGCATGCCACAATTCAAATCCACCCTCTGCAAATGATTCTTACCCTAGGCACATCCGAATCCCCTGGAGATGTTTTCAGACCATGCTAACCCACTGCACCCCTGCCGCAATCCCGATGAAGGTGCAGAGCTCTCAGTGTCATGATAGATGATTAGGGAAAAGCTTAATTCTTTAGTTATTTTTAGGATATGTTATTTTGGAACAAGATCGAGAAGGATGTAAGTACCAACAGGCATTTGAAAGCCAGAAGGGAAGTAGTGAGCCATCCCGGCCTCTAGAGATGGTGCAGTTTTAAGACTAGGAACACCCCTATATTATGGGAGAAGTTGCTTCCTGAGCGCGCTCTCATGCTGGACATGGGGAGAGTGTCCTCAGTCCCCAAACCTGTGCCGGCCGGCGCCTCGTTCCGTAGCTTCCCTGACCCCACATAGAACTCATGCAAGGTTGACAGAAGCCTTCTTTCTAGGGTTCCCACACTTTAGGGGTGACATAATTGTTTACTTCTCGTTCTCAGGTTTTTGCCTGCATAAAAGTAAACAGCAGCAAAGAGAAACATTCTTTCTAGTTAGGAAGGAAGAAGAGACATTGGTCATCAAGCAGAGACAGTGTTTGGATCCCTTAGCATGGCATGCAAGGCTGTACAGTTTTCCAGAGTCCTTTCCCTCCACCTACCGCCTGTTAGCTACCAGAAGCTCCTTGTTTGCCTCAGTACCTCTGTGCCTGCCTTCTTTGTGGTCGGTGGTGTTGCAGTTCCTACCATGCAAGCATAACCACGTCTGCCTTCTCCGCTGTGCCTAAGAGGAAGGACTGTGGCGCATCCATCTTTGTGTTCTTAGACTCCATGTCTTGCAGGACTTGGGACATGGTTGACTTGGCAACACTTGCTGAAGGTTTGCCCAAGTTTGGTTCTCTGACTCTCTGATTTTGTGGGATTTCCAGAAGTCTTTCCTTACACATGAGAAAGTGTAGGGAAGGAGAAGTCTTATCATCCTACACATGAGATTGAATGATAGATCAAAGAGCCCCAGGCAGAACGAGCTTGTTGATGCCATATAATCTTAAGCATTTGCAGCGATTGTCATTGCCACCTCATGACAATTGAGTCTGGGATGATAGAGCAGTGTTGGCAGCACTGGGGCCTCTGGAAGGGCATCGTTAGCTCTTCTCACCAGGCAGGGCCTTCCCACCTTTTGCCTCTACACTACTCGGGGCTTTCATGCTGGGTGTCATTGGCCCTGCTGGGCAGCCATTGCCATAGGAGCCAGAGGGGTCCAATTGGGAATTAAGAAATAAACTATAACAATCACAGGCCTCATTGAGCGGAAAGTGCTCAGAGTCATTTTCCAAGGGAACTCCATGGAGATTACTTTCAGAATGCTCACAAATAAGAGAAACAGATTCCTTCTGCATGTGAAGCGTATTGCAGTTATAAAATGCTCGTGCATATATGACTTTATTTTATTTCCATTCAGTAATGTTATGAGTAAATAGGGCATGTGCTGTTTTCCCGATTTCTAGATAAATAAATGAAATCTCAGAGAGTCTCACTTTTACAACCACTGTGTTCCTAGCAACGGTAACTATCCAATTGAAATGAATCTCCTCCCACCTCCCTCCCTCTCTCTTTCTGAACAAAGGGGGTTAGCTTACAATTAGACAAAACTAAGATATGAAAAAACCATAATGAGTAACAGTGATGTGAAACAGACTGGAGGTGCCCCCAGGAATTTGCAATAGAAGGTTGGAATGGTTAGGGAATAATAATTTAAATAATAGCTACTATTTTTGAAGGTTTAAGAGTCAAGATAGACAACTAAAACCAGTCTAGAAACTCCAATAAAGCTAAAAATAGGATTTCCTGTATAGGCTTAAGCGTGTGCTAAGCACTTTGCTAAGTTGTTATTACTAACATTATTATTATTTGAGGCGGAATCTTGCTCTGTCACCCAGGATGGAGTGCAGTGCTGCGATCTCGGCCCAATTGCAACCTCCGCCTCTGAGGTTCAAGAGATTCTCCTGCCTCAGCCTCCCAAGTAGCTGGGATTACAGGCATGGCATTTACCACACCAGCTAATTTTTGTATTTTTAGTAGAGACGAGGTTTTGCCATGTTGGCCAGGCTGGTCTCAAACTCCTGACCTCAGGTGATCTACCCTCTTCGGCCTCCCAAAGTGTAGGGATTACAAGCGTGAGCCACCGCGCCCAGCCGCTAAGTGATTATTTACCAGCGAAATCTTGTCTAATCCCCCATCCAGTTCATGAAATAGGTACTGTTTTTACTGACATTTTTCCAAATAGTCAACCAAGGACTGAAAGATTAGGTAAATTGTCCACAGTAGCTCAGAGATGTGGCTTGAACCCAGGACTGTCTGACCAGTGGTTTTTTTCTCTTTTTAGAGACAGGGTCTTGCTGTGTTGCTGTGTTGCACAGGCATGTGCGGTGGCACGATCCCTGCTCACTGCAGCCTTGAACTCATGGGCTATCAAGCCTTGATCCTCCTGCCTTGGCCTCCGAAAGTGCTGGGATGACAGGCATGAGCTACCTTGCCCAGCTACTGACTGGTACTTTTGACACAGCACTAAGTTGCTGCCTTTGTGGGCCCCATGGGGGAAGCAGGGCAGGAACTGGGCCTGGAAGGGGATCAGGGTTGGCTTGCATGGGGGCCAGAGGCAGGGGATTCCGGGAAGGAAGCCAGCATGACTGCAGGCACAGGGGGCAACACCAGGAGTGAGGGCACGTGCCGGGGGGCTGGGGAGATCAAGTGGGACAGGTGAGAATGGGCCAGATGATGACCGCACTTTGGAGCCCAGCAGAGGAGCTTAGACCTGGTAGGGTGGGCTGTTGAGCCCCTGGAGGGCTCTGAGCAGGTGCAGGAGGTGAGAAGTGCGGTGTCTGTACAGATCTCTGAAGTGAAGCATTGGCTGTGGGGTCAATATCATGGCCATGGGCTTTCGGAACCCATGAAAAGACTGTGGGCTGGACCCAAGGGCAGATGCATGTCTCACTGCCATGCTCGCCCTCCCCAGCTCACCGCACACCCAGTTCCTGGCTTCCATGCAAACTCAGGAAACACCAGTGGAGACATTGTCCCCTGCCATTAGGCTGATTGATCGAGAAGTCAAGCCGCCTTATGTTCAGTGTAGTGAGCTGATGGGCTTTTGTTCTCCAGGCCAAATTCCTACGATCCGTTTGGTCCCAGAACACTTTGCCTGTGGAGTTTATGAGAAGCAAGTACAGAAGTAAACTTACAGAATGTAATTTTGAGACTATGGACAGAGATATTAGAGGAGAAAACTGTGATTCTCCTAAATCCAAGGGCTGGTGGTATTGGATGGGTTGGCTGCACCAGCGGGAGTGGGAAGACCCCTTTGTGGACCTTGGTGCTGTACGGGAGAGGTGATAAGAATAGCCACCAACCTAGCACATCCTGCAGGCTAGATCCTAGGCTGGGTACCGTGCATATGAGTCCCGCAAGAACACTATGAGGAAGGTCTTATGAGTCCAGTATTGCAGAACAACAAATTAAGTCTCAGAAATATTTTACAAATCGCCCAAGGTCTTCCAGATAGTACATGACAAGTGAAATTACAATGTAGGCCTTCCCTGTGTCCCACTCTATATTAGCAGGAGGTAGGTGGTCCAGGTCTTTGCTATGAACCATTCAGAGTCTGACAGTTTAGCGTGCATTTCCCCCTCAATTTTGCCTTTGAAATCTCTTGTGCATTTGAACAGATGAAAAAACTTTGGGATTGACTTGTTGGATATGGTTTGGATGTTTTGTCCCCTCCAAATCTCATGTTGAAATGTGACCTCCGATGTTGGAGATGGAGCCTAGTAGGAGACATTGGCTCGTGGAGGCAGATGCTTCGTGAATGGCTTGGTGCTGTCCTCACGGTAATAAGGGAGTTCTCACCCAGTTCATGCAAGAGCTGGTTGCTTAAAAGAGCTTGGACCCTCCTCCTCTCTCTCTTGCTCCCTCTCTCACTATGCGATATGCCTGCTTCCCCTTTACCTTCTGCCATGATTGTAAGCTTCCTGAGGCATCACCAGAAGCCAAACAGATGCTGGTGCTATGCTTGTGCAGCCTGCAGAACCGTGAGCCAAAAAACCTATTTTCTTTATAAATTACCCAGCCTCAGGTATTCCTTTATAGCAGTGCAGATGGAATAACACACTTGTACAGCCACAAATCTGCTCCCCCTCTTCCTACTTATTCCTATCTTTTTTGCATCTTCCATCCTCCCCATCTCCAAAACATTTAGGGAGAAACAAGGCTGGCGTCTGCTGGGTAGCAGTCTGACTGATTATCAGGCTTAGCCTGATCAGGAGCTGTTGGCATTACACACCACATAAGGACAGCTGGTATGGATCTTTGGCCCTGAAGGTAGATGAAGAACCTTCATATCGGAGGCATGACCACAATTTTGTTTGCAAAACTGAATTAATATGCTTACGCTTCTATCTTCGTGCCCCTAGTGGAATGATGTTTGTGGAGCCAGTGGCCTGTGGGTGCCTCGAGAAGAACAGGGGTAGGGCTGGCTGCACCTTATCAACAGCTGATCAATAGCTATCAACCTGTCAACCAGCCAGGGAGTCAAGGATTCGAGGGAGATGCTCGCTAAGCAGCAGCAAGTTCCTGGGCATTGGCTTGTCCAGAATGGCAGTTCCTGGGTAAATAATGAGACCGCATCACCAGTGGAAATGGGAAAACACACAGGTACACCATGCTGGTGCCTGCAACACCTCAAAGACCAACATCTTGCTTCGGGGGTTGAAACCAAGTGGTCGAGACTTTACACAAATGCCTGGTCATGGTCATTTCTTTTCTCTGTAACTTTGGTTGCCCTGACTAGGTGGCTCTGAAGGAGAGAATTCCCCCGACCCGACTTCTTTGCACTGGACTGGAATTGAGTATTAGGTCAATACGATCAGTGCTACTTTGGAGGTTTCTGTGTGGACTTTCTGATGGGGGAGGAAGGCGTGATTACTAACTTGAGTTCCTATTAATCACTCTGTTCCCCTCCCCGGTCAGGTTCAGGACTTTCCTCTGAAGGGCCTGGGGAAGATTGCGTCTTCGTGCAGCTTGATTTGGTTCAGCCTTCTCTTAGCAAATTCCCTTTCTGGGTGGCCGACTCACATTTCTGACAATCTGAGCTGCTCATGGTTGCTTAGGAGATGGATAATGCATTCCTTTAGCTAAGTCACTTGGGAAACATTTAGCACCACTTGTACATGGGCGATCACATGTCTCTTAGGGCATTGATACTTCTGACAAGTTTCTTGAGGCTTCTCCTATCCCTGGCTTCTACAATGCAGCCAGGAACAGCAAATGCCATTTGGCTCACTTAATAGCAAGGCATCTGTAGGACTGCGCCTGTATTTTTAATCAAGTGCAGATTTAGAAAATACCTAATTAGAGGCAGGACAGCAGCATCTTAAGGTCATGGGCTCTGCTGTGATATTATCTGGGCTTGGATCTTGGGCATGGCACATTGCTGCTCTGCCTTGCCTCAGTTTCCCAATCTCTACAATAAGGGTAATGATAGGACCTGCCTCCTGGGGTTTGGTAAATGATAAATAACTTATTCCAGGTAAAGCTCTTAGAATACTACCTGACACACAGTAAGTGCTTAATAAATAGTAGCCTCTATTAAGCATGTTAAACCCCAAGGGAATCCTATTTTTAACTTTTTTGGAGTTTTTGAACCAGTTTTAGTGATCTAGTTCAACTCTTAGAACTACCAGTGTTCGGTGACCACATGCAGTGAACTGAGATATGCTAGGTGCTGAATATATAAAGACAACTATACAAAGTTTGGTTTCATAAAGAGATTTTCATCTAGTGAAAGCAAGTATTCCTGGGCATAGCCACAATAAATACGCAGGTGCCTTCTTTACTGTATCATTGCACTGAAGTCAGGCAACAAGAGAGCTTGTGTGAACCCTGTTTTAAAAAGGGTGTAAGCGGGGAAGGGATCAAGAGGACTGAATGTTAGCCCAGATTCTTTTGTTGTGTGACCTCGGGTAAGCCACTGAAGCCTTCTAGATCTGACTCAGGTTCCTCATCTGAGAAATGGGGCTACAAAGTTATGCACTAACTTCTAGCAGTAATTCACGTTATGCAGCTGGGTAGGAGATAGTGCTCTGTCCCACTGAACGTAATGATCGCGAGTTTTTCTTGGAACGATTTGCCTGCTGTACAGGTGGAACTAACCAGAGGGTGAAAACCAGGCCAGTTCACCTGCGTGGCTTAACGTTAATTACATTTGACATTCTTGCCTGGCAAAATCCCAAACTGGAAGGTGGCCTGAAGCCCCTTTAAGGGGATTTCTGCCAGCATCTACGTGGGACTTCTGATTTGAGGCACAGTTTGCTTTATAAAGAACCAGATTCTCTGATATTACTAGTAGCAGTCTTTTTCCATTAGCAGATAAGCCAAAGTGTATTACATAGTAATTACTGACTCTGCTAGAAGGCAGAGCTTCTCTTGTAGCCATATCCTTTGGGTGGATGGGTGGATGGGAGAGCCGGGGGCATCTAGGAGGGATGAGGTAAGGAGTATGCATATTTTTACCCAGAAGTGTACTCTGCAATTTCCACTTTTGGTTTTGTCTCTGCCTAGTGAGATGTAATACCAAAATGGCTCACGGAGACTGCTGGAACCCCGTGTCCAGAGCTTGGGAGCAAGCGGTCTGTGTCTTTCACAGCACTGCAGCTGCCCGATTTCAGGCTCAAAAATCAGATTGGAACCTCTGCTGGGTTCACAGGGCAAACACCCTCTGGCAAGTGACTCTTTCAGAGGAGGGTTGTGAACAGCCACGTGCTGGGTGTGGAGGCAAGTGGGTCTCCAGGGCAGCCGGCTGGGATCCACTTTGCACAGATCTCGCCTCACCAGGAGGAAGCTCCCTGGCAGTGCAGGCCCCCGTGATCCAGGAGGGACTGCGCTTGAGCTTAGGTGATGGCAGCAGGCGTGTGACTCCCACACTGGGAGCTCTGGCCCCAGAACAGAAGCTTCTAATCAGCACCACCTGCTCAAGGCAAAAGGCCCCGGGTGGCCAGGCCAGCAGATGTCTTTATCAGTGGCTCGACATTGGCAGAGGAACTCTGTGGACTCCTGAGGGCACAGGGCGGAAGCAGGGAGAAAGGGCTGTGGATGGGGATCAGGGACCCTGGATTCTAGTCTCAGCTCTGCCACAGGCTGGCTGTGTGGCTTCTCCCCTCTGGGCCTTGACACAGAAAGCTGACATTAGAGTTAGATCACCTCTGGGTCCCTGTGGTGCTAGCAGCCTGCGTTCCTTCTGGATTCTAAGGGACCACAGGGAAAAGCTGTTGCCCAGTGAGAGACTCATTGGGTGGGCAGCTGCCCCAAGGAACATCTTTAGGGAGCCCTGCAGTCTGGCCCCATGGCACCCCAGAAACTAGGAGGGCTGCCGGCTAATCCCCTGGTGATAATTCTCAGTCTCTGTGAACCACTGAGGCATTTCCTATCAGGGTGGCATCTCCAGTGACCTTGCTGAGTTGGTGACTTTGACGGTGAACAGGCTGGGTGAGACTGGGCTCACTGTGGCCATCAGAACCCAAGCTGGCTTCATCTCCCGGCCAGGAGAGAGCCTCACCACGTGGGCTCCTAACATCCCCCTCAGCAGCTCCGCGTCCCTTCTTCACAGAGGCCATTCAACAGCCAGTGATTCTCAACATGTGGTCCCCATTGGCACCACCTGGGAACTTGTTAAAAATGCAGATTCTTGGGCTCCACCCCAGAACTTCTGGCTCAGATACCCTGGGGGTGAGGCCCAGTAATTCATGTTTAAAAATCCCTGCAAGTGTTCTGAGGCACACTAAGATGTGAGAGCCACTGCATCAGACTAACCACGTGTGTTCCTCTTTTATTTAAAACCATATCTTATTAAAACACCAACTTAGCAATAAAAGAGCCCTTAAAAATCACCCACAGCCCTACTGCCCCATCACAGCACCTGCTGTCATCTCTCTTCCAGCCTTGGTCCATTTGCCTGCATATTTTTTTACGCAGACATGCTTATGTTGGACTTTTTTTCACTTAACAGTATTAGTGCGTCTTTTCCATTGCTTCATAACCTTCATATTTGTCATTTTCATTGACTGCAGAACACCTCCCTAATGTACTGGCTTTATGGCCTGGCTGCCCTGTCCATAAGCATTTGGTGACTTGCCACTTTCCATTTTTGGAAAAGTCACCTGTCTGCCCAGGGAAAGTCACCTTTTGGGGAATTCCACTGCCCAATGCCTAACCTTCCCTGTAAGCCCTCAACATGAAGTGATCCAAAGAAGATTGCTTAACGAAGAAAAAAAAAAAATCCAGCCAGCCCAGAACAGATACAGAATCTGCAGGGATGGATCACCACTGAACGTTCCCTGCCCTCCCCAGTGTTCTGAACCCGAGTCTTTTCTCATTTCACTCGCAGGTGGCGTCAGCAGAGGGGGAGCCCGGGCTGAGGCTGGGCTGGAGCCTGTGGCCTCGCCCCATGCCAGGCCCTCCGTCTGGTCATTTCCTGAGCATCCTGGTCTCCCAGCAGGAAGGCCAGTCCTTCCTCTCATGCCCCCTCCGCCTTCCCCCCTCTTCCCCTCTGGCACCCTGGTCTCCTCCCAGACACTCAGCTTGGCCAGCACACCCTCTAGTGGTAGCCCCTTTGTTTTGACAAGACCTATAATGGTTCTGGGGCCACGTACATAACACTAAGATTATTTTGTTAGGATAAATTCCTAAGTATGGGATGGCCAGGCCTAGGGTAACCCTCAGGGTTTCTTTTAGGCCATGATCTCTTCTGCCAGTGGCAGTCTGCAGGCGTGCTCCATCAGTGGGTCCATGTTGCTTTGGGGATAAAATTCGAACTTCATGACATAGCAAACTATGTTCATCATTATTGGCTCATGGACCACAAACTCAGGCCAGATGCCTAGAAGGGGCAGATTAGTGACATAAGTACTGATTGGGCCAGACGATACGAGAGGGTGGGCCTACAATGAGCTAGAGAGAATACCCAACCTAATCACAATCAACAACAGAAAGTTCTAGTGAAAGAGAAATGGTGGAGAGTGCTGATGTCCATCTTGTTCTTGGTTTATGTCTTTAGCCTCAGCTTTGTCTACTATACATCTCCTCCTGCACATCCCAGGCATACCTGAATGGGCCCTGCTCTCTCTTGCCTGTTTTTTGTTTCGTCTGCCTTTTCATGTGCTGTTTCCTCTGCCTAAATGTTTATTTCCTTTTTATCTCTCTGGATGATTCCTACTCATGATTTAAGATTCAGCCAGAAGGGTCACCTCCTTTGGAAGCTTTTTCTAGGACAAGCTCTGCTATGTTAGGAGGAGGCCTGGCGTTTGGGTAGACAACTGGAGAGGGCCTTCCCTGCACTGTATTTGGTGGGATGGAGCCATGGCGCTGAAGGCTCATCGTTTTTGAGAGCATCATTGCAATTCACTTTTCAAATTTCTTTCTTTAAGGCTATTCCAAGGGACTTATGAGAAATGCTGATGGTGTGGCCTCTTTTCCTGGGCAGTTACCCTGGTTAGCCCAAAGTAGACTCTGGACTCTTCCAGGGACAGTCCAAGATAGAAATATGCAGTTACATTTAGTAATTTCTTTCCTTTTCTAGACTGAGGGCCATTTTTTCATCTTTATGTCTCTGGAAACCAGTAGTATGCTTGGCGCACAATAAGTATTTAATACATTATTTTTGAATGGATGGATAGAAGACTGGAGAGATGGATGGAAGGAGGGAGATGCATGGACACATGGATGGCTGGATGGATGGATGGATGAACAGACAGATGGGTGGATGGATGGAGGGTTGGGTGGAGAGATGGATGGATGGAATGGAATGCTGGCTGGCTGGCTGGATGGCTGGATGGGTGGGTGGGTAGATGGATGGATGGAAGGCTGGAGGGAGGGGGAGTGATGGATGGATGGGTGGTGGGAGGGAGGCATGGATAGATGGACGGATGGGTAGAAGGATGGATGGATGAAGAGATGCATAGATGGATGGGTTTATGGATAGAAAATGGATGGATGGATAAATGATGGAAAGATGGATGGGTGGAGAGATGGATTGATGGATATCCTATATCTATTCCTATGCTTCTGTGGCTTCTGAAGAGGTGCCTGGGCAGTGACTTCCCCAGTGGTCTCTCCCAAACCTTTCCCCTCTGTGACCCTCTACCTAACACAGCCTTTTCTCCTTTTTCTTCTTCCCACCACCCACTCTCCCATGTTCCTCTTTTTAGCTTTACCCTCATCCCAGTATTTTTCTCTCCTTTCTTTTCTCTTTGATCCACCCTATTCCTAACATAAACCAGTCCATTCCGTACCTCCTCTTGCTTGTTTCACCCTGAGTAATTAGCCAGGAAGTTTTTGGTTTAGGGCTAATCCCCAGGACCTCAGAAAGGACATGTCCTGAAGAGCAGAATCCCCAGAACATTTCAGGGGAAGAGCTGGGAGGAAGGGACTTATGAGGCCTAGATGCTGGAGCTGGGTGTACCCTACGGGCCCCTCCCCAGTGAGTTTCCATCACCCTTCACAATGGAGTCAAATCCATCTGCTGTCCTGGAGACTAGGCTGGTAGAGGTGGGAACGAACACACATGCCCTCAAACCTTGTGGGTGGGGCTCTAGGTTCTGGCATTCTTTCAGGAGTTGCTAGACTGACCCACAGGATGGAGCACTTTTCCCTACTGCCCCATAATGTCAGGGGTAATAGGTGCTGCCCCAATGACAGTGCTAAAGCAGAATCAGGGCAGACCCTCAGGAAGCTGATGAGACCTTTGCTTCCGTGGAGATCAAGGAGCTGTAACAATGACACCTGAAGTCACTGCCATCTTTAGGGACTGGAAAAATCACCCTGGGTGATCTGTTCCCTGCCCCACCTCAGGCACCTGCCACTCTTGGGACCCCAGGGGATTAGAGGCATGTCAAGAGCAGACTTCCAGAGGACAAATCATGAGTAGTACGTATTGGAAGAAGTAATATGTGATTGGAGAATAGTAATGCTAAGCCATTTCTTTCTGCGTGGTACAAGGTTCTCCTGCCCAGTACAGGTGAGGAAACTGAGTCCCAGTGAAGTTAAGTGGCTTTCTAGAAGCTCTACTGCCCCCAGTGACCGCTGGACTGGGCAAGGCTGTTGCAGCTGCAGGCCTTTGGCTGTGGTTGAGCTGCAGTTGTTTGTGTTAGTTTCAGCAGATGAGGCTGCTGGCTTCCCTCTTATGGCTGCTCTTCCAAGGCCTCCAGCAGGCCCAGCAGCCCAGGAGCCTTCAGGCTTGAAGATGGCCCTGCCCTCAGATACCCTCCTGCACTGCGGCTCTCTTGAATCTTTAGGAGGAAAACCCCTAGCCATGATCATGGTCTTCATCTCCCAACCCACACTGCTGGAAGAGACACCTGTACCCAGAGTCGCCCTTGTACTGCATTTGGTGGAAAGGTCCCTCTAGCAGCTGGTGTTGGGGCTCATCTTGACCTGCAAGGAGGCAGGCTTTGAGTGCCCTATTTGCAGAATGTCCAGAGGCTGTCATTCTACACCTGCCTCTCATTTGGAGACCTGAACTAGAGTTGTAAAGGTGGTGCCAGGAGAGGGCTTTGCCAAGGCATCTCATGAAAACCTGGCCAACAAGTGTTAAGGGTCCACCAACTACAGTTACTGAGGCAAACACCTCATCTCTGCATTCAGAGTTAGCAGAGGACAAAGGACTCGAATGGGCTAAAGGTCATTCAGGGGCAAGAATGGCATTTCTGGACTCTTCTCCTTAGTCATGGAAGGACAAGGCTGTGCTGGGAAGAGGTCCCACTCTGCCACTAACTAGCTGGTGTTGCAGCTTGAAATCACCCAGTCTCTGCCCCTGACGGTTCCTGGTCCACCTTAGATAATACTCTTCACCCTCCACCGCCAGCTCCCTTTCAGGTCTTCATCTTCCTGAATGTGGTTTCCTCTTTGAAACTTTCATCTTCTCCTGCAGTGCTGGATGTGAGAGGACAATCCCTGGACCATCACTTTTGAAATGGGCAAGAGGTAGGGGCTTCCCTAAAGATCGGAAACAGGCATGAGAGAATGCTGTGTTCACCCACCTGACCCTTGGGTAAACATCTGAGGCTCAGGATCATAGATCCAGTTGATGGCAGAGTCAGGACTGTCCCATGAAGGGTGCCAGCCAACTCTGCTGCCATCTGGAAGGGCAAGAAGGCTGCAGGGGCAGAGGGCAATGTGCAGGCTTCCACAGGAGCTCCTGTGTGAGATGGGGGTCACAGGTGGTGGCAGGAGAGGACTTTGCCAAAGCATCTGAATGTCAGCATGCAAAGTGGGGTGCATGGGGTCCTGCAATGAGAAGAGGTTCCGGTTCACCTCGCACAGGGTCAGTTTCAAAGCGTGTGTGTTGTGTGTTTCTGTGTGTGAAGGAGAGACGGTTTTGTGGCCTATTCTAACTCAAGCAGCTTCTGAGCTCTAGTGAAGTAGTTTCAATTTGGTTCCTGCGGCTTAAAAGGTTGCTGGAACACTTCAGCAAAATTGTAGCTCCTTAATTTAGCTGCCTGTCAGTTATTTTTTTTTTCCAGGTGGTTTCAGGTTGACGGTGAGTTTGACATTTGTAAAAATGTTTTGGAAACCATATTAGACACCTTGAAGTGAAAAGGAATTTAAAGTACCTTATTCCAGGAAGCGGGATTGGAATTATTCTTCTGCCTACCCCAAATCGGATCGCTTTCCTTTCCTTAATCTACATGGACAAAGCCCAGTGCTGCATTGGGAAACTGTAGGGTGCTTTGAGCACATGGCCTTTGTGAATTTCCTTCCTGCTTGCTGTCACCTTCATTTTGGGGACTTCTGCTTCACTTGAGCACAGCTAAAGACAGAGCATTTTTATTTTGTTTGTGAGAGCGTCAAAGGATATTAGGGACGGGAAGAACATCCAGGACATTCCTCATACGCTCATCCCCACTGCTTTCCCAGGGGCTCAGAGGGTGAGGGCTGCAGCCACATTCACGTTCTGATGCCTGCAGAGCTGAGAGTCACCCCGAAATCCGTGACTCTGGAGCCCCCTTGCTCTGTGAAGCCATACAGTAAAATACTGTGACATTTAGCTGCCAGTTTCAGGCCAGCTATGTGCCCAGAGCTTGTACCTTAAATTAGAAGAGCCTGACGGGTGACGTATAGGGCTTTGCCACCTGGACAACTATGCCATGATTCCTCCTGCGCCCTTAGAGATGGGGAGAAATAGCAACCACCTGCCTTGAAATAGGAGCATCTCCCTGTACCCCAGCCTGCTTGCTCTGACGCCGTCAAATCCATTGAGAGATGCTGTCAGACACTCTGCCTGTGCTAGGAATGCAAAGAATGAAAAGCCAGAGCTCCTGCCTTTGGAGCAGATATCGACAGACCAGTGTCAATAAAGCCCTGATGGTGGTCTGGGCCACACGAAGCCTCTTGAGGTAGCTCCGCAGGATGGCAGGATGTCTTTCTCTCTCCTGGTGGAGAACGAGGACGATGTCCAGGTCACAGGTTCTCAACTCTGGCTGCTCATTGGAATAACCAGTGGCGGTTTGAAAACTCTTTCACCCACATTCTGACACTGAGCTGGTCTCAACAGGGACACAGGCACGAGTAGGTATTTCTGGAAGCTTCCAGGTGTTTTCAGGGTGCAGCCAGGGCTGAGAACTGTTGCACTAGCGGAAGGACTCAGATTGGAGTCCTATTTGGAGAACTGTTAAAGAAAAAATAAAATGGCCAGGCATGGTGGTTCATGCCTGAAATCCTAGCAGTTTGAGAGGCTGAGGTGGGCAGATCCCTTGAGGACAGGAGTTTGAGACCAGCTTGGACAACAGAGCAAAACTCTTTGTCTCCAAAAAAAATTAGCTGGGTGTTGTAGCGCATACCTGCAGCCCCAGTTGCTCAGGAAGCTGAGCCAGAAGGATCACTTGAGCCGAGGAGGTTGAGGCTACAGTAAGCCGTGATTGGGCCACTGCACTCCAGCCTGGGTGACAGAGCAAAACCCTGTCTCCGAAAAAAAAAGGAAAAATAAAATGATTCAGGGGAGCTGCTGCATAGGGTGTTGCAGTGGGGAAGAGAATTCAGGCTCAACTTCGAATGCAAAGGACAAGTGGGAGTTCATAGGTAAGGAGCAGGAGATGGAGGTCAGTGAATGGAAATTATGGGGGAAACACCAGGAGTAAGGGGGATTGTGGCTAAAGTGACCTAACAGGATTCCTGCTGATGGCACGCCAGGGTGATCAGACCACCTGGGGGATGGCAGCAGATGGGGAACTCAATTCGATACTGAAGTTGGGGGGATTCAGGTTAAACCAGCTTAACAGGATTCTTACTAAAATTGGACAACGCAGGGACAAAGGTAGAAGCCTAGAAATTAGGGCCTGGTTGAGGAGAGAGTTCAAAGGAATCTGAGTAGAGTTTAGTCAAAGTGAGACTCTGTCAGAATGACGGGTGGTACATGGCGGGTGGAAGCCTGTGGCACATGTGGGGCAGAGGGCAGGGCTGAAAGATGGGACAGGATGGGTTTGACCTTGACAATTGGGGCAGGAGGGGCAGAGGAGTGAGAAGATCAGGTCTGTGGTCTTAAAAGATTACTCTGTGGTAAGGAGATTAGGAGGGCCTGGCTCCCAGAGTTCAGTGGGGGACACATGGCATTTGAGGTTCTGGTTGGGCAGTCCAGGTGGAGATTTCCAAGAGGCAGTGAAGTCATGGTCTAAGGCCAGGGCGGAGGTGGAAGAGCTACCGGTGTCATAGCCACATTTACCTGGTTTCTGCAGCTGTGGGAGTGAACTGTGGATGTTGTCACTCACCTGGTGGGGGGTGGGGTGTCTTCCTAAAAAAGCAGGTGAAGGACAGAATAGCGCCAGTGTGGAGAGAGCCCAGGAAGAGGAAACTGCCTGGGTGACCAAGAATACGTCGTGACAGAGGAGGACAATACGCGATCACAGACACCAGGAAAGAAAAAGGTGGCTTTCTGGAGATAGCGCCCCTTCCTTCATCATAACCCATTCATTCAGACCCTGTCTGTGAGTATTTCAGGGCAGGAGGAATGGATGGCAGTCTCGTCAATACCCCTTAAAATTTCTGAACATAGGGGCCATTGAAGTGCCTGTGTGCCATTGCCTGCTTATTAAAATGAATTATGAACAAATATATTTCTTTTAATTCTTATGCAGTTCTCTGAGATATGTATTCCAGTTTACAAACAGAAGCTGGACCTCGGAGAGGGGAAACGATTCTCCCAAAATTGTGTAGCCAAGTGGAAGAAACATTGGAATCTAGGTCTGATTCCAGACTCTTCCGCTGTCCCATATTAGTTTCACACCAGATAATTTTCTCTGATCAGACGTTAGGAAGATGTTGAAAACACCTAAGGAATGGGGCAGGGGTGATGAACAGATATACCTGAAGCAGGAGGGAAGGGAAGGTTTTTATATGATGATGTTCACTGGAGCATCATTGACATCATAGACAAAGCAGTCTAACAACAGAGGAAAGGTATTTCAAGGCCGTGAACCTTCAAATCTGTGTTTGTAAAGGCTATATATGGTCTTTTCCAGTGGTTCTCAAACTTCAGCATGAGTTGCAAGCGCCGTCAGAGCTTGCCAAGACACAATTGTTGGGCCTTACCTGGAGCTTCTGATTCAGCAGGACTGCGGTCCCAAAATAGGCATGTCTAACAAGCTCCCAGGTGATGCTGCTGATCCCAGGATCACACTTTGAAAACCACTGGTCTAATTTAGCCTGCACAGGTGATGGGTTCTACTTCTAAAAATGAGGGATGAATGCATTTGGCTTTAGATTGCTGAACTAGGGATTCCTCCTCCGGGAAAAATGGGATTCGAACCCTTTGAGGAGACTCTTCTTCAGAGTGGATTATTTAAAAAAAAAAAAAAAAAAAACAGTCTCCAAGAGTCTTCAGAAAAATTAGCCCCAAAGGCATGGGATCGGCTGAACTGCAGCTGGTGGAGCAGTGCCTGTCAAATATTGATGTGCGTGCAGAACACCTGGGGTCATGTTAAAGTACAGATTCCAACTCAGCAGGTCCAGGGTGGGGCCTGAGCTTCTGCATTTCTGACAAGCTCCAGAGGCAGCTGCTGCTGCTGCCTGCTGCCTGCTGCCTGCACGGCTCGACCACACTTCCAGTAGTGAGGCTAGAGGATCCGTGACTGCACTGCTACATGTGACAGATCATTGAGATTTAACCTCTCTCCACCTCCTGAGTAACATGATCGATGTCACAAAATCTCTATTTGAACAGTTCTATAATGTTCAAGGAAGCAGGTAAAACAGAGCAAATGTGTGAATAGTTGTCATTTTAGGGGTGAAGGGAATTTTTTTCCCCCTTGAAGGTTTGAATCTGCTGAAATAAACTGAACAGAAATCAACAGGAGAAAAGGCATACCCATGTATTAATGTGCAATTGTGCACGGGAGCCATACAAACTATGAGACTCTAAGAAGGGTCAGGGAGTTGAGGCTTAAAGACCATTTTCATGGGGGAAAGAGATGTAGGCAGTTTTGAGGGGGTGGTAAATGATTCTTAGGAGAAATGAATGAGCCCAAAGAACAGACAGTGGCCTGAGTCAGAGTTCTTCTTAGCGCTGGTGGATTGTGGGAAGGTGAGGGGTGCAAGTTCACTGCAGACAAAGATTGTCTCATCATGCAGATAAAGTCTCCCAAGTAATGTCTCGGAGCTGCTCTTGGAAGAATACAGAAAAAGCCTGTCTGGGCATGGTGATGACTTTTAGTCTTTTCTCCTGTAGTTCATCTTTCCTAGTTATTCAGTGAGATTCCTAGGGAGGGGCTCTTAAGACAATTGCTTTTTTCGGGGGAAGAAGTTTGTTTCTTCTTCACTTCTGGGGAGAAACAAGGTGGTTTAGAAAGTCTTTGGTTCTCAGGCAGCTTCTAGGGCCTTCCAATTTCCTGTAATTCAAAAATGCTTGGCATGCCAAAGCCGCCTATTTTAGGGTATTGTTCTCTGAGCCCCAACATCATAGTAGTACAGGGGAGGGGAAAAAAAGTTTGTTCTCCACCTTCTAGGTTCTCCAATGGAGCCCTTGTAACAAAAGACAATTAACAAAGTAAATTTACAAACAGAAGTTTATTAACATGTACATCTCATATGTACATGGGAGAAACTCAGGGATAAGTAATTCAAAGAGGTGGCTGGAATTTGGGCTTCAATACCCTCTTCAGCTGAAATGAAGAAAGAAGGTTATGGGGGAGGCAATTTATGGGAAGGTGACCAGGAAAACTACAGAAAGCAAGTGTAAGGTTCGTGTTGCAGACTTGAGGCTGTGCCTTCTCCCTCGATAAGGGTCTTGTGATTTAAGGTCACCCCCGTCTTCCTGGTACAGAGAGGGAGATGCTCTTAGAAGGGCAGATTTTCTCTGTAGATGTAAAATTTCCCTTACGAAAGGGTAACTTCTCTGTTTTCAGAGCTTCTCCTGTGTCTGCAGTTTCTCAAAATAATCAGCTCAAAATAATCCTCATGCCAAAGAGGCATATTTCAGAGTGGCATATTCTGGTCTCCTGCGTGAGCTTCGAAAAATCCTGCAAGATGGGAGACATCCGATCTCTCACTTTTCTGATGCTAAACCTGAAGCTTCAGGAGGCCAAGAAACCTGCTCAGAATCCTGGCTTCTTCCCATTACCTCAGACTCCAAAGAACACACACAGTCCAACCCCTTCTTTGTAAGTGGAGCTAATATCATATTTAATGAGAGCAGGGTTTCTCATTGGCTTTTGACGTTTGGAGCCAGATAATTCCGTGTTGGGGGAGGGGAAGCTGTTCTACGCATGATGGGATGTTGACCGGCATCGCTGGTTTGACCTACTAGATGCCATTAGCTTGCTGCTTCCCCTGCGACCCACCCCTGCCACTGCTACCCTGGTTGTGGCAACTAAAGATGTCCCCTGGTCATTACCGAATGTCTCCTGGAAAGAGCTTGTCTCCAGTTGAGAATCACTGAACTAGGGCACTGGAAGTATGGAGAATCGCCTGTTGACATATTTATGCCTAGTGTTCCATTATTGGAACGCTAAGCTTGTGGGAGTTATTTATATCCTACTGCTCAAGGTCATCACCAAGGTCTGATTTTTCACAAAAAATTCGTAACCTCCGGCATGAATGGGTTAAAACACTCACCCACTCCTGGGCCCCAGCACAGGCAATCCAGTCAGTGTTTCTCTGTGGAAAAGGACCCTGGCATTTGTATTTTTGAAAGTTTCCTGGGTGACTTGAAATAAGCTGTAGCCAGGCTTGAGAACCACCGGAGTCATCTTCCGAATGGAGGAGTGATAGAGTTCTAGAGGAAGGATTTTAGATGATTTTTGAGGCATGGTGAGAAGCTTTGATAAAACACTGCCGTTACAGTGTGAGGGAGGCTTCAACCAAAGTACTCGCTTCCCTTTGCAATATTTTTTAAACGTAGCTGTTATGCACTAAATGCCCTGTGAAATTAATTTGTCATTGTTATGTTCTGCCATCCAATTACAAGTTTCTTGTTACTACTTCAGTAATCAAATTATTCTTTTAACAAAAAATGAGGCAGGGGAGCTGTTATGAGAACCACTGACAGGACTCCTTCCCTAGGCATCTTTTCTCTTCTGCCCACCCACCGGGGAGCAGGCCCTGCTTCCTGCCCTTGCCCTAGAGGGCGGAGGGAACCCTGCCATCCTCTCTCCAGTCCTGCCTTCATGGGCCTTCCTCCACACCCTGGTGCTGTACTGTTTTTCAGAAGCTTGCTTTTTTTTTTTTTTTTTTAAAGTCTTTTTTTTTTCCCCAGAAACTTACTCTTTTTTTTTTTTTTTCTTTTTTAGAAGTCTCAGAAGACTTCAGTGGTCCCATTGTATACAACCACACACTGTTGCCTGAAATGCAAGGTCATTCACAGAATCGCCCATGGTGCACGGAGCTGCGCTCAGGCCCAAACGGTCAGATTCTGCTTTTGACCCACCTGAGCCCACTCCCTGCATGGCTCACAGAGCCCTGCCTTCTGCAGGTACCAGGTCAGACTCTGCTTCTGCCTCACCCGAGCCCACTCCCCATGTGTCTCACAGAGCCCTGCCTTCTGCAGGTGCAGCACTGTTGCCACCTGTGCCACATTCCCCGTGAGATCTGACATCCCCTCTCTGTATTCCTGGTGATCCAGGCTGTGCCAGTCTCTGTACCTTGGGGAGTGCTCGGCACCTATATGTTCAGGCCCAGTACAGGGTCTGCTCTGAGGGGATGGGGCCTCCGTGGGGCAGGCAGCCCTGAGAGGAGGGGGTCCCTGTGTGGCCACATGGGCGTGGCCTTGTGTTTCCTGTGCGAAATGGGCAGCCTGGCAGTTATCTGGTAATGAGTGCATCCAGGACAGATGACCAAACTGGAGTCGCGTGGTCGCCAGTTGAGAACCACTGACCTAGGCTCCATGTCTGCCCAGGCTCCCCTGCGAGGGCCACTGGCACTTGCCTCTTAGTCTTCCTCCCCACTCCCACCCGTGTCCCCGCCCACCACGGGAAGCCAGGGGCATCCTGTGCACATTTATGACAGGATAGGAAGCAAAATGAAGACTTCTAGTGAAATCGTCGTACATCTGCCCATTGTCACATGATTTGGGGCATTTTTTCGAGGTTTATCAAGGAAGAGTAAAAATCACAGCAGTAAAAAGAGACTTTGCACTGGCCTGCTGGATCACAGGTGCCGCATTGTTTCTGTGTGTATTACCTCATTTAACCCTGATGAGGGGATGGGCACTGACTCCATTCCAAAGGCGAAGACATTAAGGATGTTAAACTACATGTTAAAACAGCACAAGGAAACCCTGTCTCTACTAAAAATAAAAAAAAATTATCTGGGCGCGGTGGCAGGCGCCTGTAGTCCCACCTACTCGGGAGGCTGAGGCAGGAGAATGACGTGAACCCGGGAGGTGGAGTTTGCAGTGAGCCGAGATCGCGCCACTGCACTCCAGCCTGGGCGATAAGTGAGACTCTGTCTCAAAAGAAAAAAAAAAAAAACAGCACAAGGTGCTGTGCTCTGAGTTTTTAGGGAGAAACCTACCTATTCTCAAATGTACTTCACGTTCTGGCACTTCAAAAAAGTAAAAAGAGAGAGAAATATTTCCCAGACTTACTTGTCAATATTCTCACTCTATTGGAAGAACACTTTTATAGAAATGTTAACCTCATTTGCATTGGCTTTTGTATCTTCCCCTTAAATCTTTAAGTCATTGGTCACACACCCCAAGTGAACCTAGTTTGAAAAGAGGTTTATTTCTCATTGCTACACCTGCTGAAGACCCGGACTCAAGGTCTGCTCTGGCCCCTGACATATTCAATGCTCTTGGCAACTTAAGTCAGAGTTTCTTCATCTGAAAATGGGCACAAGTCTTCAGATTGGCCCTGGATAGGGGAGGCACTGTGATGTGTATGAAATGTCTAGCACACTGTCTGGGACTTAGCAAGCTGTGGTGAGTATCTGTGGCATTCTCTGATTGAACCAAAATCATAATTTCAGTTAAAACTATGAAAATATTGTTCATCACTTATGGATAACTGTGGGCATTTTACTACTGATGAACCCAAGAGGACTTGCCAGAGGTCACATAAAGCCAACAGTCAGGTGACAAGATGAGGATACTGGGTGAGTTCCCTGGGCCACACACTGGCCATCTGACCTGAGGCTGAGCGTGGGCTAGGAGTCGGTTCTTCTACACGAGCACGCCTAACAGCTCTGCCACCTGCTTTCCCAGTCTGCCCTGCCGTAGGGTCCAAGAAGAGCATTTCATGTCCTTATTTGTTTGTGGCTTCATTTGTCCCACGTGAAGGGCAGAGACAGAATTATGAGTGAGCAGACGGTGGTGTCTTTTAAATACCGCATTTCACTTCCTAGGGACGTTTCTTCATGGTGCTGATCATGCAGTGAACATTTCCTGACCTATGGAAGTGTCAGAAACATTTCTGGATGGAACATGTCTCTAAATTTCCAAAAGGTGGTATTTTAGGCCTAGACTTCAGACTCTTATATTTGAAAGAAGTCACTGTCTGACCACCCAGTGCTCAGAAAATGAGGTGGGAAGGTTTGGTGGACCTCAGCCTCCCCCACTGGCTTCTTAGTGGAAGGCTCATCTCTGACAAGAGAAGGGGCCCTTGAGAATGGAGCTTTCTGTGTGGCAATGAACATGGACTTGAAACCTGCTAGACTAGGTCAGGGGCATATGAAGGCATCTGGGCTGGCCAGACTCCAGTGGATGGACAGCTGTCTCCTCTCTTAAATTTTAAGAACTTAAATGCCAGGGCTTCCTTAAACATTGAGCAATGCTTACATGCTCTGAGTCAGCTTGGATCGTGATGGCTAGAAGGAGTCATAGAGGCTGACTCCCTCCATGTTCAGTCCAGGAGAGGGAAGGTGACTTCCCTGAGCCGACGTGGCTGGTCAGTGTCAAGGCTGGGCACTGAGTCCAGTGCAGCCCTCTCCCTATGGGTTCCTCCCTCCAACCTGCTCCTGCCCAGAGCTGCTCCTTCCGCTCTTTCTCCCCTTCCTCTGTCTCTGGGGATCTGGCCGATGATGCTCTTTGTGTTGTCAGGAAATGTGCCCAGCAGCCAAGCATACCCTGTCATTAAACCGAATCTGGTGGTAAGGATGTCTTTATGAAGACACCTCATCCTGTCATTTGCCTGTGACCATCACTTGGCCTCTCGGCCCTTTTTTTTTTTTTTAAATCTATGATATTGGGAAGGTCAAATTAGCTGATCGCTAAGGTGCATTCCCATACTAAAAAAAATGTTCAGCCAGGCGTGGTGGCTCACGCCTGTAATCCCAGCACTTTGGGAGGCTGAGACGGGCGTATCACCAGGTCAGGAGATCAAGACCATTCTGGCTAACATGGTAAAACCCCGTCTCTACTAAAAATGCAAAAAAAAAAAAAAAAAAAAAATTAGCCGGCAGTAATGGCGGGCGCCTATAGTCCCAGCTACTCGGCAGGCTGAGGCAGGAGAATGGCATGAACCCGGGAGGCGGAGCTTGCAGTGAGCCGAGATAGCGCCGCTGCACTCCAGCCTGGACGACTGAGCGAGACTCCGTCTCAAAAAAAAAAAAAAAAAAAAAAGTTCTGTTGTTTCTGATCTCTGAGTTATGCTGCGAGAAAAGAACCACTTTGTCCACTGCTGCTCCTTGAGCTTGGGGAGATTGTGGGGAGAACAGAAAGCAGCCGCCCGCCCCCCGTGTTTCTATTCAGTGTAAGAAGAAGAGACGAGCCCATTCTGCTTTCAGAGTGGATGCGGTGCCAGGGGGTTTGTTTCCTTGCCATTGGCTGGGCATGTTTTACTGCATTATTCTTCCATCGAATTTTCCATAACAGAGTCTTCAGACTCAAATCCAAAGTTATTACGGCAAATCCTGCTGGGAGGCTGAGAGGGATTTTTTTACTTTTAGGGAAAACGGGCCTATATTCTAGGCAATAAGGATGCCATCTTGAAGGAAATTGGCACAAACATTCTATGGCTGACACAGCGTCAGCATGTGACGGTGTTTGCTGGGCACCGTGTAGGCATGGTGTTGTGACTGGTGCCCAGGTATTGCAGCTGGACGGCTGCCTGGCAGCCATATCAACATGGGATACCTAGTTGTATGGCTAGCCTGGGAGTCTTCTGTGCATGTGATTATAGCGCGGAAAATGTGGGCAATCAGGACTGCCTAGCATCCGTATGTCTTGTATAGTTTATGACCTGCACACGGGCAGCTTGTGCCCCAAGTAATGGAGTCAGCACGTGGTTGTTATACAGGTACAGTTACATGGCTAATAGGTGAGCATGCATTGAATTGAGACAGTTTTGTGACTATCCCCTGTGCACCACGTGTGCACACCTACATGGTCACTATTCAGGCTTTGTGCATGTACATGCATAGGGTTGGCATGAAGATACTATGTGTATAACTGTATGGTCTGCAGGCACGGGATATTTGGTGATCACACAGCCATCCCCCAGGCCTTGTGTGTTGTAAGCTTTCTGCAATCTGTGGCCAATTAGAGGGCAGATGGAAGAGACCCTAAGACAACATGACCAGTGTTAACTTTGGGTCTCTAGAGAGCGACAGGAACTATGAGCTAGACGGCATCTGCGTCTTGTATATTTGTAATGACATTTAAATATTTTACCAGTCTCTTCGACGTCCTCATTGTGATGAGTTTTTCTCATTGATCTTTCCAAAACCAAAAGGGGCCATTCAATGTTTTTATTGTAGCGAAACCAAAGTTAATACTATGCATCTGTACTTTTGGCAGCCAGAACCCTGTAGTCCCCAGCGACGATAGTTTGTATTTTCAAATACACTGTAGCAGTGTACCAGATCCTACCACACAGGGTGTCAAGCCATAAACAGAGTTCCCTAGCCACCCCACCCCAGCTTTTCTTTATATAGTCCAATAAAGGGAATTAATGTTGTATCAAAGATGAAAATCTGCTTATCACAATAGGATTTACAAAATAATTGCACACGTTTTCTCATTTGACTAGCTCATTTTCAGTTCTGACAGCCCTTTTCTCTATATCATCTCACTTGATTCCCTGAGCAGCTCTGTCAGATTGACAGAATTCTCACATCCATTTCAAAGATGGGAAAACCAAGGCTCAGAACAGCTGTGGAACTTACCTGCAGTCACAGCTGCTGAGAGAAGGCACCAAACCCAAAGCCACGCTTCCGCTGTGCTCAGGAAACAGGTCCTGCTTCCCTTCTGCACTCTGCCCCAGCAGATTGTATCAGCTGCTTTCTGAACACTTTGGTTAGCAAGACACTAGGAGGCACAAATGGGAAGGAGTTGGCTTGTCCCACCTCCACCCAGTATCATGATGGCTACTTGTCTGCCTTGGATTCAGATTTCTTTCAAGATTGTCCATGCTTATTGATTGTAAATCAGTGACCTACAGTTATATTTCCATTCAGTTCAATCCACATATGAACTGAGTCTCTTCGATGTTGATGATATTGCCTTTGACACTTGGATATGTGAGCAGTGGGACCTATACAAATGATTTCAACTCAGTCCCTGTCCTCTAGTTGGCTTCCGACCAAGTGGCAGAAGCCAACACACACAGTCACCTGTGTGTAAGCGTAGCAGGAAAGATGAGCTCAGGATGGTTTAGGAACACGCAGGAGGAAGCGTTGGAGCCTAGCTTTTGGTGGCCGGGGGGAAGACTTTGCAGAGCATGGTCCTATTTAAGAGTGTGCTTTGAAAGATGTGTAGGGTTTTTAACAAGCAGTGGAAGCATGTGTGTGTGCATACGTGCACACACACATTGCAAAGGGCTGCAGTGGGTAAGGGAGAGGCAATGCCTTATAGGGAGAAGGGATGACCTAAATACGTATGAGTCTGTGAACCGCCATGTTCACTAAGGGGATTATAGGATGTGTGTAGAAAGAGAGTAGGGAGTGGAGGTACTGAGGCTGGAAAGTTTGGTTGAGGCCAAAATATGGAAGAAACATTTAGCTGTATTTTTGAGCAGGAGAATGACATGGCCACAGATGTATTTTAGAAAAATCAGTCTAGCAGAGGCCAGATGGATGGAGCTGAGGAAGCAGGCACTGATGTTCGAGGAGTTTGAAGGCTCTTGCAGAAGTCCAGGCAGCATCATGAATGAGTCATCTCAGCTTGGCATGCGAACAGTTTTTGTCATCACTCCTCTGTTTATAATGAAATGCTGAGAATGTCTGCACATCCATTGACCCTGGGTTCATCCTAGCTACAGAAAGTACCTTTCAGCACCAGACACTGGGAAACCCTCCCTGAAGTCCAATGAAACCTGCGTACGTCCTCAAAGCTACAGATGTCCCATCTTCTGTGGGTTTCAGAGGCACATATCTTTAATAAAAATATAAAATGGTGCTCCTAGGCACACATCCCCCTTCTGTACAAAAGCTGAAATCAGAAATGGCAATTCACAAAGGTTCCAGTTTCTACCAATCTTTGCACGGCCCTACAAGTGCAGTCAAGCTCAAGTGGGCAGTCTCTTGTCTAACACTTGGTATGGCTCCATTTCTGTTGGAATTGCCCATCTCTAAGGCAGCTCCCTCCCTTCTCCCCTTCCCACAAGGGCCCTTAGAGGCACCTTTTCATCTCTCAGGCCTGATCCCCCTCCTTCTTTGCCTGTGTGGAGTTGTTTATTCTTGTTTACTGGGGCCACTTTCCGTGCTGCTGCTGTTATTGATGATCTTTGTCCTTGGTACAAGGCCAGGCCTCCAGGAAGAAGCGTTTCCTGCACTCAGCCACTGCTGCCGTTCTCAGGTGCACTGTCTCTTCCTCTCCAACATCCTCTCCCCTCCTTACTTCTTTTTTATTTACACACTGAGTGGGAAGAGCTATGAAGGAATATGTAACATTTTAATAACGTCTCATTTTCCTCCATTTGGGGGGCTTCGGTATGATAAAAGTCTATATCATCAAAGGAAAATGCCACTGGGAAGAAAACCAGAGAAATGTTATGGCAAAAATGAGATAGAAAATGGATTTTTGAAGATTCTGCACTGAGAACTTGGATTGTGATCCTGTGAAAGTGTGTCCTGGCTATTAAACCCCTTAGGAATGATTGAAGTTTTAGATTGCCTTAAAATGTAAGGACTTCTAGTGTGGGTTGAAGACAGTTTCTCAATCAGAACTTTCTGGAAGGATGACATACGTGTGGCTGTTGAATAATCTTGTCTCTTTCCCCAAGGGAACTGCCCTTAGAAATGTTTCCACTTCCTTCTCTTCTGTTTCTGTTTTTCCTCCCAGTAAGACCATACCTTGATTTGGAACCTCAAGATTGTTAAGTGAATGAAATTGCCCAAGCCCAGTAAAGCCGATGGTCTGGGGTATGGCCCTTACGCGAGATCTGTTGAGTAAAGCCTTCCCTGAGCCTCCCAGCCAGAATTATTCAGTTTGACATCTGTGCTCCAAGGCATGACCTCTTGGGTGCCGATGCCATCAGTCGGCTTCCAAACCGTGAACATTCAGAGTGTCGCTGAGTACCAGACTCTATGCTTTTTTACTCCAGGAACCTGGATAAGGATTGTTCTCCATCTCTAGACAGCTTAGAGCAGAGACTGTGTCCTGCTCATCCTTGTAGTGAAATTTGTGCCTTTGTTTTAGCAACTATATAGGACTCTATGATCCGCAGGTGTGGGCTTCACCTTTGTCTCCCGGCTTGACCTTCTGCTAGAATGTATATTTCCCTGGTCCTGTTTTATTTGTGTGAGCCATCTCTAATGCTTGTGGAACAAAGTAGAGGTATGAACAAACCAGTGCGCAAATATTTAAGCTTCTCCCTTTGAATCATACCCCTCAAAGGCCTTAGTATTGACCCTGGTACTTTGTAGGAGCTCAGGAAATGTTGCTTGGGTTGAGCTCATTTGAAATGAAAGCAGCCAGAGAATGAACCTGTTATCCTGCAGGGAGTTCATTGAGCTGAAATGGGGGCCCTGGCAGAGGAAGAGGTCTGCAGAGCCCAGAACGAGTAGAGCTCTGGGGTATGAGCCTTGCAGAGCCTGTGCTCTTCTTTGGGAGTGTTCACTGGTCCAGGCTTCAGGGTGCTTCTCAGAGGTCTTTGGAGGGCAGGGGCCACATCTTTCATTGGTCTTCATCCACGACGGTAGCTAAGAGAGGGCCTGGCACCTAACAGGTGATGTCTGCTTTGGAATTGGAAGACTCTCTGCAAGTGAAAATCATTTCGTCTTCTACCTTATTCATGCTCTCATGCTCTCAAATTCCATGTAAAAATATTTTGCGTGGAACATGAAGATGTTGTTGGAATATTCAATATCTGGATTGGAGCTTTCTTTGAAGAACATTCTGTTTTCTCATAGTCTCATAGTCTTTAGAACTTTTTATTCCTGTCATTCTAAATTACCAAAAAAAAGGAGAAGTAAGGAAGTAAGCCCATTATAACAGCTTGTTGCAGGGAAAAGTGGGTGGAGGCCCCTCTTCCCTCTCTTGTTAATGTGAAAAGCCTTGAACTTGGGCTATAACATCACCAATATAAAAGGTGGCATTGATTCAGCACAAGTAAAGAAGATTGGCTTTAATTAGAGCATATTGACAAATTTGTAAATTTGTGTAAAAATCTACTTTGGAGTCTATTAAAATTTGGGACCCCACTATCCAGTTGACTAATTACAATGGTAACATTCATCAACTCCCAAGGACTCTCTAGTAGCCTTTCCAACTCTAAGAAGTTAAGTTCTTTTCGCTCAGTCCAGGGATTCCTCTTAGAAAATTCCTGTTTGAACAGTTCTGGGGTAAGCCATTCCATTATCAGAGACATCTGATTTGGGGGAGCTTCTCTTCATAGTGAAAGGGCTGGATTCTGCCTTTATGTAATTCCACCCACTGGTCCTAGCTCAGCTTTAGAGCAGGTCAGGGTGGCTCCTCTGGTCCCTTGCCGAGAGAGACCTTCTCTGAGGCCAGCAGCAAAGTTGTTCTGCAGCCTTCGTTGTGGAAGTCTGAGCACAGTTTTCTCCTGCAGGGGTCCCTCAGAGGGCTTGACTACTGGGATTGCCTTTGCCCTGAGATGGACTTGTCAGTGCCAGCAGAAAAACAGAGTGCCCAGAACTGGACAGTGGCAGGTGCCCCACGCTCTGTGCTGGGGAGATGCTGCCTGCTGCCAGCAATTCTAGCACCAGCTGCTTAGCCAAAAATAAGTTCTCAGCTGCTAAGGCCTGATCTTTCCGCTCTCCTTCTTCTGGAAGCTGAAAGTCCAGCGGTCTGCCAGCTGGAACTGGGAGGTTGGGGATTTGTTTCTATTCAGATGAAAGGAAAAACAGTACGAGGTTTTTCATTTCTTTTTTAACCTTATTATGTCAAAAGAGTTGTCTTGTTCTTAAGAGCAAAAAATATCACCATTGCTTCTGAATTTTGCTTTGAAAATAGCATTAGGAGTGGTGGGGCTGCATTGAGCCTCTCCCAGCTTCCTGGCAGAAGCCCCTATCGAGAGAGGCAGATGCAGCTTCCACTTGAGTGGAGGGACGGCTCTGGGAAAAAGCCCGAGGACTGGGTTCGGCTCAGCAAATCTGCCAGCCTTTGGATTGATAAACTGCCTATTTGCACAGAGGACAGGAGCAGCTGCCTCAACCATGGAATTTTCCAAAGGCTGCAAAACTTTAAAGATGGAACTTGAAGTTATTCATTCCTTTATTTAGCAAATATTTATCAGCACCTGCTGTGTGCCAGGTACGTGTTGGGTGCAAAGGTGAACAGAGGACAATCTGTATCCTCAGATCTGACAATGTCTAGGGGGAGAAATGGACAAGAGAGCAAATGAGCATGGTCTACTGTAGTAAGTGTCCATAGGTGATATGGTTTGGATGTTTGTCTCCTCCAAAACTCATGTTAAAATGTGACCTCCAGTGTTGGCGGTGGGCCTGGTGCCAGGTATAGGATCAGGGGACAGATCCCTCCTGAATGGCTTAGCGCCATCTCCTTGGTGATGAGTGAGTTGCCAGTCAGTTAGTTCACGTGAGGGTGTGGTGCCTCTCCGGTCTCTTTTGTTCCTGCTCTGGCCGTGCACCTGCTACCACTTTGCCTTCAGCCATAAGTAAAAACCCCCTGAGGCCTCACCAGAAGCCGAGCAGATGCCAGCACCATGCTTATATAGCCAGCAGAACCACAAGCCAATTCAACCTCTTTTCTTTACAAATTACCCAGCCTCTGATATTTATTTATAGCAACACAAAAATGGCCTAAAACAATAGGCTTCCCTGTAGCCCTATATAGGAGGGTGCAATGGATGGTGGTAGCGCTACATAGGAGGGTGCAATGGACGGCAGTGGAGGTGGTTATGGTGGCGGCTGTAGCATTGATTAGTGCTGTTATTGCTGTCACTAACAAACCGCAAGGATTTGCAGCACAGGTGAAGGACACCAGCTCTGCTTTAGATGGATGGTCTTGGGGGCAGCATGGAACTTGTCAGAAAGGGAGAGCTGTTGGAGCCGCTTTGGAAGAATAAGATGAGGCATGGGAGTGAGGCCTTTCCTGACAAGGGGCAGGTAATGTGGGAAGGCATGAAGGTTAAAATGAATATGGATTGTTTAGGGACTAGCAGCCATTTCAGTGTCTCTAAAGGTGTGTGTGTGTGAAGGTGGGAGGTAGGTGATAAACCATTGTCATAGAAATGGAGAATCTTTGAAAAGCTCTAAGCTGCAGAGACAAAGTCAGACTTGCATGTTACGTGATCACTCTGGAGGAATTGTGGAGGCCAGGCTGGAATGGGATCGGGCTGGGGCAGGGAGAGGGGCTAAGAGTGGGAAATGATGAGGGCCTGGGTTACAGTGGAGAGGGTGGAGGGGAGGAGACAAGAAAAAAATAAATCAGAGAGAAGGTCAGGAGGACTCCATGGCCTATGACCTATTCAGGCTCTGTGTGTGTGTGTGTGTGTGTGTAGTGTGTAGTGTGTAGGGAAAGATACACGGTGGATGAATGAGAGCTGGGGCTGGGGATATCAAGCCTATTGACTCCCCATGTGACTGCTGGGAGGAGAAGCAGGAGTGAGAACAGGTATGACAAAGGACAAAGACAGATATTGGTCCATGCTGACTTGGGATGGTGCACCTGCTTTCTGGGGCTGCTGCCTTGAGGCTGTAACAAGCTGACCGAGAGATGTAGGGCATGGAGGCTGTTAGCCTCTCAGGGGAGTCTGGTTGCTGAGGTGGTGGCAGGAGGAGAAGCATAATGGGTAGTGTTAGACAGGAAGGCTGAACCCTCACATCTGTGGTCAATTGATTTTTGACAAGAGTGCCAAGCCATTCAGTGGGGAAAGGACAGACTTTTCAACAGATGGTGCTGGGACAACTGGATCTCCAGGTTTGTGAGTGAATGTAACTAAAAGAATGAAGCTGGATCCTTACCTCACACCATACACAACAATTAACTCAAAATGGATCAAAGACCTAAATATAAGAGCTAAAACGATAAATCCGTCTCAGGAAAACATAGAGGAAAGTCTTCACTGGATTTGCAATGGATTTAATGCAGATCTCTGATGGAGTTGGTACTGGTGTCTTGGATATGACACCAAAAGCACAGACAACACAAGAAAAAAAGAAATTGGATTTCATCAAATTTAAAAACTTTTACACATCAGTGGACACTATCAAGAATATAAAAAAAAACAACCCACAGAGTCACAGAAAATGTTAGCAAATCATATATCTGATAAGGGATTAATGTCCAGAAAATATTTTTAAAACCCATACAACTCAACAACCACAAAGAAAGTAACCCCCTTGAAAAATGGGCAAGGGACTTTGAATAGACATTTCTCCAAAGCAGAAATGCAAATGCTTAATAAGCACGTGAAAGGATCCTCAGAATCATGAGTCACTGAGGCAATGCAAATCAAAACTACAGTGAGAAACCACTTCAGACCCATTAGGACGGCTATTATCAAAACAAAACAAAACAGAGAATAATAAGTGTTGGTGAGGATGTGGAGAAATTGGAACCCTTGTGCATTGCTACTGGGAATGGTAAATGGTACAGCCACTGTGGAAACAGTTAGACAGTTCCTCAAGGAGTTAAACGTAGAATTGCTGTATCCTGCAGCAATCTCACGCCTATGTATATATCCAGCGGAATTGAAAGCAGGGATTCAAACCTGTACACCTGTGTTCTTAGCAGTATTATTTACAATAGCCAAAAAGTGGAAGCAACTTAAGTGCCCGTCATCAGATGAATGGGTAAAAAAAAAATGTGACTTATAGATACGCAATGGACTGCAGCCTGAAAAGGGAAGAAAATTCTGACATGTGCTACAGATGGGCGAACCTTGAGGACATCAAGCTAAATGAAATAAGCCAGTTACAAAAAGACAAATACTGTATGATTCCTCTTATATGAGGACCTAGAGTAGTCAAATTCATAGAGATAGAAAATGGAATAGAGGTTCCCAGGGGCTGAGGAAAGGGGGAGTTATTATCTAATGGGTAAAGAATTTCTGTCGGATGATGACAGTTTTTGAAAATGGATAGTGGTGATGGTTGCACAGCACTGTAAATGTACTTAATGCATTTAATTGTATACTTACAATGCCTAAAATAGTAAATATTATGTTACATATATTTTACCATAATAGAAAAAAATGTAAAGGAAGGCAGGCAGACCCTGAGCATTGGGTTCCCTTAGCTCTCCTAGTGCATTTCGATCGTGAACATTGCTGAGGGTTCCTGTCCACTCCCTGTGCGATGCCTGTCACCCAGGGATTCATCCCCTCCCACCTCTAAACATTTGGCTATGAAGGTATTGCTCCCAAACTGGACAGAAGCTCTCTAGGGGGCTGAGCCTACCCCTGGAGGGACCCTGGCCTCCTATTCCAGCTCCTGCCTGGGCAGGGGACAGAGAACCGTGACAGGCCTCTGATGCTGAACGCCAAATGTGGTTCTTCCTCGACAGCCAGCAGCTGCTTTCTGGCCTGGAAGTCTTTCCTCCACTTGCAGCTCCCACTCACCCACAGTTTTCCCTGGAGAGGGGAGCCCTGAGGCTGCATTTTGTGCATGATCATTCCAATGACGCAAGCATCCAGTGCCCCCATAGCCCAAGATGCCCACTGGAGGCAGCTGGGAGCCCAGGCACTCTATAGCACGCATTTCCAACAATGGCTGCTAGCTCGGGGAGAGGGATAGGGAGAGGTGAAGGAGTATCCACAATGGAAAGAAACTGTCCCGACACAGAGACAGTCACAGTAGCATTGGGAAATGCCCTTTGGGTGGAAGGTTTAGTTGCAGATGGCCAAGCTCTTCTCAAAAGTATAGTGCAGTGATACTTTTGCATAGTATTTGCAGTTATTTGCTTTGCAATGTGGAATCAGTAGGAGACTTTCCAGACTTGAGATTTAAGCACAAAATTGTATTTTCCCTGTACTGAAGGGTCCCAACATGGGTAATGACCCTGATTCTCCTGCTATTTGGAGGCATTTACTTCTGAGAAACATACACCATGCCTACCATTGAAGCCATGGCCAAAGGAGTATCTGAAAACTGGAAGAGAAGACAGCTTCTAAGCAACCAGAAGTTATGTAGCCAAGTTCATGCACAAAAGCCAGGATGCTTGACACCTGTCTTGGCTCTGGTTTTAGGCACTCACACGTACGAAGCTTGAGATTCTTGTTTACCAGTCCCCACAAATTATAAGCCACAGATTAAAATGTCCCAGGGCTGGCTTGGAGAAGGCCCTCCAAATGCACCAGAGAAGCTTCCGGAAACTTGGCACCTGAGACTAACGAAACAGCTTTCAGCAGAGTGGGTGGCAGATGGGAAGGCTTCAGAAGCAAGGTGCCTCCCTGAGTGATGTCCCAGGAGAAAAATGACATCAACCCAGCCAACGAGAAAAAGCCCTGTCGTGCTGTGTGGGAAGGCAGGTGCCGGGCCTTACCTAGCTCCACATGCTCATGCCATACTTGCTGGAAGCTGGGATGATGGGATCCCTTCTCCAGGGCCACAGGAAGGGAGAGGTTCATGGGTCCTGGATGGCTAGGCCCTGGCTGGGACTAGAGAGCCTGGGCGAGAGAATTGCCGCTGGGGCTCTGGAGGTGCTCGCTGGGGAAGGTGGTCCGCGGCACTGAAGAGGAAGGCAGGCCATCAGGTGTCCCGTGGGGAAAAGCATTCCCCAACAGTCTCCAGCTTGTGCCTCGTGTGTGTCTGTGGCCCACAGAGGCCTGGCTCATGGGTGCTTTGCACAACTGTGGGCTCTACTGAGGCCTTACAAAGTTGAAACTGGTGTGAGACACACATGGGAAGATGTAGCAGCGATGCCGGTGGCTTCCAGGCTCAGGCTGAGGCAGACGGGCGGGACGTGAGTCCTGGCTCTGCATGCCCAGGCCGTGTGTCCCTGCTGAGTTGCCTCACCTCTTCAGGACCTAGGCTTCCCATCTGGTGCACAGGGATGAGACCGCACCACTCACAGAGGATTGTATGAGGATTAAAGAAATACAGTAATAAAATAGCCGTGACCCATGAGCATTTAAGAGATGACAATGACGTAATTAAAATGTGTTGGGCGGGGGACTGTTGCTCACTGTAGGAAAGATTTCTCATTATATGTCATTATATATCATATTAACATAAAAGGCTTTTATTTTATGTTGATGAAGTAGACTTCGGAAAATGCTTCAAAGGATCTAGGGGGTGCCCTCCGCATGTCACAATGCATCACCTCGGCCCCTGGTCCACGTGGAGAGGTCACCTCATTTCCCCACAATGCCGGGAAAGTGAGACGGTGCTGCTCCTCCTCCACAAATAGCAAGGCAGGGACCTTCCCCAGGGGCATCTGGGCTCCCACCTCCAGAGAAGCGTCCCCCTGGAATCTTTCTTTTCCTGACAACACTAGATGCCTTTCTCCCCAGCCCCGTGACAAACGACAGTCAAGCTTGCTGCCAGGGAGGCAGGGAAGTGACGATCCCGTCACCACCCCCCAACCCTCCGTGGGGAGGGGCAGGCGGGTGTGGGATCCATCACGCCCGCCCACGTGGATGGCTTCAAAGTGAACAGTTGGCATTCCTGCGGGGTGGCCCTCGCTCCTGCAATAGGCCATCCCGGGCGGCCGCTCCCTCCCTCACCTACGATCTGCCGTCAGCAGCTGCTTCTGACAGGTGCGCGGGCTCTCCATGGCAGATGGTGACCAAAATGGGCTTGCTGGCAGGCTGTGCTGCCGCGCCGCCCTCCCTCGCACACACTGATGTGTACACAAACACAGCCCGGCCCTCCGTGCCTTCTCGTGGCACCTGCCTGGGGTTTCAGGGGCAGCCAGAGGGCTTATTCCAGAGTCGCAGGCCCATTTCCCCCAGGCCACCCACCTCACTGGGACCCTTCCATTTTTGGCCGCCAGACCATGGATGTGGCGTGTCCCACTTCCCAAGCACGGCATCCTCCCCAGTCTCCTTGCTAGTGTGTGTGGTAAGCGGCACAGCTGTGCACCCACTGCTCCCCACGATGGCTTTGGGCTTGGCCTGGACAGAACCCACGATGGCCGAGCTGCCTTAGGCCACAGTCACAGGCTCCAGATGTGGGGCCTGGGCCACCCTGTGCTCCCTCTCATCTGTTTCCCGGAGTGTGGTCTGGTGGATGTCGGACAGGAGAGACTCGTGGCCACCGCTCCAGTGTCCATGAGAGCCCAAGTGCACCGGAAGCCTGTTCTCTTCACAAAATAGCAAGACATGTCTATGCCACAGTGACCATGTGCCAGGTCACTGAGCCCAGCCTCCCTCTGGGAGAGAGTGCCTCTCCCCTCTGTCAACCCTGTGCCTAGGTGGGGAGCTGCAGCTGCAGGATCAGAGTATTGCCAGGCCACCCAGCTCGGCCACCCATCGCCCTGCCGGAGCACCTGCCCCTCCCTCCATGTTTGGGCAGCTCATTCCAAACCACCACCCAGCCAAGACAGCCAGATGAGGGGACATCTGGCGCGAGATGGTCGCCAAGTCACTGCTGTTCCATCATGGCAGAAGGAAGATGAGCTCTCTGCCAGATTCTTAAAGAGAGAGAGAGAATAAAATGTGAGTTACATGCCCGGCATTTTTTTTTCCTTCTTTTTACCCTGACACCTCAGCTGTCACTTTCCTTTCTCTGGAACTTGGACTACTAAGGACCCCATATCCATAACTATTTAGGGTAGACCTTTACCACTGGATGCTGATCAGAGTGCCAGAGTGAGTGATGGGAGTGGGAGCAGAGAGGTGAGGCTTGGAGATGACCTTGGAGGAAGAATGCATACACAACCATGTGCTCACACACACAATCACACACGTGTGTTCACACACACCCATGTGCTCACACACACCTATGTGCTCACACATGTAATCACATACACACATGCTCGCGTACACCCATGTGCTCACACGTAATCACAGACATGCTCACACACCCATGTACTCACACATACACAATATTCACACATGTTCACATACACGCTGTACTCACAGTGCACACACACATGCTCACATGTGCTCACACACACACATGTGATGGATCACGAGGGGCAGAGGAGACTGAGACTGGCTATTCACCATCTGTCCTCCAGGGTAGGGCTGCCTGCAGTGAGTGTGCTTTCCATGAGCTGATGGGGTCAGAACCCATTAGTGGGAACTAAAGAGTTTATTTCCTGCTCTTTCCCAGTAAGGGGAGAAGCGTGACTCTCCCTGTATCCGACTCCCAGGCTCACACACTTGTGTCGGGCAGTGGCGGGAGAGAGTGTGTGTTCACAGCAGTGGTCTCGCAGAAAGTCTACCGTGGTGGGCTGAGGGAGGTCCCTTGCAGTCACGGCAGCTTGTGGGCTGTGTGACCTTGGGCAAGTTCCTTAACCTCTCTGAACCTGTGTTCTTCATCTGGAAAATGAGGCTATTTGCTTCTTGAAGAATGTGACCTTTCAGCTACTTCTACAAGATGATATTGTCACTTTCATTTTAGAGATGAGCAAATCCAAGTACAGAAAGGCTAAGTGACTTGAGCAAGGTCATGCAGGAAAGTGGGGCATCCTTTCAGGTAATGAAAGCAAAGAAGGGGAGATGGGTGTTGGGGATGTTCAAGAATAGGCAGGCTGGGGGTTACATCCAGGGTGTTGGTGCAGACAGGAATGGGGGCCACAGAGTCCTGGGTGTATTGGAGGCGTCTCCTTGGTGCTGGCCAGTCTGTTGCTCTCTTTTCCCTCCTGGCATAAGTTAAACGGACAACCTACTTTCAAACACAAAAGGTGGGTTTTCACAGATAAGCCATATCTCCCCTGCTCTGTGCTTGTTCCTTTGATTTCTCCAAAAAGTGCAATTTTCCATATTTCTGAAAAGTCATGTTGTTTGGCCCACTTTCTAGGCCCTAGGAACCAAGATGAGGCCCATGCTAGGATGGCCCTGAGTCTTGCCTTGTCAGACGTGATCTTCTCTTTTTTGAAACAGGCCTCACTCTCTCAACCAGGCTAGAGTGCAGTGGCATGATCTCAGCTGCCTGTGGCCTTGATCTTCTGGGCTCCCTGTGGCCTCAGCCTTCTGGGCTCATGTAATCCTTCCATCTCGGTCTCCCAAATAGCTGAGGCCACAGGTGTGTGTCACCACACTTGGCTAATTTTTTTATTTTTTGTGGAGGTGAGGTTCACTGTGTTACCCAGGCTGATCTTGAACTCCGGGACTCAAGTGATCTTCCCGCCTCGGCCTTCTAAAGTGCTGGGAGTGTAGGCAGAAGCCACCATGCCCAGCCTAGACTATGTGACATTTTCTTTGTGTTCTTGCAAATGTGATGAACAAGAACTGGCATCTCACAACCAGAGGTGGATGTGAAACGCCCACGTTCTCACCATCAGACTTTCATCAGCTCCCCTGGGTCCTGGGCAGGGTGAGGTAGATTTTAGGGTCATGACATGAGTCAGTAAGGGCAGGTGGAGGGTTGTGGCAGCAGTCCAGACAAAGGTGGGTGATGGCTGAGCCTTAGAGGTGGCGATGAGGGTGGAGGTGGATTTGTGAACCATTCTGGATGAACTG